>NC_000007.14:158709843-159022908 GCF_000001405.40 Homo sapiens
CTGCAGCTGTGACCTAGGGAAGACTGCAGGGGCAAAAGTGAAGAGGAAAGTGAGCAGCCCCCCCCCCAATCCCCCTGGGGTCCTCGGGGACGTCGCAGCATGGGTCCAGGGATGCGGAGCTCAGGCACGGGAGGTGAGCTCAGGGGTATCTCCTTAGTGGTTACTCAAAGGAGAACAAGATAAACCATCGAGGGCAAACGTTTTCAACCATGGCTGCCCATGAAAACTACTTCAGCTGCTTTAAAAATACTAAAGGCTAGGCTTCCTGGCCAACTCAATCAAATCGATCAATTCAACCGGGGATTCCCTGGGCATTCTTTTTTTTTAGACAGAGTCTCACACTGTCGCCCAGGCTGGAGTGCAATGGCGCAATCTCGGCTCACTGCAAGCTCCACCTCCCAGGTTCACGCCATTCTCCCATCTCAGCCTCCTGAGTAGCTGGGACTACAGGCGCCCGCCATCACACCCGGCTAATTTTTTTGTATTTTTAGTAGAGACGGGTTTTCACTGTGTTAGCCAGGATGGTCTTGATCTCCTGACCTCGTGATCCTCCCGCCTCGGCCTCCCAAAGTGCTCGGATTACAGGCGTGAGCCACCACACCCGGCCTGCATTCATATTTTTTAACCTCCCCAAGTGATCCTAATGCACAGGTTAGAAGAAACTGATCTCAGAAAACATGTAAAAAGAGGAAACGTGAATGACTCGAGTATAAAATCAATAAAGCTGAGGTTCCTGCTCCAGGCTGAACCTGAAACAGCTGAGAATCGGACTGCGCGATGAGTGGCTCCTCAGCACCTGCCCAAGCCAGGCGTTAACGCGGGACAATCACTGTCCTCTTAAAGCTCATAGCATGACTGAGAAAGTGGACACAACCCAAGTGTCCATCAACAGACAAATGGAGAAACACAGTGTGGTCTTTTCCCACAATAGAATATGACTCAGCTGTAGAAGGAATGAGGCTCTGACACCCCTACAGTGCAGATGACCCTTGAAACATCATGCTCAGTGAGAGAAGCCAGACACGGAGGTCACGGATTGTAGGACTCCATTTATATGGAAGGTCCACATGACTGTAAAATCCACAGAGGCAGGAAGCAGATTAGGTGTTGCCAGAGACTGAGGAGAGGGCGTGGGGAGTGACTACTAATGGCTGTGGTTTTGGGGTGACGAAAATTATCTAAAATTAGATAGTGGTGATGGTTGCACAACCTTGTGGGTTTACTAAGGCCACACAGTTGTATGCTTAAAAGGGTAAATTTTATGGTATAAAACTGTATCTCAATAAAGCTGTTATTAAAAATTCACGGCTGGGCGCGGTGGCTCATGCCTGTAAACCCAGCACTTTGGGAGGCTGAGGCAGGCGGATTACGAGGTCAGGAGATCGAGACCATCCTGGCTAACATGGTGAAACCCCGTCTCTACTAAAAATACAAAAAAATTAGCCGGGTGTGGTGGCGGGCACCTGTAGTCCCAGCTACTCGGGAGGCTGAGGCAGGAGAATGGCGTGAACCCGGGAGGCGGAGCTTGCAGTGAGCCGAGATTGCGCCAATGCACTCCAGCCTGGGCGACAGAGCAAGACTCCGTCTCAAAAAAAAAAAAAAAAAAAAAAAAATTCACGGCCGGGCGCGGTGGCTCATGCCTGTAAACCCAGCACTTTGGGAGGCTGAGGCAGGCGGATTACGAGGTCAGGAGATCGAGACCATCCTGGCAAAACCCCGTCTCTACTAAAAATACAAAAAAATTAGCCAGGCGTGGTGGCGGGAGGCTGTAGTCCCAGCTACTCAGGAGGCTGAGGCAGGAGAATGGCATGAACCCGGGAGGCGGAGGTTGCAGTGAGCCGAGATCGCACCACTGCACTCCAGCCTGGGCGACAGTGCGAGACTCCCTCTCAAAAAAAAATTTATGACTGGTCATGGTGGCTCAGGCCTGTGGGTGGATCACCTGAGGTCAGCAGTTCGAGACCAGCCTGGCCAACATGGCAAAACACTGTCTCTACTAAAATACAAAAATTAGCTGGGTGTGGTGGTGGGCACCTGTAATCCCAGCTACTCGGGAGGCTGAGGCGGGAGAATCACTTGAACCTGGGAGGCAGAGGTTGCAGTGAGCCGAGATCACGCCATCACACTCCAGCCTGGGCAACGGAGCAAAACTCCATCTCAAAAAGAAATTAATTTACTAAAAATAAATAAATAAAAATTTACCAGCAAGAGTATGAATAGAGAGGAGCCAAGGTGGGGATTCGGATCTGGTGAGCTGAGGGGAAGGGGATGCAGTGCTGGTGGCACCAGGCACAGTCAAGCCCATATCCATGGGTCTGGCCTCAGGGACAACGTGAGCCAGAGTCCTGGGTGGTGCCACAGGGCAGAAAGATGTTATAAAGGCTTCCTAAGGGTCGTGGTATCTAAACAGACTCGAGAACACTCACTGTCAATCCTGAACACAACTTAAAATCGCCGAGTTCTTAAAACCAAAAAACCTAGCCCTACCCCAGACCAATTAAGTCAGAATCGCTGGCGGTGGGCTGGACAGAGTGATTCCATTGTGTAGCCAGAGTGTAGGTTTGAATGCTGCCGGGGGCTTGAAGCTGGAAGGGAGAGGGGCCTGCCAGGCAGAGGGCGGCATGTGAGTGCCAGGCAAACACGGGCATTGCCAGCATAGACTGGCAAGGGGTGAAACAAGCTGGAAACAGGAACTGTCGCCGGGGTTCACACCAGGAAGTTGGGGTTTATTCAATGGGTGGTGGAATCTCTCTGAAGTTTTTTTTTTTTTTTTTTTTTTTTTTGAGACGGAGTCTCGCTCTGTCGCCCAGGCTGGAGTGCAGTGCCGCAATCTCGGCTCACTGCAAGTTCTGCCTCCCGGGTTCTCGCCATTCTCCTACCTCAGCTTCCCGAGTAGCTGGGACTACAGGCGCCCGCTGCCATGCCCAGCTAATTTTTTGTTGTTGTTGTATTTTTAGTAGAGACGGGATTTCATCATGTTAGCCAGGATGGTCTCGATCTCCTGACCTCGTGATCCACCCGCCTCGGCCTCCCAAAGTGCTGGAATTACAGGCATGAGCCACTGCGCCTGGCCCTCTCTGAAGTATTTTAAGAACGAGTGTGACGTGTCTCTGAGAAATCCCTGGGGGCAATGGGCCCACGTAGGTGCTGGCGGGAGGGACCCAGCCAGGCAGCCACGGGTGACAGGCATGACTCCCAGCCAGGAAAGTCCTTCCTCGGATGCCGCACTGAGGAGTGAGTTCTGGCTGCTGCCTCCACCTCACAGCAGGCAGGGGTCTTCACAGCCACTGCATGCCCAAGACTACCCAGGCCAATGGACTAGAATGTCAATCTTTAAAATGCCTGAAGGGGGCCAGGCGTGGTGGCTCACACCTGTAATCCCAGCACTTTGGGAGGCCAAGGCGAGTGGATCACTTGAGGCCAGGAGTTCAAGACCAGCCTGGCCAACACGGTGAAACCCCATCTCTACTAAAAATACAAAAAATGAGCCTAGTGCAGTGGCATGTGCGTGTAATCCCAACTACTTGGGAGGCTGAGGCAGGAGAATTGCTTGAACCTGGGAGGCAGGGGTTGCAGTTAGCGGAGATCGCACCATTGCACTCCAGGCTGGGCAACAAGAGCAAAACTCTGTCTCAATTAAAAAAAAAAAAAAAAAGGCCGGGTGCGGTGGCTCATGCCTGTAATCCCAGCACTTTGGGAGGCCAAGGCGGGCAGATCACAAGGTCAGGAGATCGAGACCATCCTGGTCAACATGGTGAAACCCCGTCTCTACTAAAATACAAAAAAAAAAGTAGGCATGGTGGTGCACGCCTGTAGTCCCAGCTACTTGGGAGGCTGAGGCAGGAGAATAGCTTGAACCTGGGAGACGGGTTGCAGTGAGATCGTGCTACTGCACTCCAGCCTGGCGACAGAGTGAGACTCCATCTCAAAAAAAAAGAAAAAAAAAGATTGATAGTACACACTAAGCAATGAAAAGAATTAATTAAGATAAATCCATACCTATGTAAGTTACAATGGAATTGTAGAACATCAAGCTATTTTTAAAGGCCTAAAACCTTTCAGACAGAAAAGACAGATTGCTTAAAGAGATGTGAATGATTTAATAATTATTGGATGTGAAGATTATTACAAACAATAATCATCAACAGTAAATACCAGAAGGCAAGTGCTGGAGAAAAGTAACTGCCAACTCAGAATTTTAAAACCAGCCAACTAATTATTCAAGGAAAAGGGCAAATAAAGACATTTTCAGTCCTTAAAAGACCAAGGGAATCAGTACCCAGAGACTCTCCATAAAGAATTATTAAAGAAGAAAAGTCAACTCAAGGAAAGCTATGGAATCCAGGAAATAAAAACAAGCACAGAAATTGCCCATCTGCACCCTTAGATGTTATTAACAATCACTATAAAGTGATAATGACTTTTTTGCATTGAAAAAGATTGGAACTGGCCGGGCGCAGTAGCTCACGCCTGTAATCCCAGCACTTTGGGAGGCCAAGGTGGGTGGATCACGAGGTCAGGAGATCGAGACCATCCTGGCTAACACGGTGAAACCCTGTCTCTACTAAAAATACAAAAAATTAGCCAGGTGTGGTGACAGACGCCTGTAATCTCAGCTACTCAGGAGGCTGAGACAGGAGGACGGCGTAAACCCGGGAGGCGGAGTTTGCAGTGAGCTGAGATTGCGCCACTGCACTCCAGCCTGGGTGACAGAGAGAGACTCCATCTCAAAAAAAAAAAAAAAAAAAAAAGGAAAAATATTGGAACTAAAACTCTGGAAGAGCACACACTGAGTTGTAGTATCTACGGTCCTTTGTGTTTAGAAAGACAGATACCGAAAGAGTTTAACCAATCAAATAATATCACCTACAGCTTCCAAACAGCAAAGGAAAAAATATATAAAACTCTATCAATCCAAAGGTAGGAAAGAAGAGCAAGGAAGCAAAAGAAAAGGTAAAAATAAAACCTCAAGTAAGATCATAGAAATAAGTGTAAATATGCCACTATTCATAACTAATGTAGAAAGGTTAAATTCTTAATTTTAAAAAGAGATTAAATCGGATAACATAACATATTCCAGCTATGTGTATCTTATTCAAGATATAATTAAAACAGGCCAGGTACAGTGGCTCATGCCTGTAATCCCGGCACTTTGGGAGGCCGAGGCGGGCGGATCACGAGGTCAGGAGATTGAGCCCATCCTGGTGAACAGGGTGAAACCCCGTCTCTACTAAAAATACAAAAATAAATAAATAAATAAAATAAAAGATATAATTAAAACAAAGCTACACAGAAAGGTTTAAAATAAAGGTGTGAAAAATACCATTTAAGTACTAATTAATGGAAAGCTGGTATGGCAATATTAATATTAGACAATATAGAATCCTAGGCAAAAATATCTATAGAAAATAATGAAGGGATAATAGGTAATAAATGAAAAAATCCATCAGGAAGATATATTAATCATGAATCTGTATGCCCTTTACAACCAAACCTTAAAAATATGAAATAAAAAATGAAAAACTTACAAGGAGAAACAGATGAATTCTCAATCATCACAGCACCTTTTAACATATTGCAATCAGAAACTGAACTATGAAGCTACAAAAGATAAGTAACGCTAAGGAAAAGATGAGTAACACAATTAGCTCGATTTAAAAAAAATTATAGGCTGAGTGAGGTGGCTCATGCCTGTAGTCCCAGGACTTTGGGAGGCCGAGGTGGGTGGATCATTTGAGGTCAAGAGTTTGGAACCAGCCAGGCCAACATGGTAAAACCCTGTCTCTATGAAAAATACAAAAAAATTAGCTGGGCATGGTGGTGCGTGCCTGTAATCCTAGCTACTCAGGAGGGTGAGGCAGGAGCATTGCTTGAACCCAGGTGGTGGAGCTTGCAGTGAGCTGAGATCGCGCCATTGCACTCCAGCCTGGGTGACAGAGGGAGACTCCGTCTCAAAAAAAAAAAAAAAAAAGAAAGAAAAAAAGAAAAAGAAAAAGAAACTTCCTCTTATCCAGAGATGGTGGTGCATACCTGTAGTCCCAGCTACTCAGGAGGCTGAGGCAGGAGAATCATTGAACCTGTGAGGCAGAGGTTGCAGTGAGCTGAGATTATGCCACTGCACTCCAGCCTGGGTGACAGAGCGAGACTCCATCTCAAAAAATAATTTTTTTTTAAACATTAGGCATGGCAGTGTATACCTGTAGTCCCAGCTACTCGAGAGGCTTAGGTGGGAGGATCCCTTGAGCCCAGGAAGTTAAGACTGCATGAAACTATGTTTGTGCAATGTGTTACTTCAGCCTGAGTAACAGAGCAAGACCTTGTCTCAAAAAAAAAAAAAAAAAATCCATAGGAAATAAATGACAAAACTCTGATGACTGAAATCAAAGAAGAACTAACTAAATGGAGAGACAGGATTGATGCTACCATCTTCAAGTATTACTATAAAGCTATAGTAGTAGCAGTGTAGTACTGGTAAATGAAAAGATAAATTAGTGCAACAGAAGAGAGCCCAGAAATAGACCCAAATAAATACAACTGACTGAACTCTGACAAAGGAGCACAGGAAATACAGTACGATGGATGAACGATAGTCTTTACAACAAATGGTGCTGGAACAACTAGACATCCACATGCAAAAAGTGAATCTAGACACAGATCTTATACCCCTCAAAAAATTAACTCAAAATGGATCATAGACCTAAATGTAAAATGCAAAACAATAAAACTCCTAGAAGATAACACAGGAGAAAACCTAGATGACCTTATGTATGGCGATGACCCAACACAGGCATAATCCATAAAAGAAATCGTTTATAAGTTGGACTTCATTAAAATTTAAAACTTCTGCTCTGTGAAGGACAATATCTAGAGAAAGAGAAGACAAGGCACAGAGTAGGAGAAGATATTTGTAACAGACACATCTGATATAGGACTGTTATCCAAAATATACAAAAAACTCTGAAAACTTAACAATAAGAACACAAACAATCCAAATAAAAAATGAGCTAAAGATCTTAACAGGCCCCACACCAAAGAAGATATACAGATGGCAAACAAACATATGAAAAGATGCTCCACATTATATGTTCAGGAAAACACAAATGAAAACAACGATGTTATACCACTGCACACCAACTAGAAAGGCCAGTCTGGAACACTGACAACACCAAATCCTGGCAAGGAAGTGAGCAACAGGAACTCTCCTTCACTGCTGGTGGAAATGCAAAATGGTGCAGCCACTGTAGAGAACAGTTTCCTCCTCCTCCTCCTCCTCCTTCTTTTTCCTTCTTCTCCTCCTCCTCCTCCTCCTTCTTCCTTCTTCTCCTCCTCTTCCTCCTCCTCCTTCTACTCCTCCTCCTTCTTCTTCCTTCTCCTCCTCCTCCTTCTTCTTCCTTCTTCTCCTACTCCTCCTCCTTCTTCTTCCTTCTCCTCCTCCTCCTCCTTCTTCCTTCTTCTCCTCCTCCTCCTTCTCCTCCTTCTTCTTCCTTCTTCTTCTCCTCCTCCTTCTTCCTTCTCCTCCTCCTGCTTCTCCTCTTTCTTCTTCCTTCTTCTCCTCTTCCTCCTTCTTCTTCCTTCTCCTCCTCCTCTTCCTTCTTCTTCCTTCTTCTCCTCCTCCTTCTCCTCCTCCTTCTCCTACTCCTCCTCCTTCTTCTTCCTTCTCCTCCTCCTTCTCCTCCTTCTTCTTCCTTCTTCTTCTCCTCTTCCTCCTTATTCTTCCTTCTCCTCCCCCTTCTTCTTCCTTCTTCTCCTCCTCTTCCTCCTCCTCCTCCTTCTTCCTTCTTCTCCTCCTCTTCCTCCTCCTCCTTCTACTCCTCCTCCTTCTTCTTCCTTCTCCTCCTCCTCCTTCTTCCTTCTTCTCCTCCTCCTCCTTCTTCTTCCTTCTCCTCCTCCTCCTCCTTCTCCTCCTCCTTCTCCTCCTGCTCCTTCTCCTCCTTCTCCTCCTCCTCCTCCTGCTCCTTCTCCTCCTCCTTCTCCTCCTGCTCCTTCTCCTCCTCCTCCTTCTTCTTCCTTCTTCTTCTCCTCCTCCTCCTTCTCCTCCTCCTCCTTCTCCTCCTCCTTCTCCTCCTCCTCCTTCTCCTCCTCCTCCTTCTCCTCCTCCTCCTTCTTTTTTTTTTAAAGGTCACTCTCTCACCAAGGCTGGAGTGCAGTGGCACTCCACTCAATATCATCATAGCTCACTGCAGCCTCAACCTTTTTACTGGGCTCAAGCAATCCTCCCAACTCAATCTCCTGAGTAGCTGAAACTACAGGCATGCCCCACCATGCCTGGCTAATTTTTAAATTTTCTGCAGAGACAGGGTCTTACTATGTTGCCCAGGGTTTCTTACTCCTGGCCTCAAGTGATCTTCCTGCTTCCTTAAGCCTCTGAAATTGCTGGGATTACAGTCGCGAGATACCATGTTTGGCCCAGTCGGTGGTTTCTTACCAAATTAAATATATTCTTTTTTTTTTTTTTCTAGACAGGGTCTTGGTCTGTTGCCCAGGCTGGAGTGCAGTGGCACAAACATAGCTCACTGCAGCCTCAGCCTCCTGGGCTCAAGTGATCCTCCCACATCAGCTTCCCAAAGTTCTGGGATTACAGGTGTGAGCCACCATGCCCAGCTCAAAATATACTATTATCGTATTATCCAACAATTGTGCTCCTTAGTATTTAACCAAAAGAGTTGAAAACTATGGCCATACAGAAAACTTGCACAGGGATGTTTATAGCAGCTTTATTTGTAATTGCTCAAACTTGGAAGCAAATGAGCTGCCCTTTAGCAAGTGAGGTAGATAAGTAAACTGTGGCACATTCAGACAATGGAATATGATTCAGAACTAAAAAGAAATGAGCTATCAAGCTATGAAAAGACATGGAGGAGCTGTAAATGCATACTGCTAAGTGAAAGAAGCCAATCTGAAAAGGCCGTATACTGTGTGATTCCAACTATATGACATTTTGGAGAAGGCAAAACTATAAAGACAATGAAAAGATCACACACACGATACACGGCCACACACTCACGCACATGAGCACAGACGCACGCACACATACACAGGCAGATGTATTTGGCCCATGAAGACAGAGAGCTTCCCCATCACTGCCGCGCAAACCGCCTCGTACATAGTAGGTGCGTGTTTCAATGTTGCTGAATGAATCAAGAGCGCTAAACAGTATTTTGGTTGTATTTTATATTTTGAGAAAGTCAATGAGATGCTTCACAGGTTTACGTTCTCAAAGCAAGGGAATATGAGCGGAGAACAAAAACTTCCTAGCCAAGCACAGTGGCACATGCCTGTAATTTCAGCACTTTGGGAGGCCAAGACAGGAGGTTGCTTGAGCCCAGGAGTTTGAGACCAGCCTGCACACATAGTGAAACACCCATCTCTACAAAAAATAAAAAAATTAGCCAGGCATGGTGGCGTGTACCTGCGGTCCCAACTACTTGGGAGGCTGAGGTGGGAGGATGACTGGAGCCCAGGAGTCTGAGGCTGCAGCGAGCTGGAATTGTGCCACTGCTTTCCAACCTGGGCGATAGAGGGACACCTTGTCTCAAAACAACAACAAAATAACAGTTCCCCAAAGCTGTTTCCTACACCTGAGCAGAAGGAATGAAAAGCCTTTACGTAGCTGTTCTGCCTTACAAAACATACTTTGTTAGCAACTGACGCTAGTATTTACATATTCAGAGAATTATGATGAGACGCATCCAGCGCACTATCTCTGGGCAAATTTTTGGAAGAATTATTGCATAATAAGTGATCCAAGAAGCTTATGCTATTATGTTTTAAGTTAAAATATTCATCTAGAGATGGACATGGTAATGCACAACTAGAGTTCAGCCACGCTTCCTTTCGGCCGGAACCGCCATCTTCCGTCATTGGCCCAAATGACCAACAGGAGGGGAAAGGGGAGAGGCTCCCGATGGATGTTCTCTGGCCTTTTAGAAAACGTGGAGTTGTTCCTTTGGCCACGTATATGCGAGTCTATAAGAAAGGTGATACTGTAGACATCAAGGGAATAGATATTGTTCAAAAAGGAAGCTCCGCAGGTGTGACCGCGGCAAAGCTGGGAGTCGACCGCGTTCTCCAGCGTGCTGTTGCAAACAGACAAGGGCAAGATTCCTGCCGAGAGAATTATGTGCGTATGGAGCACACGGAGCACTCTAAGTGGCTTCCTGAAATGTGTGGAGGAAAATGATCAGAAAAAGAAAGAAGCCGCAGAGAAAGGTACCTGCTTCAACTAAAGCTGCAGCCTGCTCCACCCAGAAAAGCTCACGGTGCGAGAACCAAGGGGAAGGAACCTGAGCTGCTGGAAGCTATTCCCTGTGAATTCATGACATCATAGGTGTTCAAATAAAATAAAATAAAAGACCTCTGGACCGTAAAAATGTTTGTCTTCATTGAGTAGAAGTGTGGCGTCCTCTCCCCGACAGAAATATTTAAACCACATTTTAATCGTGTCCTAATTACGTAACATTTTTACTACTCAAATTTAATAGATTAAAATCGACTCGAAAGTTGTAAGGTGGCTTATTGTGCAACAAATTACTCAATTGGTTAGAAAACGGCCAGATATTATTTATGAAACATTTGTACTGGTTTGAAGACAGTCCCTCTAAATCATTACGGAAGGAATTAAATAATTTACTCTCTCTCTCTCTATATATATATATAACTATATATATAACTATATATAACTATATATAACTATATATGTAACTAAACTATATATAACTATATATAACTATATATAACTAAACTATATATAACTATATATATAACTAAACTATATATAGCTATATATATAACTATATATAACTATATATAAAACTATATATAACTATATATAACTAAACTATATATAATTATATATAACTATATATAACTATATATATAACTAAACTATATATAACTATATATATAACTATATATGTAACTATATATATAACTAAACTATATATAACTATATATAACTAAACTATATATAACTATATATAACTATATATTACTATATATAAGTAAACTATATATAACTATATATAACTGTATATAACTATATATAACTATATATATAACTAAACTATATATAACTGTATATAACTATATATAACTATATATAAACTATATATAACTATATATAACTATATATAACTATATAACTATATATAAAACAAAACTATATATAACTATATATAACTAAACTATATATAACTATATATAACTATATATAACTATATATAACTAAACTATATATAACTATATTTAACTATATATAACTATATATAACTAAACTATATATATCTGTATTTAACTATATATAACTATATATATAACTAAACTATATATAACTATATATAACTATATGTATAACTAAACTATATATAACTGTATATAACTATATATATAACTAAACTATATATAACTATATATAACTATATATAACTATATATAACTAAACTATATATAACTATATATAACTATATATAACTATATATATAACTAAACTATATATAACTATATATATAACTATATATAACTAAACTATATATAACTATATATAACTAAACTATATATAACTATATATAACTATATATAACTATATGTATAACTAAACTATATATAAATATATGTATAACTATATATATAACTATATATAATTATATATATAACTATATATAGCTATATATAACTATATATAACTAAACTATATATAACTATATATATAACTATATATAACTATATATATACTTAAACTATATATAACTATATATATAACTATATATAACTAAACTATATATAACTATATATATAACTATATATAACTATATATATAACTAAAGTATATATAACTATATATAACTATATATAACTAAACTATATATAACTATATATAACTATATATATAACTAAACTATATATAACTATATATATAACTAAACTATATATAACTATATATATAACTATATATAACTAAACTATATATAACTATATATAACTAAACTATATATAACTATATATAACTATATATAACTATATGTATAACTAAACTATATATAACTATATGTATAACTATATATATAACTATATATAATTATATATAACTATATATAACTATATATAATTATATATATAACTATATATAACTATATATAACTAAACTATATATAACTATATATATAACTATATATAACTATATATATAACTATATATAACTATATATATAACTAAAGTATATATAACTATATATAACTATATATAACTAAACTATATATAACTATATATAACTATATATATAACTAAACTATATATAACTATATATATAACTAAACTATATATAACTATATATAACTATATGTATAACTAAACTCTATATAACTATATATAACTATATATATAACTAAACTATATACAACTATATATAACTATATATGTAACTATATATATAACTATATATATATATAGTTCCAGCTACTTGGGAGGCTGAGATGGGAGGACGCTTGAGCCCAGAAGCTTGAGGCTGTAGTGAATTATGATCATGCCTGTGAATATCCATCACATCTCTTAAAAAAAATCATAAATAAAAAGCTTTCACCTTTCAACTCAGGGTCGAAGAAGCTTGGAGAATCATGGACAAGTGGAAGTGAATCTTGAGCCAAACAAAGAGGTTGTTTAATAGTAAGCATTGTCAGAGAGGTTACAGAGAAGCAAAGCACCCATCCACTGATGGGGCTGCCTGCAGGGAACAGAGGGCCTGAGAGCCGTACCTTTAGTTTGTTTAACTAGAGAAATGGTCATCAACAGCTCTCTTTCAGAGTAGAGTCTCTTTTCAGTGTAGAGACTGGAATTGAACTTTGTAGGCCCTGACTGTGTCTGTGTGGGCCACAGCCATCCTATGCACTTCTCTGTAAGTCTGAGTTAGCCCCGAGGCAGCATCGTCATCCAGAACCCAGGCCAGTGCTCCCCACTCAGGTTAGACTTAGACTCTAGGAAGCTGTGAGCATGTGCTGTGTGCATGTGTGTGGACTGTGTCGCGTGTTATACTGTTGTATGTGTGTTGTGTTGTGTGTCCTGTTATCATTGTTTTGTATGTATATTTTGTGTTGTGTTGTATTGTGTTGTGTTGTCTGAGTGTGTGTAGTATGTCTTGTGTGTTGTGTATATATTGTATGATGTATTGTTTTGTGTATTTGTGTGGTAGTGTGGTGTTATATGCTGTTTTATGAATGTGTGGTATGTGAATTGTATATTGTGTGTATGTTGTGTGTATATTGTCTGTTGTGCAAGTGTGTGGTGTGTTCTTGGTTGTCCATGTAAATGTGTGTGATGTGTATTTTGTTGTGTGTATTGTTTTGTGTGTATTGTGCGTTATGCATGCATGGTGTGTATATATTGTTTGTGTTCTGTGTTGTATCTGTATGAATACGTGTGGTATGTGTTGTGTGCATATTGTGTGTTGTCCATGTGTGTGGTGTGTGTGTGATGGTTCTCACGAGAGACTGGGAACTGAGACCAGCCTCTGCTGTGTCTGATCCAAGTGAGGTTCAGACGCCGGTCCCTATCCCTGTTGCAGAAAAGCCTGTGAACACTGGCATGGGGCTGCGGCGTCGCCAGCCTGGTCTGCGGTGCCCTCATGGTTATGGAAATGGAAGGAGCCAGGCCTGAACGGGGGTGCCGTCCACTGGTGAACTGCGGAGCCCAAGTGTTCATGCTGGGTGCAGGTGAGGCCTCTGCTGTGAGCCTAGAAGTCCTTCCTGCCTACAGGCCTGGGCTCGCAGGCCGAAGACACGGATGCAGCTGTGGTCATGGGTGTGGACTTGGAGGTGGGCTGGCTGTGAAGCCTGATTTGGGCCTCATCTGGTATCAATTCTTTCTGTATTAAGCTTCACTTACACCCAAGTCGTCAGTCAAACCTTGTTAAAAGGCACCATGTTGCCTCTCACAATGTTGAATAAAAGCAGCCAGACACAGGAGAACCCACTGAACGCTTCCACTTCCATCAAGCTCAGAATCTGAAAAAACACATCTGCAGGGCGAGGCGTCAGGAGCGGAGTGATCCCTGGTAGGGTGAGGGCAGAACCAGCAGGGGCACAAGAGGGTGCCTGGGGCTCTGACGTTGCTATTTCTTCTGACGGTGCTGGTTACACAGGTGTGTTCAGCTTGGAAATTCATCAAGGCAGTGAAATAGGATTTGTGCACATTTCTGTCTGCACCTATGCTACCATGAATAAAAGAAGAAACTGCATGGCCTCATTGTACTGTGGAGAATGAAGGAGGCCCCAAAAGGCCAAGTGGAGCCCTGGGGGACTTCACTGGGGATACACAGGCCCAACAGACGCATGACCTCAAAAAGGTGGGGGTAGCCAGGCACAGTGGCTCACGCCTGTAATCCCAGCACCGTGGAGGCCGAGGCGGGAAGATCACATGAGCCCTCTGGACCAGGAGTTGAGACCAGCCTGGGCAATGTGGCAAAGCCCCATCTCTACAAAATATTAAAAAATTAGCCAGCTGTGGTGGTGCATGTCTGTAGTCTCTGCTACTAGGGAGGTTGAGGTAGGAGGATCACTTGAGCCTGGAAGGTTGGGGCTACAGTGAGCTGTGTTCATGCCACTGCATTCCAGCCTGGGCAACAGAGCAAGACTCTGTCAAAAACAACAACAACAACCAAAAAGGCAGGGGAGTAGAGGGCCTTGTTCTTGGACAAATGAGTAGCAAATGCTAGAAGATACTGAATAGCCAGGTATGTGGGGAAGGAATCTGGAGTTGGAGAGGGGAGAGGCACCTCTGACAGTTAGGTTGGTGGAAGGTTCATGCCTTAATGATTTGGGGATTTGAGTATAAGAGAAAGTGTAACACTATTGTTGTCCTAACCTAGTGGACAAGGAGGGGAGGGTGCCACATTCTGATAGAAGTTGAGGACAGAGAGTGGACGTGGTGGCTGATGATCGTGCAAAGCCGAGGACAGAGAGTGGACATGGTGGCTGATGATCGTGCAAAGCCGAGGACAGAGAGTGGACGTGGTGGCTGACGATCATGCAAAGCTGAGGACAGAGAGTGGACGTGGTGGCTGATGATGGTCCAATGCGATGGGCCAGTGCTGTCCTAAGTGCTTTCCAGGGATGACCTCACTTCATCCTCAGTTCTGCCTTTGAGGTAAGGACTACAGCGATTCCTGCTCTGCAGAGGGGGAAATGGAGGCAGAGAAGTTACTTGACTTGCTCCAGGTCCCGTGGGACGGAAGTGGGGCTTGAACCTGGGGGTTCTGACTCCAGAGCCATGCTCTACCCCACTGGGCCTCCCTGTTTCCCAGACTTGAGGTCCTGCAAAATGGAAACGTAGACCCTCTAGAGAGGTGTTTCTGTTTAGGGCCTGACATGTACGCAAAGACAAAAAAGTGACTTTATCCTTAGTATTTCTTGTAGGGCACGCTGGCTCACAACAAGTTCTCTTAAAAAAAAAAAAAATCTGACAATGCCTTAGTTTCTCCTTCACTGTAGACAGCTGTTGCCGACAGGATTCCTGGCTGACAGGCTCTGTGAGCACCTTGAATCCCTCATCCCTCTGCTCTGCCTTCAGGGTTTCTGATGAGAACTCAGCAGTTCGCACTGCGGAGGCGATGAGTCTTTCTCTAGTTGCATCGTCTTTTCAAACAGTTTAACTAAGATGTGCCTGCGTGTGGCTCTTTCCAAATTAGGGAGTTTTTGCTTATTATTTCTTTCAGTGTTTTCACTGGTGCTTCTCTCCCTCCTCCCCTTCTGGAACTCTCACTGCACGTATGTCAGGTTCGTTTTTCTTTATTCTTTTTGTCCCTCAGACTGGATAATCTCGATGGAGCCACCTCCAAGTTTGCTGATTCTTTCCTCTGTCAGCTCAGATACATGGGTGAGCTCCCCTAGTGAATTTCACATTACACTTCTTTAAACCCCAGGCTTTCTGGTTACTGTTTTCGTAATTTCTCTATACTGATCTTCTCTGTTTTGGTGAGACATCATTTTCATACTTTCTTGTAATTGTTGACATGATTCCCTTATTCCCGTGAACACGTTAAAAGTGGATTCAGGGTCTTGTCTTCGTCCACATGATGTCCAGCACCAGGACTTCCTTTGGGGTGGTTTATCTGACTACCTTTTTCCTGTGTGTGGCCTTCACTCTGCTGTTTCTTTGCATGCCTCATCCTTTTTTCATTGAATCTGGACATTTAAGATAATATACTCCAGCCTGGCCAACATGGTGAAACCCCGTCTCTACTAAAAATACAAAAATTAGCCGGGCATGGTGGTGGGCGCCTGTAGTCCCAGCTACTCGGGAGGCTGAGGTAGAAGAATTGCTTGAACCCAGGAGGTGGAGGTTGTGGTGAGCCAAGATGGCACCACTGCACTCCAGCCTGGCAACAGTGCAAGACTCATCTAAAAAAAAAATAAAAAAAAATAAAGATAATATAGTGTGGCAACTCTGTAGACAAGATCCCTCTTCCACTCCTGGCTTTGTTGTTGATGATGGTTGTCACTGTTGTTTCTTTGTGTTTAGTAACATACTTGGACTCTCTAGAAGCTGTGTTGTCACATGCTGCCTCTGAAGCCTCTGCTGGGTTAGCTCACGTGCCAGCTAAGGATTGGAAAGGACTTCTTTGAATACTTCAGACCAGTTGGTCTCCCACCTGCTGCCAAGGGGCCCTGTGCATGTGCTGGGTGCCTTCAGTCTTCCAGCAGGCACCTCACAGCCAGAAATGAGAACTCTTGCAGGTCTTTCCTGGGGATGTGCACAGCCCGGCATGTGCATGTGTCTAGCACCCCAGCAATGCCAGAGTTTTACAAAGCCCTCTGTGGACAGTCTCATCCCCTAGGTTCTCCTTTCAAAGTGTTTGGTTGGCCTCTTGTTTGTCCCAACTGCTACCACTGCCTCAGGCAGCTGCAATGTTAAACAACCGCCACCGATTCTTCTGGACCAACAAACCTGGAGATGGAGTTTTCCTGGGAGCCTGAGAGTTGAAATAGTGACAATTCCCTGGGGATGGAACTTTTGGAGAGCAATAAGCTCCTTCTTTCCCCTCCAGAGGCAGCAAGGCTGCTGGTCATCTGTGCTGTTGCACTTCTAAGGCTGCTGCTGTATGACTTTTTCCATATTTTCCAATAGCTATTGGCATTACCATATACGACACAGACATTTCTACATCCAAATATTTTCCAGATTTTTTTTTTTTTTTTGGTGATGGAGTCTCACTCTGTCGCCCAGGCTGGAGTGCAGTGGCATGATCTCGTCTCACTGCAGTCTCTGCCTCCCCCAGTTCAAGTGATTCTCCTGCCTCAGCCTTCTGAGTAGCTGGGATTACAGGTGCGCACCACTATGCCCAGCTAATTTTTTGTATTTTTAGTGGAGATGGGGTTTCACCATGATGGCCAAGGTGGTTTCAAACTGCTGACCTTAAGTGATCCACCTGCCTTGGCCTCCCAAAGTACTAGGATTACAGGTGTGAGCCACCACGCCCGGCCTCCAGATTTTTATTTATTTATTTATTTTTGAGACCGAGTCTCGCTCTGTCGCCCAAGCTGGAGTGCAGTGGCGCGATCTTGGCTCACTGCAAGCTCCGCCTCCTGGGTTCAAGTGATTCTCCTGTCTCGCCCTCCCGAGTAGCTGGGACTACAGGCGTGTGCCCCCACACCTGGCCGATTTTTTTTATTTTTAGTAGAGACGGGGTTTCACCACGTTAGCCAGGATGGTCTCAATCTCCTGACCTCGTGATCTGCCCACCTCGGCCTCCCAAAGTGTTGGGATTACAGGTGTGAGCCACCACGCCCGGCCCAGATATTTTTTTTGAGACAGGGTCTTACTCTGTCGCCCACACTGAAGTGCAGTGGCACAATCATAGCTCACTGCAGCCTCCTAACCTCCTGGGCTCAAGAGATCCTCCCACCTCAGCCTCCCAAGTAGCTAGAACTGTAAGTGTGCACCCACCATGCCCAGCTAGTTTTTTTATTTTTATAGAGATGAGGTCTCACTCTGTTGCCCAGGCTGGTTTCAAACTCCTGGGCTCCACTGATCCTCCTGCTTCGGCCACCCAAAGCGTTGGGCTTACAGGTGTGAGCTGCCATGCCTGGCCTCCCGAAGCGTTGGGCTTACAGGTGTGAGCCACCGTGCCTGGCCTTCTTTGCAGAGTATTATTATTGGGATTTCCAGGTAGGCAATCTTGTATCTGAAAATGACTATCTCTTTGTAAAAATTTCCAGATAATCTTTTTTCTTTGTATTATATTGCCCAGGAAGTTGAGAATAACAGTAAATAGTTAAAGGCAGACTTCCTGGGTGTTTCCAACTTTCATGTCTCAACTGTTTCTCAGATGAGGAGGCCCTTGGCTTTTTCTCTCAATAGTATCCATCACGCTTAGCAGTATCTTCTCCTTAGTCGTCACTAACAACCGTTAGTAGGTATATATCTTTTTTTGAATGGAAACTTGTTAGACGAGATGAATTATATTTTGGTCTGCCAAACGTATTTATTTCTTGAGACAGGGTCTTGCTGTCTCACCCAGCCTGGAGTGCGGCAACGCAATCATGGCTCACTGCATCCTCGACGTCCTGGCTCCAGTGATCCTTCTTCTGCTCAGCCTCCCGAGTGGCTGGGACCATAGGCATGCGCCACCACGCCTGGCTAATTTTTGTATTTTTGGTAGAGACAGTGTTTTGCCATGTTGCCCAGGCTGCTCTTGAACTCCTGAGCTCAAGTGAACCACCTGCTTTGGCCTCCCAAAGTGCTGGGATTACAGGTGTGAGCCGTCTGCCAAACTTTATACATTTATTCAACAGATAATTGGTTTACCATGTGTCTGGAACAGTGATAGGCGACCAGTGAGTTTTAAATAAAACTCACATAATCTCTGCCCTTGAAAGTTTACAGTCCATGTAGGAAAGTTTTAAATAAAACTAAATTGTAATTACGTTAAATTTGGTGAATCAAAGTAACACAGGCCGGGATGGTGGCGTAGGCCTGTAATCCCAATACTTTGGGAGGCTGAGGTGGGGGGGATCCCTTGATCCCCCTACTGCACTCCAGCCTGGGCAACAGAGTAAGAACCTGTCTCAAAAAAAAAAAAAAAAAAAAACACATACACACACATGATGCTAAGAAAACTCACAGGACACCGAGATCAGCTTTCAACTGAGAAGTTACGGGGAGTGGATGTGAGCTGGGCCAGTCATGGTAAGAGCCCGCGTGGAGGTGCTGGGGAGAGGAGAGGAGAGGAGCAAGTGTGGAGGTGGGTGGGGCAGGAGCAGGTGTGGATGTGCTGGAGGGGAGGGGCAGACGTGGAGGTGCTGGGGGGAGGAGCAAGCATGGAGGTGGGGAGGTTGGAGCAAGTGTGGAGGTGGGGGGATTGGAGCAAATGTGGATGTGCTGCGGGGGAAGAGCAAGCGTGGAGGTGGGGGGGGAGGAGCAAATGTGGAGGTGCTGGGGGGAGGAGCAGGTGTGGAGATAGTGGGGGAAGAGCAAGCGTGGAGGTGTTGGGAGAAGCAAGTGTGGATGTGCAAGCGTGGAGGTGGGGGGCTTGGCGCAAGCGTGGAGGTGCTGGGGGGAGGAGCAAGGTGGAGGTTGGGACTGGAGCAAATGTGGAGGTGCTGGGGGGAGGAGCAGGTGTGGAGATAGTGGGGGAGGAGCAAGCGTGGAGGTGCTGGGGGGAGGAGCAGGTGTGGAGATAGTGGGGGAGGAGCAAGCGTGGAGGCGGGAGGGTTGGAGCAGGTGTGGAGGTGCTGTGGAAGAGGGGCAAGTGAGGATGTGCTGGCGGGGAGGAGCAAGTGTGGAGGTGGGGGCGTTGGAGCAGGTATGGAGGTGCTGGGGAGAGGGGCAAGTGTGGAGGTGCTGGGGGGGAGGAGCAAGTGTGGAGGTGCTGGGGGGGGAGGAGCAAGTGTGGAGGTGCTGGGGGGGAGGAGCAAGTGTGGAGGTGCTCGGGGGAGCAGTGTGGAGATGTTGGGGAGTTCCGAGCAGGTGTGGAGGTGCTTGCGGGGAGGAGCATGCCTGGGGGTGTTGAGTGGGAATGTGTAGGGGCCGTCTGTGGAACTGAGAGGCATTGATTGAGGTACAGTGGGTGAGGGTCCCAGAGGAAGAAGAAACACTCAGCTGCAGAAGTCAGGAAATGCTCTTGCTCTTGAACAGTGGAACACAGCTGAGTGGGAGTGATCTGTGTCTGAAAGATTCTCCTGTTGTATGGAAAATGGAGCAGGCAGGGGAGAAAGATTGAGAAATGGAGAGGGACGGTGGCTTGGACTGAGGGGACAGAGTTGAGGTGGCTACATTCTCCAGTTAGAGCTCAAGGACTTGGTGTCTGCACATGGGCTGAGGCAGTGGGAGGTGGCTGGTGCTGTCCAGGTCTCAGCTCCAGCACCAAGACGGATGATGGACAGACAGATGGACAAAGGGTGTGCCTTGAGGTGTCCATGTGACACAGAGGACGGGGATGCAGTGGGATGAACTGGTCCTGAGCTCAGACAACATCTGTATCAGTGACATACATCTGGAAACCAGGGTATTGATGGTATTAAGAACACCACATAAAAATAAAAAGTGATCAGAACCAAAACCCACATTATGCCAATTATTGAGTCTGGTTGAAGGTGAAGACAGTGTTGGAAAATGGCCAAAAATGTGCAAGGAAAATACAGAGGAAGGCGCTACAGAGGCCAAGAAGGATGGCCCACAGTCAAGGAGAAAGGAAGTGCCCGGTGTCAAAGGCCCACAGTCAAGGAGAAAGGAAGTGCCTGGTGTGAAATGCCGAGCGGCTACGAGGAAAAGCGCAAGGGCTCCACTCAAGTCGATCCAGACCACCAGTAATGAACGCAACAGGAAGGGATACTCCAGTATCACCCTCAGTGTTCCAATGTTCAGGTGTCTCGGCAGTCCCCGCTGCACTTCTCAGAGCCCTAGTTAAAAACACATTTAAAGTTTATTTTTTCTACGTATGATTATCCTTTAGAAGAGCTGTTTTTGACATGTGGAGTGTAATGTGCTGGGCAGAGGAGAGTCAAACTGAGCTGGGAACAACAGGAAGGATGTCAGCTGCTCTGACGTAGCTGCTGGGAAAACGCGAGTGCAGACAGCAAATGAAACAGTGCACGACGTCTCCTTTCAAATTATCTGACTGCACACTGAACACCTCCCTTCAAAAGACAGAGAAAAACAAATCACGACTGAGCTAACATAAAGGTTTTATTGAATAAATACATGCACTGTCACGTGAAATTAGTTGAACAGAAAGGAGGTTCTCTACTTTTTAACCCCCATCCCCCACCGCTGTTCTCTATTTGCAGTGGGGGGTCCAGCTGGAGGTGGAATAAATGCGGCAACCACAGAAAAAACACACAGCTACACACAGGCCTGCATTTGGCTTATGTGCCTGAAAAAGAAGGGCCGACCTCTTGATAAAGAATGTCTGTAAAAGGAATTCTTACCGTGCAGAATATATTATCATGGTAAATACAGTTACAAGGCTGCTTCTATTTTATTTATTTTTTGAGACGGAGTCTCACTCTGTTGCCCAGGCTGGAGTGCAGTGGTGCGATCTTGGCTCACTGCAACCTCCGCCTCCTGGGTTCAAGCAATTCTCCTGCCTCAGCCTCCCGAGTAGCTGGGACTACAGGCGTGCGCTCCACCACCACGCCCGGCTAATTTTTGTATTTTTAGTAAAGATGGGGTTTCTCCATGTTGGCCAGGCTGGTCTTGAACTCCTGACCTCAGGTCATCCGCCCGCCTCGGCCTCCCAAAGTGCTGGGATTACAGGCGTGAGCCACCGCACCCGGCCAGCTGCTTCTATTTTAATCTGAACTTGGAAACACCTTCCTACTTTAAGGCACAGGATCAGGATAAGAACCCACATGTACGAGCTAACAGAGCTGCACTTCAAATTTACTAAGTTAATTAATTTTCCCTTCATTGGCTTGGCTCAAGGTAGAAAAGTTAAAATTCCCTTTTCTTAGATAAACTGATTATTTAAAACTGAAAATTAACGTTTTGACAACTCAAGAGTGTCTGACATCGCTGGGATCCTGGAGTGCTGAGTGTGGCCTCGATGGTGGCTTCACTCCTCCACATCTGGGAGGCACTTCAGTGCCTCAGAATCACCCCCTTTTTTTAAAAGAGAATGGAGGCAGCTACTGGAGGCCAAGCACCTCCAGGCACTCAAGGCCCTGGGGACAGCGCTACTGACTCCACTGCCTCAGGGCAGGCACGGTGCTGCTCTACCACTTCCTCTGGGCTTTGTACCTTTAATTGTGTCTACTCTGCCTAAGTGCTTAAATAAAGCATTCCATTAAGCAAAATACACATGGAGCGGATTACACACTGGACTGCAGAACTCAGATGTATGGGATGTTGGTAAAAATTACTGGCATGCTACAATTTCCATGAGTGCTGCTGCTTTATAGATTATGACAGAAGACTTTCAACAGACCTGATTTTTAAAAAACCCTCAACAAATCTAATACTAAGGGAAAGCAACTAGATTTAATGTTGTTACCTGTCTTCCATAAATACCATAGTTAAATGTTTTGTGTGCATACATGTTCGTATTTGTCTATAAAGGTATTGATACGCTTCCCAAATAATCCTATATACTAACATTGGAAATGGTTTATAAAGAGGCTTTACAGTCGCATGTCATTCAGCAGGAGGGAATATACTGGTCTTTATGATTACATGAAATATGCTGTGAAGCTACAGACTCCATTATAAGTAAACCCATGGTTCAAAGTGTAAGTTATAAATTGAAACAAAATCAAAATCTGCTAGAAGGGAGGGTGGGTAGACAGCCACCAGCCTTGTTTATAAATTCAAACAAAATAAGAATCTGCTAGAAGGGAGGGTGGGTAGACGCCACCCGCCCCGTCACAGGCACTTTGGTTTGTTTGGTCATGTGAGTTACCCACAAGTTGTATAGTTCCATGAAACAAGCTAAAAGCTCCAATTTAAATTACAAAGCTATACTTTCCTTAATATATTTACACATAGTTTTAAGATGTTCTCATGGCTATGGAAGCCATTTTCAGCATATAGCTTATAATATACACTTAATCGTCTACATATGTGCATTCTTTCTTTACAGACACACACAGCCTACGACACTGCAACAGAGCCTCACCTCACAGGAGGTCTGGGGGACTCTTAAGTACAGAAACCTGCTTTTAACAGTCTAAACAGGATAAAAATTGCATAACAATATCCCAATATTAAGGTCAGTCATGGCATAAAGTGAGGCAGCCTGGGAAGTGGCTGCTGAGAACAGCAGGGGCCGGGCTCGCAGCTGTGGCGCCCCCAACCCTGGTGGTGGCCAGTGCACATCGGCTCAAAGGTCCCACATCCTATGTGTGAGGTCACACTGGGGGTTCCTGACAATAATGAGATCGAGCTTTCAATTTTTAATGCAATATCCTGTCTACTCACTCCAATCTACCTCACAACCTTTAAAAGGACAACGTGTACCTTCCTTTTTTTATAGGCTGGGAAAACATTGAAAATTAACAAAGCTCATGACTGATTGTTTGACAACAGCTTAATTGCTAACATTGAAAGTCTGCTCTTACAGTTGAGGAAAAGTACAAGGTGTCTGTATACTGTTTCATGAGTAAGTTACAACAGCAATTAAAATAAACATAAGACACTTCATTTTTATGTAAGAAATTTCAGATTAGCATAATGTGATTTATGAACCATGACAATTCTCTTAATATATTACTCAGTTATAAAACATTTTTCCTTATAAGCCCTTCAACTTACTTCTCAATAATACATCCTTATATTTATGAAAATGTTAATATTTTGAATACTTTATTTCATCTTTCATAATGGGCAGAAACATACTAGCATTTAATAATATTTCAGCTTTTCTTTTCAAAAAGAAACACCACAAAATAGGTCACTGAGAACTTTTTGCTGCCAAGATGAAAATGATTATTTGTCACACGAATTTAATAAGTTTTAGAAGAAAATATATATATTTCCTTGATCTATTTCCTTCTGAATTTAAACCAGCATGTAAAGATTATAAAAAATAGTCTATTTACATGGCATAGTATACCTCAGTGATATATAAACAAGGCCATAATAAAGCACAGACACATCCGACTCCTACGGACACAGCTGAGCAGAGTCCACAGACACAAGAGCTACCGCCGCCCTACTGCACGTTGTAGGAACTGGCGAAATCCTAGAGGAAATCCAACACAGAAAATTCAATGATAATATTGGCCAAATTTGCCTGAAATGTCAACAATTTTATAAAACTATTAAGGTATGTATAACTAAATCCATGAAATTATAAAAATAACATTGGTACGTCTGTGAGAGGGTGTGTTCCGGGTAGAGGTGGAGAGCTACGCTGAAGAGGACGCCTCCTGCCTGCTGCGGCTATGTCATCGCCTGAGGCCTCGTCCCATCTTCCGTGAGGTCATACCTGAGAAAGACAGTGACAGGAAGGTGGTGACGGATACAGGACCAAGTAGGAAAAGCCTATCAGATACGTGTCGGGTTCCACCACTGTCTGTGGGGGACACTACCCACTGGGCGGGGAAAGCGTTTTTAGCTACACACTGGGGTTCTCTGTCTGCAGCAGGGACACTCACCACTGGGTCCAGCCTTTGGCAAGTTCTTCAGATGCCAGAGCAACCAATACCTGTGGGTTGTTAAAAAAGCAGTTAAAGTAGGCTGGGCTGGGGGCACTGGCTCCCGTCTGTAATCCCAGCACTTTGGGAGGCCAAGATGGGAGGATCTCTTAAGCCCAAGAGTTTGAGACCAGCCTGGGCAAGATAGTGAAACCTTGTCTCTATTAAAAGTAAAACAAATTTATCTGGGCGTGCTGACACGCACCTTGGTCCCAGCAACTCGGGAGGCTGAGACAGCAATTGCTGGAGCCCAGGCATTTGAAGCTGCAGTGAGCCATGATCGCGCCACTGGACTTCAGCCTGTGCTTCTACAGACCCTGTCTCTAAATAAATAAACAAATACATAAAGTAGGCTAAGACAATGTCTTTTAGATCTTTTACCACTTCTTCTCATCTCTCTAATCTTCTGTCTTCATCTAGGAATATGGACTCTCCCTTTTCTGAAGGCTCTTACTTTTTCAATCTTTTCTACCCCCCTGAGCACCTGTAAGCTACATCGCTGAATACATCTAAGAAATCCTTCATGCAACCAGCAGTCTTAAAATTCAGCTATGACGGAATATCAGCGGAGATGACTCACAGAAGGGTTGGCCCATGTGCCCTCCATGGCAGCACAGCTGACGAAATGATGCCCGTGACTCAAATCTCTTCCTCCCCAACTGAACCTACTCTCATTCCTAAATAACATACACTCACATGCCAAAGTGAAATGTGAAATACGGACAAAGAGTAGAAGAAATTCACATAAATAAAGCCAAAGAATTTTAGAAAAAGAGCAGAGCCATCAGTTGAGGAGATGGAATTGTAAGAGATTATTTTCCTTCAATGTGATACTTGAACAAAAATGTGAAGACTTAACTTAAAATATCTTCAGAAAGCACAGATGTTTTGACTGTCTTTATAGCCCATGATTTATAAACAAGCATCGACCTCGTAAGTTCGCCCCTTCCACTTACACAGACATGGTCTAAACACTGCACTGCAGGTAAATGTTCAATTTTACAAACTGCAGGAACTGGTTGAGGATTCGTTTGGCACTTACTTTGCCAAGGAGCCCTTTGTCTTTGGACAGGAAGCCGCCACTGTTCTTCACGGCAACGTCGAGCGTTCTCCTCTGCACTTCTGGTAACGAAACACTGAAATCAAAGCTGAAATAGGAAACGAGAGCCTTACTTTATCCATCATTCTGCTGTATTTTCTTATAACTAAAAATGGCATTTCTGCTCATGAGATCATTCCAAATGTCATGTTTGTTTTTTATTATAAAACTGAGTTCTTCTACCTAATGTTTTAATCTGGCATTTCAGGAAGACTCAAAAACCAACATTTTTTTCATTTCCCACACATAAAAGAAGGCTCTGGCATCCCATAGATGTCTGGGTCCCAAGGTCCCTGGCTCACTCACGGGTGGGTGAGGAGCGTCTCTCAACATGTCTGACTCTTCCAGGGGATTAAAATGTGGGATAATGTTGACAAAACAGCAATTCCAGAGCAGCCCACTCACTCAGGCTTTCCACTCAGTCTGGTTTAGTCTTCAGGCCCTATTCCCACCATCTCCAATAAAAAAAAGTATGTGCTTGCAGCTTCGCAGGAGGGAGAAGGCCTCCAAAGCACTCCCGATGCTCAGCCAGACGCTGCACTAAAGTGCCTGCAGGGCGTCTCTCCTCCGGGCTGCGGGTGCCTGCCCCAGGCCACCGTGCTGGGGGGCAAGTGGAGTCTCCAGACGCTTAAATGCCTCGGATGGGTAGGAGCACCCTGCACAACCTCATCGGGCTGATGCACGCCTGCCAGTTTCTGATGGGTGTTTTACATAAAGCTACTTGTATGAAAGTACAATGAATGAGGAGGATGTTTAAAGATGAAACGTAAACTGAATTAGCAGATAGCGACACCATACAACTGTATTATTATCATTTCCCAAAACAAGGGTGGGTTTTGAAGCACTAGGGGACAATCACCTAAGATACCAAAATGGTACAGATTAGCAGCTCTTTAAAAGTGGGGGCCAATGACCCCTGGGGGTGTCTCTGAGACCCTCCTAGGAGGTCACCAAATCACCCTGACCACAGAAGCAGGCTCCAGCCCCTCTTGAGCCAGACCACTAAAGAGATGAGCAAAAATGCTGAACAATAATACCATTCTTTTCATTATGTTTTTTATTTTTGGAAATACAGTTGTTTTTCCAATATGTCATACGGTAAGATGTTTGGGGCTTACTGTTATTTAAAAATAAAATTAAAAATATATGTATCCTTAAATTCTCAGTTTTAATTGATAACATAGTTAAGTGTCAACAGATATAACCCCCAAAAATGAGTTCTTCAGGGCCATCAGTAACCTGATCTTTATTTAATCACTAGTCTACATGTCCACAGGGTTGTAACTTGAATTTACTGTATTTAGAGCTTCTACATGAAGGTCAAAATGCTTATTTGTTTTGAGAAGTATGTTTGCTAAAAGTTGGTTTCTGATTGAACTTCTCAACAGCTGATTTATGTGCTTTGGCCACTCAAAGGCACCATTTAGGGCCTTCTTAATCCGTCACTTCAACCGGGCAGTCTATCCTCAGCTGGATAAAATACCGTACCTTTGATCAAACACTGGATTTAATGTTTTCTTTGACACGTGTGTTTTCCTCCTTCCTGACCGCCTCTTGTCTGGTAATAAATACATGCGGACATAGGGGTCAGAGCCGTCTTCAGAGAAGGCAATGAGGTTTCTTACAACACAAACCAGATAAGACGAGGTATTAGGACCGAGAAAAAGAGAATGAGCAGCACATTCAGATATGCTTTATCAAGCTTTGATTTCATGTTTATCTACAAACCGAGAAGCAACAAGGAACAGAATGCGTGAGGCGCTTTTGCCTCCCCCGACGGCTGCCTGGTGGCATCTCCCAAACTCCTTTCTTAGTGGCTTTCTCAGCAGCGACTTCGGCCTTCATTTCTCAAGCCCAGAGTTTGGAGGACGTTCCAAGTCCTTGGTCTCTGCTTGTAACAGAGTGACGGTTGTCTTTCCATAATGCTTCTGCCATTTTCTCTCTCACAGCCAAGAAAGCCAGGCCCCCACCCCACAGTGCCTACCCCTCCAGAAGGGGGCTGCTCCTTTGCAGCAAACGCGGTCAGGTGCCCAGCTGCACAGGCCCCCACATTCTTCGCTTGCTGACTGACCACAAAGTCTAGGAGGGATTGTTTTGCTAGACTCCTCTACAACAGTATCCCCCACGATCATTATCTAAGTGGCAAGAATATATGAACTTCTCAAGAGTGATGTACTGAACTCTACATTTTTATCATCTTTCTAAATGGTGCTAATTTTATTTTCCTATGTTTCCAACAGCTATTTATAAGCACCAAATTTTTATATCATATTTTAAACCACTAATAGGACAGAGAAAATTGCATAAAAGGAAAATAGTTCGTAAGCCCACAGTATCATTGTTAACAAATGCAATTAATGCAACAGTCACCTGACTTTATACTTATTAATATAACAAACAAGTTAAAATAAATTCTTCCTGATTAGGCCAGTCATGGTGGCTCAAGTCTATAATCCCAGTGCTTTGGGAGGCCAGGAATTAGAGACCAGCGTCTCCATAAAAAAATTAAAAATTAGCCAGGCCTGGTGGCTTCCACCTATAGTCCCAGCTACTCAGGAGGCCTGGCCAACATGGTGAAACCCCGTGTCTACTAAAAATACAAGTTAGTCGGACGAGGTAGTGCACGCCTGTAATCCCACCTACTCGGGTGGCTGAGGCAGGAGAATTGCTTGAACCCAAGAAGCGGAAGTTGCAGTAAGATGAGATTGTGCCACTGCACTCCAGCCTGGGGGACAAAGTAAAACTCTGTCTCCAAAAAAAAAAAAAAATACACACACACACACAGACACACACACACACACACACACACACACACACACTCTTCCTGCTCTAGGCTACACATTTGTACAGTATGCTACTGTGCTGAATACTGTAGGCAATTGTGACATATTTGTGTATTTTTTTTTCTTTTTGAGACAAAGTTTCGCTCTTGTTGCCCAGGCTGGAGTGCAATGGCACGATCTTGGCTCACAGCAACCTCTGCCTCCTGGGTTCAAGTGATTCTCCTGCATCAGCCTCCCTAGTAGCTGGGATTACAGGCATGCACCACCACACGTGGCTAGTTTGTATTTTTAGTAGAGACAGGGTTTCTCCATTTTGGTCAGGCTGGTCTCGAACTCCAGACCTCAGGTGATCTGCCCACCTCAGCCTCCCAAAGTGCTGGGATTACAGGCGTGAGCCACCATGCCAAGCCATATTTGTGTATTTAAACACATAAAAGGTACAGTAAAAATACAGTATGATCTTAGGGGACCGTTGTACTTCGGTGACCAAAACGTTGTCATGTGACATACGCAGTGGTGACACCCTTTACGAGCACCGTCTCTAGAGGTTTAATTGCTTTGTCCTTTCTAAATGAAACATAAATGGATGTTTGGAAATCCTAAAGGCGGTGTCTACATCATCCTATCCAGCATCCACACTCAGCAGCACAGCAGCGGGCGCGTGGGACCCCAGCCCCCACCTGCAGGCATGCACGACCACGATAAGCTTGTTTCTCTGCGAGCTGTGCCGGATGGTCAGCTGGATCTGCCCCAGTGGAGACTGTCCCAGGGTCGTCCCGCTGTGGGAAAAGAGCAGAAAGTCACCAGCTTGCCTGAGACTGGAGAACGTTGTGATTCATTGGTCCACTGTACACGATAAAATAATTTCTATTCATTTAGACAAAAAGAAGTCAAATTACCCATGAACTTAAACATAATTTGAAACTTCTGGGTACAAGTCAAACAGATGAATATTTTACTTGAGGGTTCAATATAAATTAATTATTCAAAACTGACATTATTTCTTTTGTTTTTGTTTTTTGAGACGGAGTTTCACTCTTGTTGCCTAGGCTGGAGTGCAATGGCGCAATCTTGGCTCACTGTAACCTCCGCCTCCTGGGTTCAAGCGATTCTCCTGCCTCAGCCTCCTGAGTAGCTGGGATTACAGGCGCCCGCCACCACGCCCAGCTAATTTTTTGTATTTTTAGTAGAGATGGGGTTTCACCATGTTGGCCAGGCTGGTCTCAAATTCCTGACCTCAGGTGATCCACCTGCCTCGGCCTCCCAAAGTGCTGGGATTACAGGCGTGAGCCATCGCGTCCAGCCAACTGACAGTTTTTTAGTTAGGGTCCTGAAAACTAAAAGTAAAATCCTAAGCCCCCACCCCACTCCCATGTGAGTGGACCCAGGGGACCCCAGAGAAACTTAAACACTGAGTTCCTGACCACAACAGGACGGGAGGTTATTTATACCCCCCCCTTCGCAGTTCAGATGCAACAACCGACTGGCATTAATGCTGCAGCAGAGATCGTTAAGACTGAAGGAACAGATTCCTTGCGGCAGTAAGATACCAAGCTACAAAGAAGACCTGGGGCCATGCCAGGCAAGGGTAAGCCTCACACCCAACGCTTAACAGAATAAACTGGGTTCTACCTGCCACCAGGTGTTTCTTTCTCCAGCAGCTAAACAAGCACTGGCCTCGAGAGCAGCAGTGTTAAAGCAAAATCCCAGCTTGTCCTGATCCAGATGCTGACTCAGTGACCCCTGCTCCACCGGCGCTAACTGCAGCTTTGACTGACGAGAGGCTGATTTCACAACTTCCTCCTGATGGCAGACCCTGACCACGGACTGCTGCTGGCTGTTCTAGAGAGGCTGGGCACTCTGCGGCATTCACAGCTCCTCCTGGAACCTGCTGAGGACGCGTGCTCCGCACAAGCTCCTGCCCTACCCTTCCTCCTCTGAGGTGCTTCCGGGCCTGTCAGGCTGGCCAGCCTGCAGGCTGCAACCCTATAAGGATAAGGAATAGTCTCCTTTCTAAATGTGCAGATCTTATGATTCACCAATTGAGCACCCGAGGTTAAAACCACACAGTGTCCTTATTACAAGCATCAGCCCTGTGGTCCTTGTTAAGCAGTTTCTAGCCTGTCCTACCCGAATTTGCATGTCCCGTCTCAAAGCCTCATGCAAGCCACGTGCTCTCTTCCCATCTGATGAGACTGCAGCGCCCTTCCTTCCATTTCTCTCTGCTCAAGGATGGAACACAGACCCCCAAAATGACAACTGGTCTTGTTTGTTCAGTGGCCCCTAAGATCATTTCTACTTCCCAAATTGAGCTCCTGAGAAAAAGTGTTTCCTTGTTTAAAATTCTATTTCCTTCTGGAGCAAGAGAGAAGGAATGTTTTCTTCTTTCCAAAATAGTGGACATGAGAAAGCATGAAAGAAAAAAGTGAGTGTGGCTCAGAGGAGGGCGGCTGTGCAAGCTCCACAGTCTGCGTGTGCTTTTTCTAACAGCTCAGAAGCACCTTTGCCTCCGTTTCTGTTACTATTTTCTTATTATTCAACACACCTCTTATAACACCACACAGGGAGAACTATTTCAAAGGTCAATTTTGTTTCTTCCACCAAGAGGAAAAGGTTAACATCTGAAGCTTGTGATAACTACAGACAACTTTTTCCTCCGTATCTAAAGAAACCCTTAACACACACCTATGAGTCATGGGGCTTAAATAAGGAGCCAACACAGACATCCGAAGACAAACAAAAGAGACTGAGCAACAGGGATGGGATCCAACTACGTGAAAGAGCAGGTCTGTCCTCACACAACGGGGAGGCCAGGGCTTCTCCAGTGGCCGCAGCGAGGCCCGCGGGCCAGCTCTGCGTCTGTCTTCCTGGCAGAGGCCCAGGCACACAGCAGCGTCCCGGCGCTGCCTCCTGTCTTTCCTACTGTGAAACCTATTACTCCATCACGTTCTAATCTTTAATGACTAAATCCTAGAAAATGGCAGGTTTTATTTCCAAAGTCCGAGATGCAGTGAGCAAAACGGCAACACAACCTGAAGTGCTTTCAGTTAACCTAAGATTAGGCCTCCCTCCCCAAAGCATGCCGGCCTCATGCTCTGCTGCGTTAAACGACTCTCCCCCAGCGTGGGGTGGGGGGCGCTTGCTCTGCTGGTGAGAAACAACATGGTGGCACTTAGTTACTTTTCCAGCTGCCTCAGCCTTTGCCGCAGCTCCTGGGTGGCGATGGGCAGCGAGATGTCCGAGGCGATGCTGGGGGTCGGCTCCTTGACTGAGATGTGGCCTGGGGAGGCCAGGAGGCTGGAGGAGCTTCTGCCCAGGTCGTGCAGCCCCTGAGGGCCGGCCTCAGGGGGCTGGGCCTTTTCTTCCATACCAGGCTTATCACTGCCCCCAATGACTGGTGTGGATGGAGCTGTGTTGCTGCCACCAGGGCCTGGAGACCCAGACATATGAGATTTGATGGATGTTTTCCTCCCCTCTTTGGACACAGAGGGACGTTTGACTTGAGCTGAGTGTTGGTGGTCTGGAGGCCTTTCTCGCTTTTCGAGATGGAGCACCTAGAGGTGGACATAAACATAAAAATTAAACTTGGTGACACTGGTAACATCCTAATACTGGAACAGCCTGGGATGTCTTTACCTGCAAAAATTTCTTTAAAACTTAGCTCAAAAAAAAATTTTTTTTTAAAGGAAAGTTTAGGTAACCAAAATGTCACTTCTGTGATACAAATACCACTTTTTTCCCAGAGATGAGGACCTGCTAAGCTGCACAGGCCAGAGTGCTGTAGCTCTTCACAGGGGTGACCATCGCGCACTACACCACAAGCTCCTGGCCTCAAGAGATCCTCCCGCCTCAGCCTGCCAAGTAGCTGGGGCATCGCCGAGGCCTGCGTCTTCAGGCTCTGGTGGCAGCAACAGGGCGGTGGCAGTGATAAGCCTGGTGTGGAAGGGCAGGCCACCCCCCTGAAGCTGACCCTCTGGTGCCACACAACCTGGGCAGAAGCTCCTCCATCCTCCCCAGGCCACGTCTCAGGCAAGGAGCCCCCCATAACACTTCTGCGTATTCCTCTAGTCTCTTCCGTTTCCATGTATTTCTACACAATTGTGGGACAATGTTTTTACATCAAGAGCCCAGAGTCGCATTTCCTCGACACAAGACCAAAGCCCGTATTCTACATAAGGGGTTTCCACCCGGCGTCCCCAGAGGGAGGAAGAAAGTCCAGAACCCCTGCTATCCAGCAAGATCACCCCAACAACCTGACATGAGTGCAGGAGCAGGGGGTTCCCGCAGGGCCTGGGGTCTCCCAGTTGTGTGAGCACATGAGCTGGTCCCTGGGCTGGCTTGAGCAGAGTCCACACCTTGTAAATCACTCCACTCACGTGACAGCTTAAAGGTTTTTTCTGGTTTTAGGAAATAACGCTGCGGTGAACATCTTTATGTTCCTGGTCTCCCCACACTTTGTATCACCAAAACAAAAGTCAGGTTTCTAGAAGAAAGGCCAAGGAGCCTTCAGATGAGTGGCTCAGGGTTGTCGCAGCTCCCTCTGGAGAGGTGTGCGACACCTCCAGTCTCTGCCGGGGCAAGGAGGCTGTTCCCATTGCCCCCTCAATAGAAGACATTTGTAATTTTCTTAAAAAGCTGGCTCTTTATTTTAATTTGCATTTCTTTGATTCATGAGTTTTAGTATTTCCCCATATGTTTGCCAGTTTTACTTTCAATATTTCCTTAGCTATTTACAAATGAATCGTGATTTTGGACAAAAAATATTTTTTTCCTGTAAGTTCTACTGTCTCGTGGAGTTTTATTAAATTCTCTCTTCTGAACAACCTTTGAAAAGTTAAGACTTAGGAGAAAACCTTGTTGATACCAACAGTAACACTTTCTGGGCCAAAGGATAACGGTAAGGTTGCTGGGTTCACAGGAAAGCACTGTTTGAGTAGCCGTGGGCCTGCTCGGGCAACCTGGAAACGTGGCCTGTTCTATGGCTGAGTCCCAGCCTTTGTCTTCTCCCCGGAACCCTCTGATACCCAGCAACAATATCTCCTCCCTGCACCGGCGCCCTCCTGCGGCCCAGAGCTGCAGCCGACACAGAGCTTTCTTCACCGGCCTCATGCCCGGGGCCCATGAGTATCCCTGCCAGCACCCGCCTCCCCATCCCCTATGGTGTTCACTGCAGGACGACACGATACCCGCAGGGCAATCTTCATCTTGATGGTGCTGTTTGGACCCGAGTTACTGAGCTGGAAGCGCTGGCTCACAGTCATGTCCTCACTGGTGAGCAGCTGGCTGAGGGGGACCTTCAGGTTCCCCAGGGAACACTGGTGCTGCTCGTCTCTGACCTGCAAAACACAGGGTGGAAACACTGGCATAACTAGGATCATGTCTGCAGAACCTTTCTACGTTGTCTACGCTCCTGACCCTTTGTCCTCAGAGATAGGAACTTAGAAAATGTAGAAAGGGGCCAGGTGGGGTGGCTCACGCCTGTAATTTCAGCACTTTGGGAGGCTCAGATCACCTGAGGCCAGGGGTTCGAGACCAGCCTGGCCAACATGGTGAAACCTCATCTCTACTAAAAATACAAAAAATTAGTTGGGCATGGTGGCGCGCACCTGTAGTCCCAGCCACTCAAGAGGCTGAGGCATGAGAATCGCTTGAACCTGGGAGGAGGCGGCTGCAGTGAGCTGATATCGCGCCACTGCACTCCAGCCTGGGTGACAAAACTGTTTCAAAAACAAACAAACAAATGTAGAAAGGTCCACAGACAATATTAGTCTGTAAGAAAGATATTTTTAAAAACCCAAACATATTTCAGCCATATTCTCTTAAGTAGTGTTTCCATAATGATTAACATGGTATGAAATCTCCTAACAAAGACACAAAACACTGTTAACAAGCAAAAGATCTGCTATTTCGTCATTATAGATTACAATGAGCACAGAAAGAAATGATGTAATAATGACAAATGAGAAAAGCAGTAATGACAATAATGACCAATCGGTTCGGAGAACCCTGGGTTAATAGGCAATAGTCTACCTGTCTTTTAACCCCTGGGAAAATGGTGGCAATACACACTCATAACGATGTATACAGTTTCCATTCATGACATTTATGGAGACAATACATTTCTAAGTACCTTTTAAGCCTTCTCCATTCAAAATCCACATTAAAGAAAATTTACAGCAAGGCATTTAAAAATTTTTTAAAAAACAGAGGTGGATCTCACTATGTTGCCCAGGCTGTTCTCAAACTCTTGGCCTCAAGTGATCCTCTCATCTCAGCCTCCCAAAGTACTGAGATTACAGGTGTGAGCCACCATGCCCAGCCTCTTTTTCCTGTATAATAACCTTCTGCATTATCTCTGCAACAGGAATTATTCCTGTTAGATGGCTGTAATATAAAATAATTTAATCAAATAGAGTAAGAACTCTGAAGGTTTCTCAGGCTATACAAAAATGGTCAGAGAAATTAACACATAACTACTCAGGAAAACCTAAAAGGTTGATTGCATATTTCTTTTCAAACTAAACTATAATCACAAAAGCAGTTTTAAATGAAATAACTATGACAATGTTTGTGGAACTTTAAAAATTATTTTTAAAATCCAAGGTCCAGTAAGCATAGATTATTTTGAGAATACAGAAGTGCACTTTATGAAGGAAAAACCAGCTAGACAAAACACAAATCCTTTTGTATAAAACAGAATGTAAAAAAGTATCAGATTGGGGCAAAAGTAATTGCAGTTTCAATGGCAAAAACTCCAATTACTTTTGCACCAACCTAATAAAACAACCAACACAGAATAATGAGACAGGGTCAGGCAAGCGGCATGACCAGGTCTCCTAGGCCCGGCTGTTCACACTCACCTATCTAATGAGACAGGGTCAGGCAAGCGGCATGACCAGGTCTCCTAGGCCCGGCTGTTCACACTCACCTATCTAATGAGACAGGGTCGGGCAAGCGGCATGACCAGGTCTCCTAGGCCTGGCTGTTCACACACACCTATCAAGAGAGGTTCAAGATACAAGTAGCAAAAACAGAGGCTGAGGAAAAAAACATAAATTCAGAGATTTAAACGCCATGCTCTTCATACCTGATATAAGTAGTCTGAGAACTAGTAAGGCCCCAGAGGGCCTGAGCAATGGCAATGCCACCAACCACCCTGACCTACTGACATTCATGAGACACTCGCCAACACCAGAAAGGCACACAGCCTACAGGTGCACGTGGAGTGTGTCCCAGGACAGGCAGTGCTCTGGGCCATAAAGCCGGTCTCAAACATAAAAGGGCTCATGTCATACAAAGTATGTACTCTGACCACTATGGAATGAAATTGGAATCAATAATAGAAAGATTAAAAAAAAATCCCCAAACATATGGAAACTAAATAACAGACCAAAATAACCCATACACAGGTCAAAGGAAAAAACTGAAAGGGAAATTAAGGAAATAATAATAATCAAAAGGAGACATCAACGACAAGTCAAAATTTGTGAGATGTAGCTACAGAATTTAAAGTGAAATTTATTGGAGTAAATGCCTACATTATAAAAACAGAAATGTCTCAAGCTTCTTCTTTAAGAAACTAGAAAAAGAGAAGCAAAGACCCAAAGTAAGTGGGACTGAAATAATAATGATCATAGTAGAAATCAATGAAATAGTAAAAGAAAAGCAATAATGACAATTAAACAAAAAATTGGTTAAGAAAATAAAATCAATAAACATCTTGTAAGACTTATTAGGAAGAAGAAGAGAGAAGACAGGCCAGGCATGATGGCTCACGTCTGTAATCCCAGCACTTTGAGAGGCCAAGGTGGATAGATGGCTTGAGCTCAGGAGTTCGAGACCAGCCTGGGCAATGTGGTGAAACCGCATCTTTACATACATAAATAGACACACACACACACACACACACACACGCCCCTCCAACACACAAAAATTAGCTGGGTATGGTGGCATGCACATGTAGTCCCAGCCACTTGGGAGGCTGAGGCACACATACACACATACCCAAAACACAAAAATTAGCTGGGTGTGGTGGTGTGCACCTCTAGTCCCAGCCACTTGGGAGGCTGAGGCGGGAGGATTGCTTGAGCCTAAGAGGTCAAGGCTGCAGTGAGCCATGACTGCACCACTGCACTCCAGCCTGAGTGACAAAGTGAGACCCTGCCTCAAGAAAAAAAAAAAAAAAGATTAATAAAGCACCAATAATAAAGACAGTGTGATACTGGCATAAAGACAGACATATAGAACAATGGAACAGAAGGAATTCCAGAAACAGACCTATACATATGGGCAACTGAATTTCTGGAAAGTTGCTAAGCTAATAAATTAGGGCAAATAATAATCTTTTCAACAAAGACTGAACAACTGCACAAATGCTGAACAACTACACAGCCATATTAAGAAAAAGAGGCTGGGCACCGTGGCTCACAACTGCAATCCCAGCACTTGGGGAAGCAGAAGTGGGAACATCGCTGCTCGAGCCCAGGAGTCTGCGACCAGTCTGGGCAACACTGTGAGACCCTACAAAAAATAAAATAATTCTCTACAAAAAATAAAAAAATTAGCCAGGCATGGTGGTGTCTGCCTGTAGTCCCAGCTACTCCGGAGGCTGAGGCAAGAGAATCACTTGAACCCAGGAGTTGGAGGCTGCAGTGATCTGTGATTACACCACTGCACTCCAGCCTGGGTAACAGAGTGAAACTCTGTTCTCAAAAACAAAGAGGCGGGGTGCGTTGGCTCACGCCTGTAATCCCAGCACGTTGGGAGGCCACAGTGGGCGGATCAGCTGAGGTCAGGAGTTCAAGGCCAAGCCTGGCCAACATGGTGAAACCCCGTCTCCACTAAAAATACAAGAAATCAGCCAGGTGTGGTGGCGCGCACCTGTAATCCCAGCTCTCAGGAGGCTGAGGCAAGAGAATCACTTGAACCCAGGAGGTGGAGGCTGCAGTGACTGAGATCGCACCACTGCACTCCAGCCTCCATGACAGAGTGAGACTTCATCTCAGAAAGAATGAAACATTAAAAAAAAAACCCCAAACGTCTTACAAACTCAGTATTAAGAAGACAAATAACCAAATAAAAAAGACAGGCAAAAAAACTGAATAGACATTTCACCATAGAAGATACAAAGACCGTAAAAAAGCATAAAAAGGTGCTCAACGTCATTAGTAATGACGCTGAAACCACCCGGTAATACTCCTATCTACCCACTAACACCACAGCACTGGCGAGATGTGGGGCCCGCTCGACTCACATGCACTTCGGTGGGAATGTGACACGGCACAATCTCTTTGGAAAACAATTTGGCAGTTTATTAAGAAGCTAAACATGAACCTGGCAACCTGCTCCTGGGCATTTTACCCAACAGAATGAAGGCATATGTACACACAGTCTTGTATGTGATATTCACAGCAGATTTATATGTAATAGGTCTAAACCGGAAAGAACCCAATCTTTTATCAATGTCTTACTCACAGGTAAATGGATGAGCAAATTGTGGTATATCCATAACTACTACTCAACAATAAAAAAAGACAAACTGTGGGTATCTGCAACAACACAGGTAAACCTCAGAATAATTATCACCAGAGAATATAGACAACTAGAGGACATACCGCATAATTCTATTTGTATAAAATCCTGGAAAATGTGAACAGTAATCTACAGTGACCAAAGGCAGGTCTGTGTTTGCCTGGGGCTAGGGGAGGCCCGGGTTACAGAGAGATCTACCAATTGTCCTGATTCTGGCGATGGATCCCCAGGTGTATACACGGGTCACAACTCAGCAAATTGTATACTTTAAAAAGTCAATTATTTGTCAATAAATTGGTTAAAAAATGCAAATAAAATACCTCAACTTCAAGGTCCTGGCGCTTGGGATTGTGAATGAAGAAAGTGAAGTTTTCCTCCCACACAGGTTCATTGGTTTTGTATCGAATCTAGAAGAAATATCCAAATTATTAGCTCTGATATTTTCTGTGGAAAAGGGCTACTCATTTTATGTGTTTAGAAGCTTAGAATGAAAAATAAAAAGAAAATAAATAAAACAAAAAACTAGAAGCTTAGGTTGACCTTAATTAAATTCCAAGACATGTATTTGCAGGTATGCACTATTATGTATTGATGGTGGATGTGTTGAAAAGATAACGAGACGGTCTAAAGCCTTTAGAGTTTGTCATGAGGCCCCAACCTGTGCGCCCACAGATAAAGGCTTCGTGTGCGTGGCCTGGCCTCGGTTCTGTAATGACTTTTGCACCAACGTAATAGCTCCTCCGAACTGAGGAGGGTGAGCACTTGGGCACGTCTCTTAAACTGTTCACAATTCAGTGAGTGATGACCTGTAACTTCGGGCAATTTCTTTCTTTTTTTTTTTATTTTTTATTTTTTTTTGGTAGGGGGGACAGAGTCTTGCTCTGTCGCCAGGCTGGAGTGCAGTGGCGCAATCTCAGCTCACTGCAACCTCCACCTTCCGGGTTCAAGCAATTCCCCTGCTGCAGCCTCCCAAGTAGCTGGGATTACAGGCACGTGCCACCATGCCCAGCTAATTTTTTTTCTCCTGTAAGGAAAGTAGAACATATTACAGCAATATGTAATAGCCATACCCTCTTTTCAAGTCGTAATTCTAACTGTATTGGTTGAATTTTAAGCACTGTTGGTTTTCTTTTAAACTATTTATAGAGTGCTCAAGACAAACTTAGGAATTGTTCCCATGTGTCTACTCATAAAATCAAGCAAAAACATATTCATCTATTACTTTCTAATGTTATTTTTGTTTTGTTTTTTGAGACAGAGTCTTGCTCTGTCACCCAGGCTGAAGTGCAGTAGTGCAATCTCGGCTCACTGCAACCTCTGCCTCCCGGGTTCAAGCGATTCTCCTGCCTCAGCCTCCCGAGTAGCTGGGATTACAGGCACCCGGCACCGCACCCGGCACCATGCCCGACTAAGTTTTGTATTTTTAGTAGAGATGAGGTTTCACCGTATTGGCCAGGCTGGTCTCGAACTCCTGACCTCAAGGGATCTCCCTGCCTCGGCCTCCCAAATTGTGGGGATTACAGGTAGGAGCCACCACACCTAGCCACTGAAGTCATTTTAAAAAATGAACAGTATATTTCTTGGTATTTCAAGTAGCTGGTTATCTATATCAAATGACTGATCTAAGAAAAAATAGATCTGAAAAGCCCTGGTCTCGATGCCCACGCTATCACACAACTGAATGTATTTGCAACCCGGCATCCCCAGGTGAGACGGCAACACGGACAGCGCCCGCACGACAGGCACCAAGGCTGAGTCCAGGGCGAGCACCTTACCTTGCTCTCCTGGGCCTTGTGCCCAACTGACATCTGGACAACAGGATTTGGGTTGCTGCTTATTTTCTTCCCTGACTACCCAAAACAAACAGAAAACAGACAAAATAAATAAACACATTTTAAATGGGTCTTAACTAAAAATGAAATTACTGGCTTATATTAGTAGTCATTTTTATTTATCTCTGATATTTAAGGGAATATCTGGGAACAATTTAATGGGAAAACATAAGCTACACACACCCCAAACCATAACTACAAAACTTTCATTTGCACACAAATTTTAAAGGTTAGAGTCTGGTATTTTTAAAGCCAACTACTTTGGAAAACTGAATCTTCTAAAAATTCTTAATGTTAATCACACTTTTCGAAAGTTCTTTTATTTACAAGGATAACGAAAATGAATAAAGTGCAATTAATGAAAACCAAAAATCATTAAAAGACAAATGTAAAAGAACGTAAAATTCAGAATATTTCTCTGGCGGGAATAAAAATAGTACAGAGTGTCAGATACACGGTTTTATGTTCTCAACTTAGCGTCTTCTGTTTGAGCATTTTTAAGCTTTCACATATCAAATCTTGCTTACCAGCTGCTAAATAATTTTGACTGGAAGAATAATCATCAGTTTAGAATCATATTAAATTAAGCAGATATAAATATGAAGAAAAAATTCAGGACTAGGAAAAACGGTAAGAAGTACACACTAGCACAGATAGTTGATAGGAGAAAATAGTAAAGCAGCAGATACGTGTGACATGAGGTTTATTTATAACTTAGCCCCACAAGAAGATGCAGTTAAATATCTGTGTTAGTGGAAATTAATTAGAAGGTCACAAAAATGTTTTTGAGTTAAATAATTTTAGAGTCAAGACTCAACAATACAGCAGTGTCAGAAATAGGTGTCAAAATCCTATCATTATTGGAAGAAATATTATTAGTTCAAACCTACTGCAATAATCTATTTTCTGGTTCATCTTTCTGATGTGAATGAATTCTGCAAAATAAGTACTGTTGAAAAAAGTTTCCAAGGCTACAGATTACTGTGGAAGAGAATACTAATTTCCCCCCTAAGTTAATTTTCTCCTTTTTCCTTTAATATTAGATTCCCAAGTTTTAGCTGAGCACAAGTCCTCTGTAAATACAGATTTTGTTGGCTAACCTCCCTTGCAGTCAGGCATGGCCAAGTAACTAAGTTCTGGCCCCACAGGAGGCTGTGTCCCCTCGGGCTGGAGCCACAGGTAGCTCGTGGCAGATCCCCAGGCCAGAACCCCCGGACTTTAGAGGGACATCACCTACTGCTACTTCTAAGTCAGTTCTATTATTAGATACAGAAACCAAGTGCTCCTTAATTAATATAAACACTTCATCTCTGAAAAAGTGGTCACCTGTTCCTAGAAATTGACTGCACCTTGTCAATTTTAAAACATATACTTTTTTTTCCCCAATTTTCTAACATCTCTGAAAACAGAATGAATCTTAAATCGATAATATATACCTTTTTGGGGGAGGTTGGCAGTAGTGAGAGTTGTCACTGCCCTAACCAATTTATTTCGCTTCCATTTTCTGTTTAGGTATACCTGTCAGTGACATGATAAAACTGTTTATCCTAAAATTCTCTAAGTATAAAATAAACACTGTCAAAACTTAGCGGCATTTAAAATCTTATTGGTTCATAAAATAATGATGTATCTTAAAATGGATGATGTTTTCAATCCTATGAAATAAGGTTAAATCATTAAGTTTTCCTCTATGATGCAATATTCAAAATCCATCAGCACAAGTCAAAGGGACAAAGTATAATAAAAATATAAGCGTTAAGTCAGATTGTCTTGAACTTAAACCTCAGCTCTGTTTATCCCTTGATTATTGAGACCTAAATATTGCATCTATCTGAACCTCAGTTTGCATGTTTACAAAATGGGCATTTTTGGAAACTAGGTGAGCTAATTTAATAATATAACAATTATAATATATATTATCCTAGCTACACTGGGCACTTTCATACGTATTCTTTTATTTAATGTATTCGATAATTTCATGAAGAGGATACTACTCCTTCCATTCTACAAATAACACAACAGAGTGGACGAAGTGTCTTGTTGGAGGTCACACTGCTTGCTGAGCAGTTGGGTTGCAATTTAAACACAGTCTGATTTCAGGGCCTTCAGCCTTAACGTTATGTTCTCAGATAGCAAAGAAGAGTGTTGATGTAATTCCTTTCAATGTTCTGGAGGGCACAGTTATTTCAACTACTGTGCTAACTAGTACTCCACAGGAGTAACCCCTAGTAACCCACAACTTATCTCCTTGGTGCAGGACGAAGTGGGGGTTCGCAAATACCACAATATAAAGCAGACTCTGCCAGTCTCCTGCACTTTTGAAATCTAACTCATTTTTTCCAGATGAGACTGGTTAAAAACAGTTCCTGTTTCTTTAGAATAGATAGAATTTTCTTTAAATAATTTCATTTAAAATTCCCCACCTCTCCCTAAAATTTAAGCCTAAAATATTCAAAGAAATTAAAGAAAAAATAATAAAACATTAAATCATAAGAAAACTTTTTAACAATTTGCCAGAGCACACACGTGGATGTCATATTTTAGGGAGTGGAGCTTAGTTTTCAATAGACCTCATTTAATGAAATTGAAAGCTTCTCAAGAGATCACCCAAACCCAGCAGCACCAGAAGCCATGAAGGTGTTGACTCAGAGATGACCCTAACTCAACATATTGGAAGAGGTGATATTTAAATGTATATTCACAGTTCACAAGGCATACCCTTTAAGTCATGATTTAAACATCAGTTAAGATTTTAAGTAGAACGTCTATATCACAATTTTCACAAATTCAAATCCAATTAAAATAGATACTTAAATCACCTTAGAGAGAGTTGCCTAAAGCCAACAGGAAAATAATCTAATTTATCATACTAGTACTTTATAAAATTTACCTTCAAAGTTGACTTTAATTGTTCTAACTACTAATTATTGGATAACAAAAGTAGGGTCTCTTCCACTAGACAATTAATTACTACATAAATATGGGAGGTAATTTGCCAATAAACTTATGAGACAAAGTATCATCTCTTTCAATATGTTTTCATTAACTCTGTGACCTGAAGGGAAAACAGTTTACCTTTAAAGCTCTCTGAACTGCAGTCTTCTTCAAGACATCGGGGTTAAATTCTAATGGGTTACTCTTTCAAGTCAGAAGAAAACGAATATGCCAAGGGTTAATAAAACATGCAATGAAGTTTATGTAAGGTTAAAGACATGAAAATTTATGGGAATAAACAAACAAAAATCTTTAAACAAAACCACCAGAATTACACAAACAACCAAAATGCCACGTATAAAATTCTTTATGCCCAAGACTTCATCTTAGAATGAACCTTTAATCTATGCATATCAAAAGACAGCTCCTTATCCCCTATGATTAATATTCTTTTACTACCCCCACCCTCTTGATCCCTTGTGATTTCACAAATACAAGAGTGGGGCTTTAGGAAAGGGTTCTATTTACTATTCTATGCTGAATAAACCCCTAAAATACCAATCATAATTAAAGGTTTTATTTGAAGCACAATGAATGGGCCACAGCCGCCCAAGTCCCTCTCAGGCCAGGTCAGGTCCTGGAACCGCCGCTGAGACGCACCTTCCCACCCAGCACCCAGCAGAGGAGCTGCTCCTCTCTGCTCCTCGTCCTTTTCCGGGGTAGGAGTCAGGCTGGCTGGATCCCCACAGAAGCTTCTTGGGCTCTAAATATAGTCCTATGATTATGGGTTTTATGTTTACTTTTATTGATTTTTTTCCAATTCATTAGTTTCTTGCCCTCAAAAAGGCAAGACTGAGTTGTTTTGCAAGCTCCTTCTAGGACTAGTATTCAAGATTAAAGAATTTATCATTTTAGTTGTAATTAACTTCAAACTTGTGACAAGCTGAACTAAATGTTTAATTTTTTTTTTTTTTTTTTTTGCTAAGCAAAAGATTTTATAATGAAGAAAGATGAGTAACTAGCCTCTCAATCTTCCATGACTGGCAGGCTGGGCCAGGAGAGAAGATGGAACATGCGGCCAGGCAGGAATTCACATGACCCTAAAGCTGCCGGTGGAGCTCTCAAAAGTCCCTAGATCCACTGCGTCCGTCTCTAGGTGGAGCCTGGACAAGGGCATCCTTCACACACTTCCCAGGGGCTCATATACAATGAGGATGAGAACTCTGCTGCCCGGAAGGACTGACATTCTTCGGATATCCTACAAACCCTTCCTGAAGCTCACTTTTGGATAGATATGGGCTGTACCAAAGACACTTATTATTCTAACATGCATCAAGTAAAGTAAAACAAGGAGAGAGGCTGCGGTGTGTGGGTAGGGGATGCAGGAGAAGCTGTGTAAGGTAGTGGACAGCTGTGTGGCTCTGGGGATGAGACAGACTAGACCAGGCAAGTGCTTCAGGCAGGTGCCCCGTCGGGAGGCCTCTGGAGTTACTCATCTTGCAGCCTCGGGCTACTCACCATCAGGAAGCAGTGGGAGCCACCTGTGTTTTTTGTTTTGTTTTTATTTATTTATTATTTATATTTTTGAGACGGAGTCTTGCTCTGTCACCAGGCTGCAGTGCAGTGGCACCATCTTGGCTCACTGCAACCTCCACCTCCTGGGTTCAAGCGATTCTCCTCCCTCAGCTTCCCAAAAAGCTGGGACTACAGGCATGCACCACCACACCCGGCTAATTTTTTGTATTTTTTTTTTACTAGAGATGGCGTTTCACCATGTTGGCCAGGATGGTCTTGATCTCTTGACCTTGTGATCCACCCACCTCAGCCTCCCAAAGTGCTGGGATTACAGGCATGAGCCACTGTGCCCGGCCTTTTTTTTTTAAATGACAGCCAAAATAACTTGCACAAAGCTCCTAGCATCATTAGGCCTAAGGGCCTCCACAGTGGTGGCTATTATCCAGCTAGTACTGTTATGTTTAAGGCATTAGTGCAAATACCACTCATCTCAGATGAATTCCACATACAGACTGATGAATCTATAAACTTAATAAAGTGACAATAAATTCACTTTGCACTAGGGTCGAGGGGACAAGAGGCGCCAAGCACCCCGACTCTGGGCCCACGCTGAGTTCCAATTCCAGCTCTCCCACGCACTGAAGCCGTGCCTGGGAATCTCTAGTCTGTGTCATCTGGGTTCTTGGTGTTGTCTTAATTTCCTTATCTGTAAAGTGATAATGAGGGTCTGGAGATTAAACAAGTAGCAACCTGAGACCCCTGCCTGGCTCCTGGAAAGTGCTCAGTAAGTATGCTGTCATATCAGGCTTAAGATGTCAAAGCTGGCCACCATGAGTCAGAGGAAGTCCTTCTTGTTCAAGCCTGAAATTAAAGCCCAGAATTTCATCAAAAGAAGGAGGGCAAAGTTCTAAGAATCCACATTATGAAGAGGTCGTTTCCAGCCTACGAAAAATTCCTATTGTCCTAAGTTTGCAGATGGGGATCGCTGGTGGCAATGCACTCCTGGAGCTGGAATTCAAGGTGCTTTTGAGTGGGTAGGAAGTAAGAGAGCACTGGGTTGGCAGCCGTCAAAGCCTTCACCAGTGACAGCAAGGCTCTCAGCCCTCTGGGGAAAACTGAGAAGCACTGATCTGGCTTCACGTTGAAAACCAATGGGTGGGGGAAAAGTTCACATTTGTTTTACGGAACATCTTAGGTGATGCATATGTTCTAATAAGGAAGTACAGTGTGCAACTTGGATAATGCTGCAGGAAAGCTGATTTTGGTAACGCTCCTGATACAAGGTCAGAGACACTTCCTTTCTGCAAAAGGAAGCAGTTGTAGAATGGGAAAAAGCAACTTGGAAAAGCTATTGGAGATAAACTAACAGTTTACACAGGGGAGCTATCTAGTCAGATTTACACTAGTCTATGATGAAATTTTCTGCAAGCAAAAAATTATTTTCTTAAAAGTAACAGGATATGCTGCTGTTACTTTTAAGCAGTAAAACAGGTACTGCTGACCTCACTTTGACTTTAAAAAGGCCTTAGACATATATGAGTAGACAGCCAGAGAGACTATGGTTACCACTTACTATCGCTGTGACTCTGAACAGCTCACCTAACCCCTCAGGGTCTTGATTTTCCTCATCTGTAAGACAGGGCAAAATGCCTGTTCTTCCAATGAGATCACTTGGACACAGGGCGGGGAACATCACATACTAGGGGCCGTCAGGGGGTAGGGGGAGAGGGGAGCGATAGCATTAGGAGAAACACCTAAGGTAAATGACGAGTTGGTGTGTGCAGCAAACAACATGGCACATGTATACCTATGTAACAAACCTGCACGTTGTGCACATGTACCCTATAACTTAAAAATATAATTTAAAATAATTAAGTAAATAAATAAACAAAATACCTGCTCTTCAAGTTTTGCCCCCTACGCTCCCCCTACTTTAAAAAATAAGAATAAACTGAGAATGCATAGGGAAATCCTTTGGAAATAGAAATGAAAACTCTACAAAAATGCAAAGCGCTATCACTGCTCTACTAAGGGACAACTGGGCCGTAAGAATCTCACTGTCAGTTGGATGAAGTCTGACTTTCTGGGCTAATGACTAAGACGCTGTGGCCCCCTGTGGCCCTGAAGCAGGTGAAAACGGCTCTCTACTGCAAGCACAGAGAACAGCACAGGTATCCAGTGCCAGACGGGCAACATATGATGAGATGGGAACAAAGACACGCTCAATTATCCACTCCAGGAAGGTCTTTAAGTGTCTTAAAAGAAAGTGAATCACAAACTTAATATACTTTTCTTCTCCCTTAGGAGCTCTGGGTAAATCATGTAAGTGAAGGCAAATTTTTATTTAAAAAATGGGTGAATTTCTATCTTCACGTGACCATCCCCCAAATGACTGAGAGTTGATTACACAGCAGGGTTTTCAAAGAAGGCCCTAGTTCTGACTCTTGCGTGTTTGATCAGGAAGGGATAATAGGCCGGGCATGGTGGCTCACACCTGTAATCCCAGCACTTTGGGAGGCCGAGGGGGGTGGACTGCCTGAGATCAGGAGTTGGAGACCAGCCTGGTCAGCATGGTGAAACCCTGTCTCTACTAAAAATACAAAAATTAGCCAGGCGTCGTGGTGGGTGCCTGTAATCCCAGCTACTCGGGAGGCTGAGGCAGGAGAATCACTTGAACATGGGAGGTGGAGGTTGCAGTGAGCCGAGACCATGCCATTGCACTCCAGCCTGGGCAAGAAGAGCAAAACTCCATCTCAAATTAAAAAAAAAAAAAAAAAAAAAAAAAGGAGGGGATAGATTTTAAAACAGTTTTGTGAAACTTTACAAAAAAATTTACATCTCACATTGAGATGAACCACAAGAAAATGAATTTTAATCATTATGGCTTCATTTCTCCTCAGGAGAGGTTTTTTTCAACGAGCCAGTAGCAGTTGAGGAATGGAGGACCACTTCTCTACTAGCCAGGGTTGTTCATCTCATGGTCAGATGCTCTCCAATGTTACAACAGTGTTACATTTCACAAAACAAGCACAAAATAAATACACAATAGTTAAAATCATGCAAGAAAATAAAAGCATGCAACATCAGTCCACCGCCAGCCAACTGCATTAGAAGTTCCAGTCCACATTCTGGCAGTTTCCAAACAGACAAAGAAAGAAAGAACCCCGGAGGACTCACAAATAGTGCTCTATAGACTGAGGCGGTATTTTCACAAAACACTAGTCCCGACGCTCGCCTCTCTTTTAAGTAGCCACACCCAAAGTTTCCCTCGTAGATGCCCTTAGGGCAGTGGAGCCAGGGGAGAAAGCAGAGAACGGTGGATTGTGGTCAATGAGAGCACCAGGAGCACCACAGACAGTGAGAGGCAGAGCCAAAGGATCCCAGAGCTCGCGGGACGCCCCTTAATCCAGCGCCAAAGGATCCCAGAGCTCGCGGGACGCCCCTTAATCCAGAGCCAAAGGATCCTAGAGCCCGCGGGACGCCCCTTAATCCCGCGCCAGGCACCCCGCGGCTCTGCAAAGATCCTTTGCTTCTGATGGCCACAGCACATTCCATGCACAAAGTGCCCTTTTAACAGAAGATCAATACAGTCTCTCTGGGTTTTTTTTTTTTTGTTTTTTGTTTTTTTTGCTTATGTGACATTATTCAAATTTCAATTTAATGTGACAACACACACAGTTCTAAAGAGGCCTAACCTTTTGTAGTCAATTCACTGATACTATTCTCTCTACCCTAAAATAGAAAACAAATTCACTTCCATCAGGCATTATGGAAGCCTTTACAACAAACATTACCATGGCTAAAAGCAAACAATTCTACTGTATAGAAATTCTGTGGAAAGATTAAATACTTAATGAAATAACTTTTTCCAAATTGAAATTGTAACAGGTAAAGTCACAGACTTTAGACTGGAAGACTGATCAAAGGCTAAGGTAAATAAGAGAAATGTAAGAATTCTTCTAAGAAGTTAAAATCGGTCAAGAAAGCTTCATTGAAATAAACAGTGCAATTATATACAATTACATACAACAAAGAGTACAATCACATCCTCCCAGTATGAAATATAAGTGATCAATCATATCTTAATTGTAGGTAACTTTAAATAAAATGCACGGGTGCACAAGTATTTACTTCATTTCTGTGCAAAGCTCAAGGAAATGCACAGTTCTCAGAACGTGGAAGGTGCTGGAGGAAGCCAAGGGCGTGCATATCGTGAACTATGAAGCGTAGTCTGACCACGGCAAGGCAAGACTACAGGGGATCGAGAGGCCGATAACTGAGGTCCAGGATGTGTGTCAAGAAGTGAGTTAAACGCTTCTTTGCCTTCTTGTCTATCTCCCTGGTAAACACTGACAAAGGGAGAAAAGACACAGGAAGACGATTTATGTACAAATGCACTTGGGTGGATGAGTATTTACTGTGGAGGAGGAATTATGCAATGAACAACTTGGGGAGGAAAGAAACTTCTGCACCGCGTGGCAGCAGTCTTTCTTCCAACAAAAGCGGCTGTGGACACGATGAAATAAACACTGAGTGCCTAGTCAGCAAGTGTATGGGCACTCTAAAATCATCAAACAAGATGACATGACTAAGGACCACACCACTATCCTCACTAGCAGGGTTTAAGGTAGGATGACGGGAGAGCACACTATGCCTCACAAGATGGAATTAGTAAGATCTTCCTTTTCTGTGGTTACGGTTATTACCTATAAAACAACATTTTACATTTTTTCTCTACGAATGAACAATTCTGATACAAACAAAAATATATGCTTCTAGGCACAGAGTGTCTTGTATCTGGCAGTAGGTCATTCCGAGACATGGCTTCCTTTTGTTCTGCGAGAAACATCCCAGGCACCCGGAGGCCAGCTCGCTTGTGCAGCAGCACCATTCTGCCATCTGATGCCCCACGGATCGCCAAGGCCCAGCAGCTCACGCACGGCCCTGCGACAGCCATGAGGAATCTGCATTTTGTAATCAGAGCTGCTTCATTTTATTCCCATTCCAAAGAGAGACAATTTCCATCCTAAGGCAACTAAGTTTTAATGCTTAGTGATTTTCTAGAGAGTTAACCTCTTCTCCTAACCACTATTCATCTTCTTTTCCTATGTACTGCACAAATCCAGCTAAATGTGTAAACAGAAATGTATGCACTCCCAGAGCAAACACTAACTTCTCCCTCTCCACTGCCACTCTCCTGCACTTGGACGTGAAGTGAAAACACAACAAGAAGAGAACAGGTGATGCAGAGTGCTGCACAAAGCAGTGGTTATAAGCAAGAGCAGCTGCTAGGAAATACGCACCCACAGGTGTTACCACTGTGTTACCTACCGGAAGGTTCCTTGCTGAATCCAAGTACAAGATCAGCAATGCAGAGGAAAGACCATCGTTGGCTTGGTCTTTGTCAGCTTTGATGTCTGTTAGCACCTAAAAGGAAAGGAAAAAGCCCTTAGCAGCCATGTTTCCACAGGATTAGATACTATTTCTATCTGATTGTATCATGTTGATTACGCTAAAAATAAGAAAGGTGAGAAACCATCCAATCCATGCAACAGAGACAGAACTAAAACAATAAATGCCTTTTAAATAACAAGACTACTATTCCATATATAAGTCAATTAAATGAAGCACTCAGGTGATTTCTGGCTCTACAAATCCCTGCACTTTAACAAGCTCAAAACTGAAGATCTGATAAAACAGGTATGAAGGACCTATAAATTTCATTTTAAAAACTCCATTATCTTTAATTTATCCCTGATGCTACTGTAGTGACTTATTACACAATAATGAAAATTACTGCTATAATTGTTAAAAAATCAAGTAGCAACACAACTGAGAGACCAAGCTCAGTTATGAGGAGTAGTTGGTTAGGTAGTTTTCAAGAGCACATGCTTCAACAGCACCTTGTCGAGGTTTGACGCATTTGGCATTAACGTGAGCCACTCCAGTCTCAAGTGTAGCTTCCCCTTGGGAACCTCGTCCAGAGTGAACCACTGAAGAGAAAAAATGTTTACGTTCAGCAAAAGTTCTTCTGAATCAAAAATCCAAATTAAACCCAGTCTCTACAAATGTTCCATGCTGCTCACTAACCACGAGGCATCAACAGTTCTCAGTAACGCGAAGGCTGAGCCTCACCATATCCAGCTCTACGCTATGTGGATGCCAGTGACCTCACGTTTGGAGGCGATGGCAGCAACAGGTGTGAGCGACCATTCTAAGTGCTTTACACACACCAACCCCGTGACCCCGACAGAAACCCTAAGCAAGTACTAGTATCATTCCCACTTTACACATAAGAATTCAAATGTTTTCTAGCACTACCTAGAGACAGTAAAGTCTTCTATGAATAGACTTCTTTTTTTTGAGATAGGGGTCTTGCTGTGTTGCCCAGGCTGGGCTCAAGCGATCCTCCTGCCTCAGCCTCCCCAGCAGCTGGGACCACAGGTGTAGGCAAGCATGCTCCACCAAATGGCCTTTAACGGAATGTACAGGGTAAGAGGTAATACAACATTGATTCCAAATACTGAATTTCAGTATCAAACGATTTAATCTGTTTGTTCTAATTCATCACTCTATACTAATAAAATAGTATACAGTTGTATCAGCTTAAAAGTCACAAAATAATTAATCAAAGATGCTCCTCAAATGCTAAATGATAGAAGCCATGGGCAGGACTGTCCATCCAGTGCCTGGCACACCCAGGAAAACGAGATGTCACAGCCAATGAATGCTGAACACTCAAGGGAAGGAAACGTGTGATTACGAAAGCAGCAGAATTCAACACTTTTGTTTAATTTTGCTTCATTTATCTAAATCTTACCCTTCTTTTAGAAGCCACCACAAATGTTTCCTTTTTGATACTTTTTATTCTGATAGCAATAAAATGGTGGAAGTCGAGTCTCCTTGCCATGAGTTCCCACTGTCTCTACAGGCATCTCTCACGTGAGATGCCTCACTGGCCGCACTGTGCCTTCTCCACCATTCCCTCCAAACACCTGAAAATCTCCATCACTAGGGGGCATCTCGCACAGCCCTGCCCTTACTCCTGCAGGGGATCGCATATTTGTCTGCAATAACGTCAGTTTATGCTTCATATCCGTAAGGATTCCCAGCATATGGTAGGGACTCAACACGCACCTGAATGGACTCTTAAATTTATTTTTCATTTGCTATTTCTAAAAGGCCTAAATTCTTAGTATATGTTAAGTAAATGTTGTTCATGCCATACTAATTAGGATTCCGGCACTGTGTGATGGTGAAGGGGTGGTTCGTGGCTCCTCTGGCACAGGGCAGGGACTCAGTCAACAATTGTAAACAGACCCACACTCCAGGGAAACTTACTTCATCTAAAAGGCGCTCCTTTTCAACTTCAATGAGGTCAATCATAAGACTATAAAAATAACAATACGACAACTTTAGAACATAGAAACACATTTCTTACTGAAACAACTTTAAAACATAGAAAACACATTTCTTCCTGAAACAACCTTAAGCATTTGTCTATGAACAAGCACTCCAGAAATGCAACAAAACGCTAATAATTTATCAAGGAACAGACTATTTTTCCACAAGCTTCCTCCAGCTCACCCCCAGTGTCAGGAGAGTAAGGAAGAGTGAGGTGGAGTTTCTGTGAGCTCAGAATACTGAGTTTGGCCCAGCTGAGGTTAGAGCTGTAAAACAAAAACAAAAACAACTCATCTTCCCTACAATGTTACATGCATCAAAAAATGTTTGAAAGCATCTCAACCCTCTTATTTTACACGTCCTCTTGGAACGTCTTATTTTATACGTTCACTCACAACTCCAGTAGGGTTGTGCGTTACTGTGGATTCCTCACTCGCACAGTGAACGCTAACCTCACGTTCCCCCACCCTTGCTCCCAGGCTCTAGACCCATGCTGCATTGAGCCCGATGGACGCCCTCACTCGGTGCATCTGAGAGGAGGCCCATTCCCGTTCCCCTAAACCTCCCGTACTTCCAAGATTGGCACCACCCCCAGACGCCAGATACAACTAGATGGGATGATTATACTCCCACTTCTTCTTGTAGCCTCTTCTGCCCCCCACAATCTATGTCTACACCGCCTTCTCTCTGTCCTGGTCTATGACACACTCTCCTATTTGGTCTGCCAGTCTCTAAGCTCAGCCCCCGACAATCCAATCCACACAGTGATTTTCCTAGAATGAGCACCTGATCTATCCTGTCTGGCTTAAAATCTCTCAATTGTTCCTAGTTGTCCTGGGAAGTCTCATGAACTCTCAAGTCAGGCCACAACGTGCAAGGGCCATTCTTGATGAGGTATGAACCTCTCCAATGTATTCTATCCCTACATCTTTTTTGCCACAATTTAATTCAGTCAAATAACTTAATTAGGTTAAATTAATCAGAAATAATTGATATTAACAAATGGTGGTCAAACAATAACCATTTTAAAAGTTTATTTTTAAAGCTATACTAGTTGTTCAATTGAAGTGAACAAACCAGTATTTATTTTCCCAATGTGAATTACTATATCCTGACAAAAATTAATCCAGCAACTCAAAAAACTTAAAAAACCCATTTTTGCAATCTGGAATAGAACTGTCCACTAGAACTCAATACGGCGGCAGGTTCTGCATGTAGCTTTAAGCCTTGTAAACAAAGAGAGTGCCACTCAGATAGTTTTTAATTTATTTAACTTTAATTAACTTAAGGCTAGTGCCTGCTGTAATAGACAGCACAGATCTAGAAGACTCACTTCTCTTAAATGTGAAACTTTTAGGAATAAAAATGTTTTAAGAAATCCAAGGTGAAACAATTGTTATATCTAAGAACCATTTAATGAATAGACAACAAGTATACAAATGTATTTTAAAACATACTTTTGATTATTAAACAAAAAGACTGACCCCATGCCCTCCTCCAATAACCACAATGGGCTTTATTTACCTTCCTAAAAAGTCATCCTTGTCTGGGTCTTCATCAAAGAGCTCAATCTCTAATTCTTGTCCAGGATGTTCATACACTAAAGCCTAAAACATCAATGGTTAGTAGTTAAGTGCATTTTTACTAATATAGTCATACACTGAGTATGATATGATGATTGTAGTAAATATGACCAGGTACTTTTCTCTGGTGGTAAATCCTTATTTATTTATTTATTTATTTATTTATTTCTGGAGATGGAGTCTCGCTCTATCTCCCAGGTTGGAGTGCAGTGGCACAATCTTGGCTCACTGCAACCTCCGCCTCCTGGGTTCAAGCGATTCTCCTGCCTCAGCCTCCCAAGTAGCTGGGATTACAGGCATGTGCCACCATGCCCGGCTAATTTCTGTATTTTTAGTAGAGATGGGGTTTCACCATGTTGGCCAGGCTGGTCTCAAACTCCTGACCTTAAATGATCCACCCACCTCGGCCTCCCAAAGCGTTGGGATTACCAGTGTGAGCCACCGCACCCAGCCAGTAAATTCTTTTAGGACACTTATTTTTTTATTGTCAAGTCACACACACCTCTTGAGGACGGGAGGTCACTGAAACACCTGCCACACAGTAACAGTCTACCGTGCTTGTTTCTAGGGATCCTGGATTGCGTCTCAATAGATCAAGTTCAATCACTCCAACAAGGTCATGATACGTCACCCACAAGCTTGGTGCAAGGCATGAGACAGACCAAAGATCCAGGACACATCCCTCTAGTCCTGAAGTGGCTCCACTCAGATGCTATCTTGGAATAACCACGAGTTATCTGCTTAGCACCACTCAGGGTAAGAAACTGGCAAGAGACCAGACTCACAAAGGAGTGGGGGAGAGGAGTCGTACGGTGAAGTATAAACCGTACGACTGTTCTGAAGGGTAATTCTACACATACGTCAGTCCTTTAAAAACTGGTGGAGTATAAATCACACGACTGTCCTGAAGGGTAATTCTACAAAGATATTTCAGTCCTTTAAAAATGTGTAACTTTTGATCCAGCAATTTCACTTTAAAGAGCTTTATCTGGGGAAAACTTGGCTGAGTGAAGAGACACTCACATTCTACTTGTACAGCATTGTTTGTAATGCTGACCTGAATAGCCTAGGCCTCTCTGGGTAAACAGATGAAGGCGTCTATTCGATGGAATGGTTATTAAAAATCACGTAGATCTCTATTCATTGACATGTGAAGATGTCCTAATTTAAAAAAAAGCTTGCAAGGAGGTATATAACTAACCTCATTTTTGTGTTTACTGCATTAATAACCACACGTAACATTTTATACTTAGAAATACAAGCTACTCACATTATGAAAAATATTTTGCTGATCATTCAGTATGATAGCATTATGTAATTAAGGTTTAAAACATTACTTGTTGGCATGACAAGAATGTTGTGTAGTAAGGAGAGAAGGTACGACACTTTTTAAAGATGGGAAATTAAACAAGGAACATTTAAATGATGGCCTAAATGAGCCACACTCCCACGTGACTGTGCTGGAATGAGAGCTTGGCCATCCCGCTCAGGGCTCAGCCCACCACCCCAGCAACACAGCAGACACGACACCCCACCTCATAGACTTCATTCCACTTTGGACTGAGGTTCTCCTTGATGACTCTGCTTTGGAAGATTTGGTTGCCAACTCTAATGATTCCATAGGGGTCTGACTTTCCCTTGACAAGTCCCTTAAGGTAAGTGTCTTTCCCCTGAAGATCCTGAGCTTCAATAAAATGTATCCTTAGAACACCCTGAAAAGAAGAACAAACTGAAGTTTAGACCCTTGGCTGGCTTGTTTAACTGGCATGGAAGATAGCTACGCACCTAACCCCGTCTCGAGAATTGGGAGTGCCGAGGGAATAAAGACCCTCTTCTGGTGCCGAGTACATCCCAGCAGCGGGGAAATGCAAGTGTGTATAGGAGAAGCAGGTGCTGAGACAAACAAGAGCAGGGCAAGGCAGCAGTGCCCAGGTGAGGCTGGCTCAGAGGAGAACAGATGGGCTTCTGGAGGGACAACCCCTCCACAGAGACACGAGGACAGACAGCCCCACGCAGCCCCAGAGCGCGCTCCTGGCAGAGGGACGCCGAATGCAGAGGACCCAGCACAGTACCATGCTTATCTCAAGGAGGCTGGTGACACAGGCCACCCAGCTGTACTAGATCCTGGTGCTACAGTGAGTAATAACATGAGAGGTTGTATCAGACCTGTCACGAAGCATTAGACATGTAGTAACTATGCTGTTTCATTTTCAGAATAATTCTATGCAATCCTGTCATTAAACTTATTTTAGAGAGGAGAAAACTGCAACTTTGAAATATGTATTATTCATAGACTTTAAACATAGTCTTGGCCAGGCGCGGTGGCTCATGCCTGTGATCACAGCACTTTGGAAGACCGAGGTGGGTAGATCAATTGAGGCCAGGAGTTCAAGACCAGCCTGGCCAACATGGCAAAACCCCATCTCTACTAAAATTACAAAAAATTTAGCCAGGCATGGTGGCGCATGTCCGTAGTCCCAGTTACTCAGAAGGCTGGGGTGTGAGAATCCCTTGAACCCAGGAGGCAGAGCTTGCAGTGAGCTGAGATGGCGCCACTGCATTCCAGCCTGAGCGACAGAGCAAGACCCTGTCTCAAAATAAATAAATAAACGAACAAAAAAACCAAATATAGTCCTTTCCCGAAAATATTGTTTTATTGATAAAATAAAAAAAAAATTCACTCTTATTTCTTCCAAGGCAAACAAAGATGCTCAAGTCACCTTTTGGTAGGAAGCATTCTGCCCCCACACATCCTTTTTTAAAATTACAGAGTGATGGCCAGGTGCGGTGACTCACGCCTCTAATACCAGCACTTTGGGAGGCCGAGGTGGGCGGATCATGAGGTCAGGAGATCGAGACCATCCTGGCTAACACAGTGAAACCCCATCTCTACTAAAAAACAAAAATTAGCCAGGTGTGGTGGCGGCTGAGGTGGAAGAATGGTGTGAATTCGGGAGGCGGAGCTTGCAGTGAGCCGAGATTGTGCTACTGCACTCCAGCCTGGGCGACAGAGCGAGACTCCATCTCAAAAAAAAAAAAATTTACAGAGTGATATTCCTCATTCAATCAGCACAGGAATACATGTCCCCCCACAGAGGAACACACTTGGAAAACTCGAAGCAGCTCTTGTTTATATTTTCACATGTCTAAAGTTGAGATAATCTGGCCACATCTATTGACAGCACCGGCTGTTAAGCCCATGCAGCTGAGGGCAGCCAGATCCAGGCTCAGGTGCTCACCTGTACTCAGAGCATAAGAGGCTTAGGTGCAGAGGATTTCTACAAGTAAAGGGATTCCTGCATTTCCAGAGGTGAGAGTCAGAAGTTAAGGAAAAAAGACATTCTTTTCTAATATACAGCATCACATTAAAGCTGTTGAATGCCAGCGATATAACCAATTTGAGCACCAAATTTACTGGCATATTGTTACTCTTAAAAAATATAAGGATACCTCTGCATGTCTGTTAATTTGTGCACCATTATTTAGATCTAATTAAACCAGAAAAAGTAAAAAGGCATCAGGAGAAAGCGATCTACTTCTACTTCAGCGAACAAAAATAAAAACAACATATCCACTGAAACAGGACCAACTTACCACGTCCTGTTTCAGTAAATATAAATAATGTGGTGTGCACTGCTTACTACAGACACCACCACGGTGGTAATGCTCACTGGCTTCTGGAGTCCAAAGTCCAGACAGACTTAAACAGACATGGGATCTAACACCTGAGTGACTGAAAAGCTCCTTAGCCCATGAGAGATCCTTCACTCCACCCACCCCTTCCATAGTCAGCAGAAGGAATCTCATGTTCTTGACTACTTTGCAGTTATTTATTTAGTTTGCTCAAATGAAGGTGACATCAGTATCTGCAACCAGCTCTGTGTGCTGGGTGCTGTCCCATTTTACAGATGACAAAACTGTGGCCCAGCCACACCAAGTAATATACCCATAAAAGCAAAGCTACAGCTAAACTCAAGAGCTGCGACAAAAATCTAGTTTTGTTCTTTCCATTTTATCCAGGGCAGCTGTTGTATAAGTGCTTCTTCTACCAGGTTACTCATTAAATGGCTTCAGAGGCAACGGAATTCTAACATCTGAGAGAAAATATACAAATTATTACATGAAGCTCTCATCATGACTGCCAGGAAAACTGGTGCCTGTTGCTGAGGGCTGTCCATTTTAATAAAAACAAATGCAGTATGTGCTTTCTGAGGTAACTAAGATGTCCGTGCCATGTACCCCTGCAGATTTAAATCCCTATCAGCCCCTCTGAGGAACACAGCTATGGGGTGAGAATCATCCTGCTGTCTCCACGACAAGCTTTAGGATCAGCGCACATCAGTCAAGTCTCTTAAGGAAAGTGACGGACAACCAATAGTCAATGCATCAAGACCCGTGTGGCAAGCTGGCTGCTGGGGAGAGACAAAGAGTCACAGCACCCAATGCCACACCCGCAGGCAGGCAGGTCTCCAAGATGTTTTTAAATGTGAATGGATGCCGGGACACGCTTACCTTTGGTACAGGAAACCGCAACTGAGCTATTTGAACTTCACTGACAAGTGGAACGGTGATTCGATTGGGAAGCACCAGATAGTTTGATATTATATCCAAAATGATAGTATCTGATAAACCACTGTTAGTTGGGAGACAAAAAGAGCAAACGGACTATCAGACATGTGAATGCTTCTCTCACCTTTGACAACAGACTTACCACGAATATGATGTAAGTCCCATTTATTTACAGAGTAGGAGTTATCTCATTCCTCCAGTGCAATATTTACAACCTGCATTTCAATTCTTTAGCTGTGATACCACTATGGTGACTATGATACAGAATTTATTTATAGAATACAAGGTAAAATTCTAGTTATTGCACAAGTAATGTGGTTTTTGCAATTAAAATGGCAAAAACTGCAAATACTTTTGCACCAACCTAATACACTTCATAATTTCCTAAATAACATTTAATGTATTCCTACTTCATCACAGATTTTATACTTATTTACTAAAATACACCTCATTGACTTTTTTTAACATAAACTATTTCAAACATACATATAAGTACAGAGAATAACATTCATTGGCCCATTCATGTTCATATACACATCTCATTTCTCCGTTGTTGTACACCAGTCCCCACTGAAGGAGAACTTACTTTGTTCTCTCTTATCCATTATCCAACACTTTGAGTATTGGACACATTAATAATTTTTGAAATACTATACATCACTGCACAGCAAACTAAGTGAATAAAATTGCTTAGGCTAAAGGAAAAAATATACTTGCTTTTTTAATGAGACAGAGTTTTGATCCTGTTGCCCAGGCTGGAGTACAACAGCATGATCTCAGCTCACTGCAACCTCCAGCTCCTGGGTTTAAGCAATTCTCCTGCCTCAGCCTCCGAAGTAGCTGGGATTACAGGCGCGCACCACCACGCCTGGCTAATATTGTATTTTTAGTAGAGACAGGGTTCACCATGTTGGCGAGGCTGGTCTCGAACTCTTGACCTCAGGTGACCCACCCACCTTGGCCTCCCGAAGTGCTGGGATTATAGGCGTAAGCCACCACGCCTGGTCAAAGATGTACTTTTAATATATCTTTTTTGGCCGGGCACGGTGCCTTACGCCTGTAATCCCTACACTTTGGGGAGGCTAACGTGGGAGGACTGTTTGAGCCCAGGAGCTAGAGACTAGCCTGGGCAACACAGAGCGAGACCCCTCATCTCTATTTAAACAAACAAACATATATATATGTCCTATTCTTTAGGGTAAACGTGAGAATTAAATAATGCATATGTGGCAGCACTTTTAAACACATTTATAAACCTAAGTTTCGTTGCTGTATAACACCTTTACCTGAATTGTGAAGTTGCGAAAGTACTTTGCTTCTCGCCCGTAATGTTTTAGATGCTAAAATTATTAACATACATAATTACAAATAAATTCTGAGACCGTGATAATCGTCAGCGTTCAACAAATAATGCCCAACCACCCACTGCAAGACAGTATCCACGTGTGATGACCCAGCACCTCAAGGACTTTTCAGTTTAATATGGGAAAAAATTTTTTAAATCCCCAAAAGAAAAACCATATGTAACACTACTCTACTTATGAACAGGTCAGTTATTCAGACAGTTAATACTTCCACAGAGATTCGGAGGGCTTCAGCCAGCAGACACTGGCTGTGTGTTCACCACGCAGAGGCAGGACCCACCCACCTTTCTCACACACAGACTCCTGGCCTCGGAGGCCACAGCAGCTCTGACGGAGCTCCCTGGCGGGGCTCCCCTCACTGCGCCTCCTCACCCCACTACACCCTGCATGTCCCCGAACTGTGGATGTGGATGCTGCTCCCCTAGGTCTCCACAGAAGCGTCTATTGAAGTGGTTACTTTCTTGGGAGTCACTATTTCCCTGTGTGTCCTTCGGAACCACGACTACTCATCACCCGTATTTTGTTTCCACCATAATCTTCACCCTTCTTAAACCTTCAACACTCAGCTTAGAGACGCTTATCAAAACATAACGGATATTTAATCATAATTTTCACCCTTCTTACGACTTCAACACTCAGCTTAGAGCCGCTTATTAAAACACAATGGATATTTAATAGGGATAGCCCAAAGTTATGGTGTAGTGAAGGAATTCAGGCATTATTCTTACTCTATAATGTCTGGGGTTTCTTTTTGTAATCAATTAATATAACATGTGGATGCTCATTTTATAAAGCTTGGGACAAGATTTCATTATGTTAAGTTCATGGTTATTTATTTATTTATTTTTTTAATTAATTTATTTTTTTTGAGACAGAGTCTCATTCTGTTGCCCAGGCTGGAGTGCTATGGCATGATCCTGGCTCACTGCAACCTCCACCTCCCGAGTAGCTGGGATTACAGGTGTGTGCCCACGCCCAACTAATTTTTGTATTTTTAGTAGAGATGGGATTTCACTATGTTGGCTAGGTTGGTCTCAAACTCCCGACCTCAGGCGATCCACCCGCCTCAGCCTCCCAAAGTGCTGGGATTACAGGTATGAGCCACCGCGTTCAGCCTCATAGTTATTTAATATTCACTTTTATAACCTAAGGGTTGCCATAGCTGTAATTTATCTGATAGAAAGACTGACAACTAGTAGCCCCAATTTTACGTACATATCTATTAAATTTTAGTACATAACATTTATGTAAACATAATTTATTATATAAAATCTACATAATTGTGCATAAATTATATATACCTATATATATAAACTTAGAAAAGATATTTTTACATTTCCCTTTTATACAACAGCCTGTTTTTTGAATGGTGTTTGTGTATTTATCTGTTAGGTAAGTATATATTTTTAATGACATAATTATACATATACGATTATATATATATATATTTTTTTTCCTGAGACGGAGTCTCACTCTGTCGCCCAGGCTGGAGTGCAGTGGCGCGATCTTTGCTCAGTGCAAGCTCCGCCTCCTGGGTTCACGCCATTCTCCTGCCTCAGCCTCCCGAGTAGCTGGGACTACAGGCGCCTGCCACCATGCCCGGCTAATTTTTTTGTATTTTCAGTAGAGACAGGGTTTCACTGTGTTAGCCAGGATGGTCTCGATCTCCTGACCTCATGATCCACCTGCCTCGGCCTCCCAAAGTGCTGGGATTACAGGCGTGAGCCACCGCCCCTGGCCTTATGATTATATTTTTGTATTACATATATAAAATCTACATATAAAACAAGAGAAGCTGGATGCAGTGGTACAAGTCTATAGTTCAGCTACTTGGGAGGCTGAGGCAGGAAGATCCCTTGAGCCCAGGGGGTTGACACCAGCCTGAGAAACAGAGTGAGATCTATCTCTGAAAACAAAATGAAAAATAAAAATAAAATAGCTAGAAATGACTACTGTATAAAAAGAGCCTACATAAAAATTATTAAATAGAATGGAGCTATACATGTATATTTATCTCTGTATTTACGTGTGTATGTGTGAATGACTTTTAAATAAAATGAATCAGGGGATCAACTTCCCCAAACTGTAGGCTTGCCGGGGCAGAACACATTCTCTGACTGCCCTTTCAGGTTGCCAGTATTAATACAACGTTGTTTACAGAGTAGATGTTCAATAATGCTGTTTTATTTCAGTCCTCCTATGATACTGAAGGGAGGCAAAATCAAATACTTTTTTCTACACTGATGTGTGTGGATGTTTGTTCCATTTGGCTAAACAGTATCTCCTCCCCCTATTTCTAGAGAAAGTTTTTGCTTTGGGGGATGCCCCCATTCACTGGAATTTCCATTTCTTTGCCTTCTGTAGGGGTGTATGTGAGATTGAAACCTGATCATCGGAGTCGCAGGAATCTGTCCAAGGGTGGCCCTTGCACACACAAGTTGGGCGGGGACCTAGCGGGAAAGGCGACTAAGTCCGCAGACTAAATGCTTGTAGCTGCAGGCACAGCAAGAGACTGCCTGAAAACAAGCCCACGAGGGACACGCCCACCCTGCATGGGTGGGGAGCTGGCGAGAGAGCCCTTATGGTGCCCAACACCGGCTCCATCTGAAGTCCCTCAGAAGACACGCCAGCTTTCCAGCTGCCGAGCAGGAAACAAGCACAGCTGTGTCCCATGCACGAGCGGCTGCAGCTAGCTCAGAGCAGGCAGTGGGCGCCCATTGTTGGAAGAGTGAATAAACTGCTTTTTGAAAATATTATTTACTGGCCGGGTGCGGTGTCTCATGCCTGTAATCCCAGCACTTTGGGAGGCCGAGGCAGGCAGATCACCTGAGCTCAGGAGTTCAAGACCAGCCTGGCCAACATGGCGAAACCCCATCTCTACTAAAAAAATACAAAAATTAGCCAGGTGTGGTGGCGCGCACCTGTAATCCCAGCTACTTGGGAGGCTGAGGCAGGGAGAATTGCTTGAACCTGGGAGGTGGTGCTTGCAGTGAGCTGAGACTGTAACACTGCACTCCAGCCTGGGCAACAGAGTGAGATTCCATCTCAAAAAAAAAAAAAGAAACTTACTTATTTACCTACTTAAGACCACTTAAGTCAGGTTTGTTGCTTGCAACCAGAATCTTAATGAACTCTTTAACCAATCTTTTAAAGTTGTGCTTTCTTTCCGCAGATCTTTTAAAGATCACAGCATTTTTCTGCATCCAGTAAACCACAGCACCTAAAAAGGACTTTCATGATGACTGTGCTTCAGATAATTAAAGTCCTAATTTTTCCCTAATAATGAAACAAAACTCTTTAGAAAGGCCATTTCAGAGGCATAAACAAATATATGAGAATAAAAAAATAGTCTGAAACCAAGTTTCATAATTTTCTAAACTATTTTAGGGAAAACAAATCACACTAGAAAATATCCACTAGAAACATATAACTTTAACCCACAGGTGATATGTTTTAACTTTCAAATAAAACGGTAAAGCCAGCAAAAGCATTTAGAGGCTGTAATTTCAAAACTTCCTATTTGGAGGTGACCAACAGGTCTGCCACCCACAGCCCCACGCACTGTTTCAGGTAATGGCACCACGGCAACTAGAATGACTCCTTGTCTCTAAGCAGGGATGCACCCTCCAGGGCCTCAGATGCTTGTTATGGAACATTTTTCTCCTGTTTTAGACACTAGATCACTACGGAATAATGAAGGGACTCCCAGTGAAATGATACGGAACTTCAAGTTCCTCACCTCTCACACTCAAGAGTTCTGGCGAAGTCCAGAAGTCCACACTGTCCCCAACCCATTTCAAAAAGGAATGGAATAAAAGTTAAAAAAAAAAAAAAGGCAGAAAGGGTGGGGTAGCCATAGGCTGGAGAGACCCTGGAAAGCATTTCCTTTTAAAGTTTCCTTTATTGTTTCTGAGAAGATTAAAAAAAAAAATTTGCAAACTGTTTTTACAAAATATTAAAAGACCTCTACTTTTCGAACATGCCAAGGCCAGGAAGACACCTTGTGGTGAACAAACGCAAATGAAGACTGCGTCCTCAGCTGGCACTCCAGAGCCCTCCCGCCCTGGCCCATCGCCTCCCAGCAGCTCCCGGCAGGCAGAACAAAGCCCCTGTACCCTCTGCTTGTTTCTCACGACAGCCTGTGGAGAAGGCACCCATTCACCTGGCAGACGCAGGTCTTAACCATTCTCACACTATTGTCAAGACATCCAAAATGCACAACACGCCCTCGAACGCTAAGCCTCCGGGACCAGACACGAGACTTACTTCAATCCAGGGACATCCAGAAGATTCGTCAGTCCTGTCCAGTTAATTTCTAAAAGCTGTTTTAAAACAAGGGCAAAATATTAAGTTCCAAACAATTTCCAATTATTGAATCAGGTGCACACAGGCTTGTTTCTTTGTAGACAAAATGGGTTAGTACACAACACAGACCCACACCCTTCATCCTTCGTAATATACCAAGGACATTTTTCTTTGGTGGTACGTGGAGACCTGCCTCTTTTTGTTTTTTGATAATGTCACAGTTTTTGCTAGTAAAATCATGAAATAATTTATTTACCCACTCTCCTATGGATGGATACTTAGAATTTTGACAACTTTTCTTTATTGTAATTACAAATAATGAGTCAGGGAATATCTTTTTACATACATGTTCTCATATACATATGCAGACTAGCATTCAAAAAGTGAGATTTTGGGGTCAAAGGCTTATGTTCATTTTTAATGTCAATAGATGGTACCTACCTGCCCTCCAAAAATACTGTATCCATTTACATTCCCAACCAAAGTGTATGAAAATGTCCTTTTCACATACCTCACCAAAAACAATACTAAAAGCCAGCCTATCTGGCAGTTAAATAATGGACTTTATCATTGTTTTACTTTGTATTTTCCAATTAGCAGACCATGCTCTACCCACTCATTCAACATCTGTGTTTATCTTAGAATAATTCCCAGTTAGCTAACATTCCATTAAGTAGATGTGGGTTGATGAAAACTATTGATTAGAAATACCGCTTTTCCTAACAAAACAGCACATAATAAAATTACTTGTGTTCTATATTTGTAGAAGAAATTCTAAGTAAAATTGCATGATCTCAATCACCCATATAGTTGAGTAACAAAACTGCTTTTTGGTTGCAATCCCTTTTTGGTTGCAAGCAAATATAAAGTGGAAGAGTCAAGATTCTTATAGATAGAACAAAACTTAAAAACAAACAAACAAACAAAAAACAATTTTTAAGATCCTGAAAGGCTAAGATTTCTCAATGTAACAGAAATGAGATATAAATATAAAATATTAGGAAGGAAAAAATAGGCAACTAATCTTCAAACTGGATTGCAAACATCAGTATCAACCTATGCTTTACCTCCCCCTTAAAATAAATGTTTTTCCCTAGTCCACCCATTGAACCCACCTGGCTAAACCTCTACATTCTAAATCATATGAATATATTTATAAACACTGACTTAAGAGCTCATTTTCCTTTCTCTTTTCTCTTACACAACTTAAAAAGGAACAGGTACTCCCTGCCACAGCAAAATATTCTGGTCATACAAAAATACCTGTCATGAGGAAACGAAGATTTAAAAGGGCATCACAACAGGATTCTATCATTTAGTTCTGAAGGTTGTTACTTCTGATCACAAATCTACATCAGGAAGTAAGAACATATCAAAGATATAGCACAGAATCTTGCATTTGACTCAGGTTAAAATGCAAGCACCTCACACAGCGCACCATCAGAGGACACCCACTGGTGACTGCTCCATCCGCAGAGCTGTGAGACACAGGGGCCACATGAACTTCAGGAAAGGATGGCTGTGTCAAGGAAAGTGGCAGGTAAGCTTCTAAATACAATTAGATGAGGCCATTGTAGTTAAAAGAACAGGAAAGAGAATACAATTCAAAGATGCTATTTAACAAAGAAATAAAGAATTTTTCCTATACAGGCATGCCTCGGAGATATTGTGGGCTGGGTTCTAGAGCAGTGCAGTAAAGGGAATATTGCAACATGTGAGTCACACACATTTTTTGGTTTCCCAAGGCATACTTAAGTGTGCAATAGCATTATATCTTTTTAAAAATGTACATACCTTTATTTTAAAACATTTTATTGCTAAAAAATGCTAACGATCACATAAGCCTTCAGCGCGTCATAATCTGGCTGGTAGAGGGTTTTGCCTCAGTGCTGATGGTTGCTGACTGACCGGGGTGGTGGTTGCTGAAGGTTAGGGTAAGACAACAGTGAAGTTTGCTGCATTGACTGACTCTGCCTTTCAAAAAAGATTTCTCTGTAGCATGCCACACTGTTTGATAGCATTTTACCCACAGAACAGCTTTCAAAAGCGGAGTCATCCTCTCAAACCCTGCTACTCCTTTATCAACTAAATTTATGTGATATTCTAAATCGCTTATTGTCATTTCAACAATGTTTGCAGCATCTTCACTAGGAGTAGATTCCATCTCAGGAAACCACTTTCTTTGTTAGTCATAAGAAGCAATTTCTCGTCCTTAAACTTTGATCCTGAGACTGCAGCAATTCAGCCCCCTCTTCAGGCTCCACTTCTAACTACGGTTCTCTCACTATTTCCCTTCCACCTGCACTTCCTTCTTCCACTGAAGTCTTAAACCCCTCAAAGTCATCCATGAGAGTTGGAATCAACTTTTTCCAAATTCCTGTTAATATTCATATTTTGTCTCCTCATGAATCACTAGTGTTTTCAATGGCATCTAGGATGGTGAATCCTTTCCGGAGGTTTTCGACTTACTTTGCCCAGATCCATCAGAGGAATCACTGTCTGTGGCAGCTATCGTCTTACAAAAAGTATTCCTTAAATAATAAGACTTGAAAGTTGAAATTTCCCCTTGATCCATGGGCTGGAGAATGGATGAGGTGTCAGCAGGCAAGAAAACAGCATTTACCTCCTTGTACACCTGCATCAGATCTCCTGGGTGACCAGGTGCACTGCTGATGAGCAGTTATATTTTGAGGGACTCTTTTTTTTCTGAGCAGCAGGTCTGGACAGTGGGCTTAAAATATTTGGTAAACCAGTGTGTAAAAAGGTGTGCTGTCATCCAGGCTTTGTTTTTCCAGGTATAGAACACAGACAGTGTAGATATAGCGTGATTCTTAAGGGCCCAAGGGTCTTCAGAATGGGAAATGAGTGCTTACTTCAACTTAAAGTCACCACCTGCATTAGCTGTGACAAGACAGTTAGCTTGTCCTTTGAAGCCTTGAAGTCAGGCACTGACCGCTCCTCTCTAGCTGGAAAAGTTCCAGATGGCATCTTCTTCCAGCAGAAGGATGTTTAATATACACTGAAAATCTGTTGTTTAGTGGAGCCACCTTTATCAATGATCTTAGCTAGATCTTCTGGATAACTTGCTATTTTACCTTGCACTTTTATGTTATGGAGATGGCTTCTTTCCGTGAACCTCATAAACCAACCTCTTCAAACTTTTCTTCTGCAACTTCCTCACCTCTGTCAGTCTTCATAGAAGTGAAGATAGTTAGGACTTTGCTGTGGATTAGGCTCTGCCTTAAGGAAATATAATGTCTGGGCTGATCATCTCTCCAGGCACTAAAACTTTCTCCCTATCAGCAAGAAGGCTGTTTCCTTATCACTGGTGTGTTCACTGGAGCAGCACTTTTATTTTCCTTCGAACATTTCCTTTGCATTTACAATTTGGCTGTTTGGCACAAGAGGCTTAGCTTTCAGCCTGTGCTGGCTTTCAACATGGCTTCTTCACTAAGCTTAATCATTTCTAGCTTCGCTTTTTTTTTTTTTTTGAGACAGAGTCTTGCTCTGTCGCCCAGGCTGGAGTGCAATGGCGCCATCTTAGCTCACTACAACCTCCGCCTCCCAGGTTCAAGTGATTCTCCTGCTTCAGCCTCCCAAGTAGCTGGGACTACAGGCATACACTACTACGCCCAGCTAATTTTTGTATTTTTTTTTTTTTTAAGTAGAGAGGTGTTTTCACTATGTTGACCACGCTGGTCTTGAACTCCTGACCTCAAGTGATCCGCCCCACTTGGCCTCTGAAAGTGCTGGGATTACAGGCGTGAGCCACCTAGCTTCTGACTGAAAGTGAGAGGCGTTCAACTCTGTCTTTCACTTAAATACATAAAGGCCACTGCAGGGTTGTGAATTCGCCTAAAATTTCAATATTGTTGTGTCTCAGGGAATAGGGAGATCCAGGAGAGGGAGACATAGGAGAACAGTCAGTCAGTGGAGCAGTCAGAAGATACGACATTTACCAATTAACCTGGCCATTTGATATGGTTTGGCTCTGTGTCCCTACCCAAATCTCATGTCGAACTGTAATCTCCATGTGTTGAGGGAGGGACCTGGTAGGAGGTGATTGGCGTGGGCACAGTTTCTCCCACACTATTCTCATGATAGTGAGGGAGTTCTCATGAGTTCTGATAGTTCTAAAAGTGGCTGTTTCTCCTGGACACTCTCTCTCCTGCCATCATGTAAGATGTGCCTCACTTCCCCTTCATCTTCTGCCATGACTGTAAGTTTCCTGAGGCCTCCCCAGACATGCAGAACCTTGAGTCAATTAACCCTCCTTTCTTTATAAAATGCCCAGTCTCAGGTAGTATCTTTATAACCCCCCTTTCTTCATAAAATGCCCAGTCTCAGGTAGAATCTTTATAGCGGTGTGAGAATGTACTAATCCGCCATCTTACACAGGCATGGTTTGTAATGCCCCAAAACGATTACATTAGAAACAACAAAGATCACTGACCACAGATCACAGTCACAGATAATAATGAAAAAGTGTGAAATTCTGCGAGAATTGCCGAAACATGACACAGAGCCATGAAGTGAGCACATGCTGTTCGCTTCACAGCACGGACAGGCTTATTTTTCACAGGGCTGCCATAAACTTTCAACTAGTAAAAACACAGTATCTACGAAGCGCAATAAAGCAAAGCACAATAAAGCGAGGTGTGCCTATGAACACTTTCATCTTAAATGTCGCATTCATATTTTATACGTCAGTCTTGTTACTTTAAGAAAAAAACCACCTACCATAGTCTTAATAGCATTAAGGTAGAATTGTTTTATCCAGGAAGTTTTGGGAAACAGAATTAACAACTCTCTTAAGAGCATTTTTCAATGTCATTATCTTTCAAGGAGAAGTCTACAACATGGAATACCTGAAATTCATGTTATAATGAGATTTTAATATGGTTCCAAGTAGCTATGTGCTATTTTTGGACTTGTTAAAATATTTGGGTGAGACAAGGACTGACTTTAGAAAAAGTCAGTATAAAGCTAATTTTAGTTGGTGATTTTGGACCTGTTAATATATTTACATGAAACAGACACTGGCTTTAGTCAAGTTACTTGTATTATGGATAAAAATGTAAAAAAAAAAAAAAAGATAAATGTAACTAGTTGCAGGCTATTAAAAAAATGTACAAAGTGGAAGGAGGAAAATAATAAAAGAATCTCCTCCTATTCCTGAAATTTCACGTTCCATACTATTATTCCATGTGGCAATCTGAAAACCATTTCCATCTGCAGTGTTAACATCCTACTTACTTCACCAGAACTGCAACCCAGAATGATGGCACTGTCTCTCCAGCTAACTGACTCATCAGCCTTTTGCGGGATGCAATGCTCTTCCTCACCAAGATTCCGATCCACAGAGTACAAAACATGTTTGCAGTTGATGCAAAAAACCTACTTTTTTATATCGTGTATAAAGGTGCTATGTAAAAACGACATCACACCGTGTGACTGGCTGGCTTCACTTTTTTTTTTTTTTAACATGCTCCCAAGAAAAGTATCCACTTGTTTAGATTAAAAAGTATGTTTCTGTTTGGAGGAACAGAAGATGTAACTTTACAGCTGACAAAACCCCTAGCCTGCTGTTACATGAAGACTTTAAAGGCCTGGGAGGGCACTGACATAATGTTTTGCTAGATTTTAAATGATAAAAACTGCCCAAATTTGGCAAGTAAAACCTCCATAAATGGGTAGTATTAATGCTCCTCTTGTAGGCAAACTATCTAGATAAAACTTCCTTAAGGCTATCTAGAAATCTGAAAGATGGCTTCTTGCCTATCAAAACAAAAGATCAAAGGCATCAAACATAGGAAGAAGTTTCTATTTATAGCAAAGAGCATGAAGGGTTATTGGAGTAAGCTCAAAAACAAAGCAAGAGAGCCAGGTGTAGTGGCACAAGGATTGCTTGAGCCCAGGAGTGTGAGGCTGTAGTAGTGTGCTCCACTCTATGATTCCTTCTGTGAACAGTCACTGCACTCTAGCCTGGGCAACACAGCAAGACTCCATCTCAAGAAAAAAAGAAGCCAAACAGACACACTTTGAAAATTACATATAAAACTAGGCTAAAAAGTGGGTCTTCAAATTCAGAGTTAGTCCTAGAACTGAGAAAATCATTTATTCTAGTTTCACAGTTAAGTAAACTAAGACCTAGAGGAAGTAATCTTATCTGTAACCTTTTGCCTTTCACAACTAGATAAGCCAAGGACAGAATGAAATCCTCATCTTTTCACTGGACCCACATGGGAAGAAACGACTGATTTTTAAGGACAGCTGTGCAGACGGTGCTGCGGCCCCTTCTGCTCTAAACCGTCCAATCTGCTCCTGTCTCTGATGTGCCTCATCTTGCTCACTGACTTCTCACTTGCTTCTAAGTCTCTCTACGTGGAATGACTGGCAGACAGCCCAGGCCCATATTTGCTTCTATGCCTAGCTACCTTGACTCGGGTATTTGCTTACAGAGGCTATGCAGAGCTTATGAACAAGGGGTTCTTGGCCCTGGGGTGGAGAGGGGCAGTCCTCTGCTACACAACACTGACAATTACAAGACACTTAAGTGGTCAGCATCCAACTTGGTTTCTACCACTAAGGGCAATAGGGGCCCCAGCCCCCATTATTGTGACACCCTAAACATCCATTTCCAAATCTGTCACTCAGAATGACTACCTACGAAAGAGACCATTCAAGAACAAAGTTTCTAAACTTTAAAGTACAATTTGGGAGATTTTAGACAATAAATGTCAATACTAGAAGCATCCCTATCAAAGTTTCCATTTTAATGATAAACTGGCCTTTATTTTCCTCACCAGTAACACGGGAACAATCCCATCCTGTGAGGACTAAGTCAGACAATGCACAGAGGCCACACGCCAGGCTCCAAGCCCACTGCCTGCGACTGCAGTCATCACCTGAGGGCTTCCTTCCCTGGAAATCCCTTTGAGCAATTAAGATCTTTCTCGCCACTATCAAGGACTAGCACATGTGCCACATAAGCATCACAGCGAACATTTACCCTTTTACTTTTGAAGTTCTGTCCCACTTTAATCTCAGATGAGGAACCATCTATAATCAAAGCACAACTGACCAAACATAAACCAAACAAGCAGAGACTATTTCTGACCAATTGTCTTAGAATCATTTCAGAAAAACATTACTTTGTCTAAAACAAAACCTCAAAAAGAATATTAACTATCAACGATGGAGTATTAAAAACACAAAACAAGGAAGTTTTAGTATAAGCTTGTCAGGCAACAGAGGGCATGCCCACGTGGGCCTTGTTGAAAAGACTGAGATACATTTAAGTGCTACTGAAGTTCAGAGAAACTAATCGTCAGGGAGGCAGGAGCAGGAATTGCGGAAGGAAAGGACTCAGCTGGCTTTTGAAAGGAAGAGATTTGAATGCAAGAAAGAAGGCACCAGGCAAAGGGGTCCCCATGTTCAAGGCACTGAAAGGCCTGTCCCTGAGCACAGGGAATGGTGAAGGAGCAAGAGCCAGAGGCTGTAATGACGGAGGGAGCAAGTGGAAAGAGAGAAAGGAAACACGTGTGTATGAGTGAGAATGTGTGTGAGACAAAGAGTGTGAGAGGCTGTGTAAATCTATGTGAGAAAGAGGGACAGAGAACTAATGTGAGAATGAGCGTGAGAAAGAAAATAAGTGTGAGAATATGTGAGGAGTGTGTGAGAACATAAGAGCAAATGTGAGAACAAATGTGAGACACAACATGTCAGAACAAGTACGAGAGAACGAGAACAAGTGTGAAACGAATGTGAGAACAGTGTGAGGTGTGAGGAGTGTGAGAGAACAAATGAGAACAAGTATGAGTGAACAAGTGTGAGAACAGTGTGAGGTGTGTGTAAGAATGAGTGAGAACCAGTGTGAGTGAACAAGTGAGTGAACGAGTGTGAGAACAGTGTGCGGTGTGTGAGAACAACTGTGAGAGTGAACGAGTGTTGAGAACAAAGTGTGAGGTATGTGTAAGAACGAGAACAAGTGTGAGAGTGAACGAGTGTTGAGAACAAAGTGTGAGGTGTGAGTGTAAGAACGAGTGAGAAGTGTGAGTGTGAACAAGTGATTGTGAGAACAAAGTGTGAGAGGTGTGAGTGTGAAACAAGTGAACGAGTGAACGTGTGAGAACAAAGTGTGAGAGGTGTGAGTGTAAGAACGAGAACAAGTGAGTGAACGACTGTGAGAACAAAGTGTGAGAGGTTTGAGTATAAGACCGAGAACAAGTGTGAATGAACGAGTGTGAGAACAAAGTGAGGTGTGTGAAAGAACAAGTGAGAACAAGTGTGAGTGAACGACTGAGAACAAAGTGTCAGAGGTGGGAGTGTAAGAACGAGAACAAATGTGAGTGAACGAGTGAGAACAAAGTGTGAGAGATGTGAGTGTAAGAACGAGAACAAGTGTGAACGAGTGTGAGAACAAAGTGTGAGATGTGAGTGTAATAACGAGAACAAGTGTGTGTGAACAAAGTGAGGTGTAAGTGTAAGAACGAGAACAAGTAAGAACGAGAACAAGTGTGAGTGAACGACAGAACAAAGTGTGAAAGGTATGAGTGTAAGAACGAGAACAAGTGTGAACGAGTGTGAGAACAAAGTGTGAGATGTGTGTAATTACGAGAACAAGTGTGTGAACAAAGTGAGGTGTAAGTGCAAGAACGAGAACAAGTGTGAGTGAACGTGTGAAGTGTGGTGTATGTAAGAACAAATGTGAGTGAACGACAACAAAGTGTGAGGTGTGAGTGTAAGAACGAGAACAAGTGAGTGAACAAGTGTGAGTGTGAGAACAGTGAGGTGTGAGTGTGAAAGAACAAGTGAGAACAAGTGTGAACGTGTGAGAACAGATGTGAGTGTAACAACGAGTGAGAATGAGTGAACAAGTATGAGTGTGAGAACAAAATGTGAGAAATGTGTGAAACAAGTGAACAAGTGTGAGTGAACGAGTGTGAGAACAGTGTGAGGTGTGAGTGTAAGAACGTGAGTGAACGAGTGTGAGAACAAAGTGAGGTAAGAACGAGAACAAGTGAGTGAACGAGTGTGAGAACAAAGTGAGGTGTGAGTGTAAGAACGAGAACAAGTGAGTGAACGAGTGTGAGAACAGTGAGAGGTGTGTGTGAAACAAGTGAGAACAAGTGTGAGTGGAATAGCGAGTGTAAGAAAATGAGTGTGAGAAGCAGCGGGAAAGTGGGAGTGTGAGAACAAAGAATGAGTGTGAAGGAACAAGAGCGTGTGACAAATGAGAACATGTGAAGTGGGTATGTGAGAACAAAGAAGTATTAAAGAACAAGTGTGAGAACAAATGTGAGAATGGGTGTGAAAACGAATCTGCAAGAGAACAAGTGTGAGAATGAGTATGGAAGCTCAAGCATGTGTGAGAACAAGTGTGAAAATGTGTGTCCATGAGAACAAATGTGAGAATGAAACCGTGTGAGAACAAGTCTGTGAGAATGAGTGCGGACAAGTGTGAAAGAACAAGTGAGAGAGAACGAGTGTGTGGGAAGGACAAAATGGGTGTGTGAGACAGGAGGCTCCAAAGCCCAGTCTGAGGTCCACATGAGGGCACCGTGGAGAAGCCACCAGCAGGGCCCGATAAAGGCCTGGCTTTAGAAGGCGCCTTTGGAAAAGCAACTAAAATCAGCGTGCCCCTCCTTCCCCATGGACACGTGCCTCAGGATGCTGGGAGCCTCGCCTCTGGAGGACTGAGCTATTTCAGGAAACTGAAAAGCCAGTGGAACAGGCATTTCCAAAGGACAGGAAGTCACCTCTGAGCTGTTGCGGCTTTTCTACGAGAAGCAGAACGTGTACGGCACTCCAAGATCGGAAAACAATGTCAGGTTTCAACTGGAATGACACAGATGTATCCACGTGTTTCATGAAGCGCACAGATGCCCCTCTTCTCTCTACGTTCCCTAATCCGTTGTGACGGGTGTGGGTAACGTTTACAATTCCAGGGCAGCTGCTTGGCACCTGACCAGTGCTGTATGCCTGGCATCCTGGCTGCATTGAGCTCCACAGTTCAGAACAAGAATCACCTGGGAAGTCTGTTGGAAATACAAACTCAGGGCTCCCACCTTTCTCCAGTTTTTTATTTAGCAGATCTGGGCTGTTGGTAAAGTTCAAAAATGTTTTTCTTATGTTTCTAAGTCCCAGGACTTCTGAGAGCTTCACTTTTGACCACACGGGAGAGCTGACATCCTGAGCCACCAGCCAGCGTGAAACCCCTCCTTCGGGGCAGCTCTGAGGGAGGAGAGGCAGGAGTGGGCTGAACTTGAAGGAAGACGAGATCCCCACAAAACAAGTGAGACGACTCCAGCAAGATCCTAATGAAAGGCCACAGGCCAAGTGTGGGTGAGTCAGAGAACCACAGAGGTGTGCACATCACGTGGTGGCACCTGCATCCCCGGTGTGCAAAGACGACCCCAGGGAGGACACTTCCCATGGGGAGGAGCCCGGGAGGAGGCAGCTGCCACTGTAGAAGGGCACAAAGGAAGCCCCGCCCCACCTTCCACCTTAAGGGACAGAAGCCATGGGGGAGGGAAGCACCTTGAGAACCCACTGCAGCTGGGGAGAGGTCCCTTAAGGACATGGTAGGACAATGTCCCAGGCTGGTAGAGACCTCTATTGCTGGGGCAGGTGCAGACCCTCTCCTGCAAAAGACCCGCCAAAGACACAAGGCACAGGGAGGAGGAGGAGGGTCTCTGGGAGAGCTCTGGCCCCAAGACCCAGGATGGACCAGGACAACAGGAAGCTCCTCTGTACCCCCTCTACTGGGGGTGGGCAAGACTGTCCAAAATAATATAAACATCAAACCACAGATCCCAGAAAGTCGGGGAAAAGAGCAGGATAAATACTGCAAAAACTCCCAGTTACTAACGTGTGGTCTGAGTCTGTGGATGTGCCTGTGGCCCTGACTCTGGAATTCACTGCAGCCTCATCTGCAAGGCTGTTAAGAATGGGCTTCAGGGAGCCCTGTTCAAACACTGCAACCCTCCTACCCCCAGCTGGTCCAGGGGTCGGTATCTGACCCAGCTGGAATGGCTCACAAGCCTGTAATCCCAGTACTCTGGGAGGCCAAAGGGAGAGGCCAAGGATGCAGGAAGACGCAAGGCTTTCTCTGAAGTGCTGGCAGACATGCTATTCCACATGTGGACTGCAGAACCAGATGAAGCTAGTCTCAGAGGGAGAGGAAAGCGAGCAGAGGTGGAGAGAGTCACGAAGGCTTTCGAATTCCTGGTTCCGTTCTGTTCCTGAGACTCAACTGCAGTCCCCTGTACACGTCATGAGACATCAATATATGCTATTTTTATGTTTTAAATAAATTCGTCTCCTTTTTATCCCCATTTGCTTAAAGCACATCAATTTCTGGAGTCCTTGGCTAATAGGATTCAATTTCTTCTCATAACAGAAGACACTGTTTCCATTTTACAGAGGAAGAAATGGAATCTGCGGTTCAAAAGATACCAGCAGCCAGCACCTCCGCATTGGGCTGGAAGACTCCAAAAGTTGGTGGATGAACATGTTTGGAGTAAGCCTAGGACCATTTCTAAGGGAAGTTTTGGGAAAGACCTCCGGGATCCCCTCTAGTCGAGGGATAAATCTCAACAAGACTAAGGACTCTGAAACACCCTAAAACCGTATGCTGCCCAACAACTACCAAGTGAGAAGGATTCCCTATGCACAGCCAAAGGCAAACACCAATTGGTTGAGTTCTTACCAGAACAATTATCCAAGCTTTTCTCCTTACTGATAATTCACCTCTAGTGGCCGGGCACGGTGGCTCACGCCTGTAATCCCAGTACTCTGGGAGGCCAAGGTGGGTGGATCACCTGAGGTCATAAGTTCAAGACCATCCTGGCTGACATGGTGAAACCCCGTCTCTACTAAAAATAGAAAAAAATTAGCCAGGCGTGGTGGTGGGTGCCTGTAATCTCAGCTGCTCTGGAGGCTGAGGCAGGACAATCACTTGAACCCAGGAGGTGGAGGTTGCGGTGAGCCGAGATTGCGCCACTGCACTCCAGCCTGGGTGACAAGAGTGAAACTCCGTCTCAAAATAAATAAATAAATAAATAAATAAATAAATAAATAAATAAATAAATCACCTCCAGTGTCAGGACTAAACCTACATGTAGGAGAAATATTTAATTTCTTAAAATATGAAGACTACTATCTGTTAGGTATTATACTAAGCAGTTTACATTCATTTGGCATTTAATTTTCAGATTTAATTGTGTGAGGTAGGTATTACTGTCCTGACATGTTACAGATGGGAAAACTGAGGCTTAGAGAAGTAAGTTGTTCAAAGGCTACAGTAAGAGAAAGAACTAGGAGTGGAAAACCAGGCTGTCCAACACACACGTCTATCACTTAACCACAGCGCTGTGCTGCCTTCTTCACCTACACTCCAACTTCGTCACCTCAGCAATATTTAGGGTTTTTTTCCTTCAACAAGTTCTACATTATAAAAACTAAACAAGCCAACAAGTAGAAAAATGTATAAAGGTTTCGTAAGGGTTTCTAAATCATCCAAATAGTAGAAAGAAATTTAAAAAACCCACAAAATAAAAACCTTTCTAGAAATATCTTTCACCAGGATGAGGAGGAATTACTTGGCAGCCAGCTGTAACTCTGTTCTCATATTTTCCAGTAAAATAAACTGAAAATTTTCCTTTTCACTGGAGTACGTTTGATGACTTTACTCACCATATAAGGAAATGAGTGACTCTGAACTTCTCAGCCCCATCCTTCTTTTCTGAGCACTAAATTTCATTTGGAAGTTAATACGTTATTTTAAAAGTAAAGTCATCAATGGAAGATCCAAACTAAGTAACAGCACTATTAAATTTTGAAGAAGATTTAAAGATTTGGATTTCGTTACATTCTGAAATGAACTTTTTAAAAAGGTCTTTCTCTAAATTGTTAAAAATGTCCCTGGCTAAAGATGGGTAAGTTAAAAATACTTAGCAATTTGTTAAGATTACTGAGGTTTTTTTGGTCACTAATGAAGTTCGTTTCTTAAACATAGAGGACTTTTAATGACTGGTATGGGAAAAAAAACACATTAATTTTAAATCTTATGAATCTCTTAACTTCCTGAATAGTAAAATTTAATTTTAACAGTAAAATTTGACAGAGATGACCTAGGAGTTTTTGGACGTTCCCATGTTTCGTGTACTTAAAATCGATTCAAAATAAGCCCATTCTTTCAGTAATAAGAAAATCAGAACAATTATTTTATTCATAACAGAAAGTGATGACACTTAATTCTTTTGTTTTTATACAGAAAAAGTACAAGCTGTAGTAAACTTAGTTTATGTCAGGTGTAGATAAACCCGTATTTTAAAAGCCAAATGACAATTTTTAATCAGTTATTTGAATCAAATTATATGAATTAATATTCCTACTTTAAATTACAAATGATGTTGAAGGTACTTCCATAAAGGACTCATCAATGGCACATCTTGCATCATTCATTTGCCAGACTCTAAGGAGACAGTTATGATCCTTGCTTTCAAAGAGCTAACAATAACTGTGCAGAAATTGCTGAAACAAAAGGGGCGAAGAAAGTTTCACAAAAGTGAAACAAAAGGGGTGAAGAAAGCCTTCTGCGGCAAAGAAAAAGGCACAGGGAGGTAGTGGCGAGGTGTGGGCTGATACAGACAACCATATGGGCAGTGTGCACCTGGAGAAGATGACCAGGAGCACAATGAACACGGAGGGCAGCAAAGGGAGACGCTGGACAGAGGCTGCAGGAGCCCAGGGAAGGAGGAAGGAGTTTGTCTGGTGGGAGTAACAGTTCTGTTGTCTTGGTTTTGTGGGAAATAACAAATAGTATTAACTACTGTAAAACAGCAGCAACAACAACACAGTATACGTTCCACATCCCTAATCTAAAAATCCAAAATGCTTCAATATAAGAAACTTTTTGAGTACTAGCATCATGCTCAAAGGAAATACTCACTGGAGTCTAACGCAAATATTACAAAACCTGAAACAAATCTGGTCCCAAGCATCTCCGATAACATTCAACCTGTATATAAAACTGTGTGTACAGTTCATTAAACACACCCCAAAAGAGGAAGGAGATGCATGCTAATGACAGCAGCCCTTATCTCTGGAAGGGAGAAGAGGGAGGTTTACAGATGAGTCTTCTCAACAAAGTGTTCAGGAACATGAGCTCTGTATCAGACTAAACTGGATCTGTATACAGGCTCTTATTAATTGTGTGACTTGGAAAAATAAGACTTTCAAAATCTCAGTTTCTGAACAGTAAGAGAAAACAATGTTAACATTTAGCTTTAGAGTCATGAGGATTAAATGAGCAAATATCTATAAATCATATTCAGTGAGGTGGTGAATAAAATGTGAGCTAAGACCCACCCTTCTGAAGAAGTCCATGTTTCCAAATTTTTGTAACATTTTTATAATCAGGAAAGAGAGCTGTTTATCAAGAGATAAGCTCTCAGTTAAGGCACAAAGAAATACAAAAAACTCCCACAGGATTCACACAACAGAAAGGGACAACGGTGAGTTGATAAAATTTTGTTTCTCCACTTTATATATTCTTCCACGGGTATGTATTTTTGCCACCAAATGGGAAAATAAAAATGAAATAAATATTGACTTACTGGTTTCCTAAGGAAGAAGATAGACAAAGCTCCAACTAAGGGCATATCTCCAATCAACGGTTCCAGGATCACCCGCATGGTACCATGAATCTAAACTCAAACAGGAAACCAAAATATGTAATAGAAAACATTCTGCAGGGCCGCTTAACGCAAGGAGTTTGCATGCGAATCTTAGTAACTTTTGAGCATGTGACTTCTTATTTATCTCAACTATGACCTACAGCTAAAAACTGAACGTCAAAAAAATTCCAAGCTAAAAAAACTTCCTAATTTTATTTTTGAATACAGCTTAGAGAACTTTAGAAAACTGTCAAATTAAAACAAAAAAACAAAAAACTTACCTGGATACTTTTCACACCAGCTCTACAAAAATATCGTTTGATCTCCAAATCAATCTCACAATTTCCTACAAAACTAACAAAAAATTCTGCATTACATGATGTAAGTGAAATGAACTATTCTCTTAATCATTATAGACCTGCAAGATGTATAATCTGAATAAAATGATAGTAAAGCAACCAAATCAGATTGTAGGTAAAAACCCTAAAATGTGGCCCATCAAATTATAGTATTTTACTGCTCCAGGTGTGCAGGCTGTTATCAGATCCAACACTGCTATGACGTTGGGAGGAATACTCTCAATCAATCAATCAATGGCTGTGGTTGTTGTTGGTCTTATATATAAAACACTTAACTAAATATAAATGTCCATGTTCAAAAGAAGATGCGAATAACAAACTGCAACTTCTGAAGCAGTCTTTTGATGCAATGTAGTTTTCTTACCTTATAAATCTGATGTTTAAACATTAAAAAGTTTAATTTTATTTCACACAAATAAATTTCACACCTTGCTTCCCAATCATGATAAATCTCACAGTGCCCTAGGCCTCTATAACATCAAAGACTAGAAACAGTGTATCTGTTTGGGGCCTCAATTTTACTCAATGATTAAGTCATTTCAAATATTAATATGAAACAAACATAATGCTAAAGGCAAGATTTGCACCTGTTTTTAATATAAACATGAAATGTCAAATACTTTTTCCATGGGTTAGTGTAGGACCTGAACCCAACCCTTGGCTCTTGGAGGTAGGATGTCACACTCCTACCTGACAATGTTTGTTGGTAAGTTTGATAAATGCTAGAAAGGGAATGTCTAAGCAGATAAGCAAAATAGTAACAAAAGGAATCTGGGATAAGTTTCTTCCAATATTTATTGTCCTGGTGTTAAAGCCAATACCTACAGATTCCTCTCATTGAGAATTACTCTCTACCTAGTTGGTAAAATCACCACTAACCTGTTGCGAAACTATTAAAAAAACTTTCCTTTTCTTCATTCTATGACTTGATCATTTTCTTTTCTTTTTTTTTGAGATGGAGTCTCGCTCTGTTGCCGAGGCTGGAGTACAGTGGTGCAATGATGACTCACTGCAACGGCCGCTATCTGGGTTCAGGTGATTCTCCTGCCTCAGCCTTCCGAGTAGCTGGGATTACAGGTGTGTGCCACTACGCTAATTAATTTTTGTATTTTTAGTAGAGATGGGGTTTCACCATGTTGGCCAAGGTGGTCTTGAAATCCTAACCTCAAGGGATCCACCCACCTGGGCCTTTCAAACTGCTGGAATTAACAGGCATGAGCCACCGCACCTGGCCTGGATCATTTTATTTTCTAATACTTTTCAATTACTCCTTCCCTATCTCTACTGCCTGCCAATTTGGTTAAAGTGCTTGTCTGGAACTCACAACAAAGCAGAATGCATATTTGTTCAGAGACATAAATCTGAGCAGGATACTTGGCATATGTTACGGCAGCTAACCATGAAACCAGACTGATGCGTATTTGTTCAGAGACGTAAATGTGAGCAGGATACTTGGCATATGTTATGGCAGCTAACCATGAAACCAGACTGCACCTTCAAAATGGCATCCACTGACTGATGGACTCAAACTCGCTCGGTGCTGGGGACACTGGACAACAGCACAAGGCTCCGACCCTCACGAAGCCTGGTATCAGCCCAGTGGGGAGAGTCCTCCTGGGGGCGGAGCGTCCTCCTGGGGGCGGAGCGTCCTCCTGGGGCACTGCCTGACCCGAGACATACGTGGGCCTCCTCCTTTATTCCACTGATGACAATGGTGTTTGCCCTAGCACCAAATATTTTAAAGAGGCAGATTTTTCCATATTAAAGAAAGTCTATGCTTCTTTCTGAAATAAAGGTAACTTGGTACCAACTTTGTACATTCACTATATTTAAATACTTTGTAAACTCAAAGATGATCATTTTAATAAAATGATCCTTAGTAAAGGATCAAAAACAGCACACAACTCTGAGTTGCTAGACACTACATGGTTGTTCTGAGTGCACAGTACTCACTGGGCACCACACACAGCGTGTTGTGAGGCCCCACGTGGAGCAGGAAGCCCTGAGCAAGCTCAAGGAAGAATGAGGATGAAGGACAAGAGAAGCCCGCTTTTAAGCCACAGCTGCATCACTGCCCTCCAGCCCGGGTGACAGAGCGAGACCCTATGGGGGGTGTGGGGGGAAGGAAGCCCATTTTTATTATGCTAGGCATGGCAGTTGGCAGATCTTCAATTTCTGTTTTTTTCCAATGTAAAACACTGTATTAAAATACACAAAAATTTGGCTGGGCATGGTGGCTCATGCCTGTAATCCTAGCACTTTGGGAGGCCGAGGCAGGCGGATCACTTGAGGTCAGGAGTTTTAGACCAGCCTGGCCAACAAGGTGGAAACCTTGTCTCTACTAAAAGCATAAAAATTAGTCAGGCATGGTGGCATGTGCCTGTAATCCCAGCTACTCAGGAGGCTGAGGCAGGAGAATTGCTTGAATCCAGGAGGCGGAGGTTGCAGTGAGCCAAGATCGTGCCATTGCACTCCAGCCTGGACAACAGAGTGAGACTCTGTCTCAAAATAAATAAATGAATTAATTAACACCCCAAAAATCTACCCTCATAATCATTTTTAAGTGTACAACTCAGTGGTACTAAACACATCCATAACGTGCAACCATCACCACCATCCGTCTCCGGACCATTTTTCAACTTGCAAAACGAACACTCTCCCCCCATTAAACACTAACTCCCCATTCCTTCTGCTCCCAGGCCCTGGCAACCACCATTCCGCTTCTGTCTATGAGTTTGACTCCCCCAGAAACCTCACACAAGTGCAATTATGCAGACGCTGTCCCTTTGTGTCTGGCTTGTTTCCTTCAGCATAAGGTCCTCAAGGTCCAGCATGTGGCGGCCTGGAGCAGGAGTCCCGTGTTTCTAAGGTGTACAGGCCACATTCTGCTTATCCATTCATCGGCCCACGCATCCTTGGGCTGCTTCCGCCTTGTAGCTATTGTAAAAAATGCTGCTAAGAATGTGGGTGTGCAAATATCTGCTCAAGTCCCGGCTTTCAATTCTTTCGGGTATGTACACAGAGGCGGGATTTCTGGATCACATGGTAATTTTATGTTTAAGGTTTTGAGGAACTGTTTCCACAGCAGCTGTACCATTTCACATTTCTACCAACAGTGCACAAAGGTTCCAATTTCTCCACATCTCACCAACACCTGTTATTTTCTGGGTTTCTTTTGACAGTAGCCTTTCTAATAGGTGTTAGGTGGTATTTCATTACGGTCTAGATTTGCATTTTCCTAATGGTTAGTGATGGTCAGTATCTTTCCATGTGCTTCCTAGCCATTTCTGTATCATCCCTGGAGAAATGTCTGTTCAAGTTCTTTCCACATTTTTGAATAGGGCTGTTTGGTTGTTCTGTTGTTGAATTTCAGGAGTTCTCTATATATCCTGGATGATGACTGCTTATCGGATTCATGATTATAGGGACTGCATTAAATCTGGGATTGCTTTAGGTAGTAGTAACATCTTAACAATATTAAGTCTTCTAATCCATTAAGGTAGAATGTTTTTCTATTTATTTGTATCTTCTTTGATTTCTTTCAGCAATATTTTAGTTTTCTCCTCCTTAGTTTATTCCTAAGTATTTTATTCTTTTTGATTCTATTACAAATGAAATTGTTTCCTTCATTTTCTTTTGGGATTGTTAATTGTTAGTGTATAAAAATGCAATTGATTTTAGTGTGTTCACTTTGTATCCGGCTACTTTCCTGAATTTATTTCTTAGTTCCACGAGTTCTTTTTTTTTTTTTTTTGGTGGGATCTTTAGGGTTTTCTACATATGAGATCATCTCAACTGTAAACAAAGATTAATTCCTTCCCCTGGGTGCAGTCGCTCACGCCTGTGATCCCAGAGCTTCGGGAGGCCAAGGTGAGTGGATCACTTGAGCCCAGGAGTTCGAGACTAGCCTGAGAAACATGGTGAAACCCCATCTCTACAAAAAAAAAATAAAAAAATTAGCCACACGTGGTGGCATGCACCTGTAGTCTCAGCTACTCGGCAGGCTGAGGTGAGAGGATCGCTTGATTCTGGGAGGTCGAAGCTGCAGTGAGCCAAGACTGCGCCACTGCACTCCAGCCTGAGTGATAAGGCAAGACCCTGTGTCAAAAACAAAAAAAAAACCAACCAAACAAAAACACACATACATATATATAAATATATATATATAATGTCTTTCTTCCTTTCCAGCCTGGGTGCCCTTTATTTCTTTCTCTTGCCTAACTGCTCCAACTAGAACTCACAATATTGTGTTGAAGAGAAGTAGTGAAAGAGGGCATTCTTGCAGTGTTCCTGATTTTAAAGAAAAAGCTTTCAGTTTTTAACCACTGAGTATAACGTGGGGTTTTTTTTTTTTTTTTTTTTTTGAGATGGAGTCTCGCTCTGTCCCCCAGGCTGGAGCGCAGTGGCATGATCTCGGCTCACTGCAAGCTCCGCCTCCCAGGTTCACACCACTCTCCTGCCTCAGCCTCCCGAGTAGCTGGGACTACAGGCGCCCACCACCACGCCTGGCTAATTTTTTGTATTTTTAGTAGAGACGGGGTTTCACCATGTTAGCCACGATGGTCCTGATCTCCTGACCTCGTGATCCGCCCGCCTCGGCCTTCCAAATTGCTGGGATTACAGGCATGAGCCACCACGCCCGGCCCACTGAGTATGTTAACTGTGGGGTTTTCTTATATGGTTTTTATTATGTTGAGTTAGTTTCCTTCTATTCCTAGTTCATTCAGTGTTTTTATCATGAAAGGGTATTGAATTTTGTTAAATGCTTTTTCTCCATCAACTGAGATAATCACGATTTGGTTTTTTCCTTCCTTTTAATGTGGTGTGTTACATCGACAAATTTTTGTATGCTGAATTATCTTTGCATTCTGGGAATAAATCCTACTTGGTCATGGTGTAAAATCTTTTTAATATGCTGCCGAATTCAGTTTGCTAGTATTTTGTTAAGGATTTTATCAATGTTCATAAAGAATATTGGTCCATAGTTTTCTTTTTTTGCAGTGTCTTTAACTTCTTATTTAACATATTTTATGAATGGCAATGATCAAGGCTGTTAGAAACTGAGACCCAGAAGGTAAATAATATTTGGATGTCTAACAAGAATTTAGTCGAATTCCAATCAACAGCAGGTAAGACGTGTGCTCACTGTATCCTCCACCTTACAGGTACAGCTAAGTGACATTACACGCCATTAACCATAACACAAATATAACAAATAAAAACTTACCTAATCTGAAGGTCCAAAATAATTTGCCTTTTGTCTACATTTTCAGTGTATACCTTAACACCATTGATCCTGAGGGGCTGAAATAAGAAGTAGCTTATTTTAAGATACAGAGGTTAAAAAAAAAAATCAAACCGTGTAACATACCATAGAGACAAACAGAACAAGCTTTAAATTTCAGACTACAACAGGAATTAAAATTCTGCCTTCATAACAGAGTGTGGCTTGATTTTCAGCTATTTAACACCTGTTCCTCACCTTCCTCCCGTGAGCTGCAGAAAACAAGGGCCTCTGTTTCATAAGATTACTGTGAAATTAGGTGACAAAATAAATGTCAAGACAGCAGTGCATGCCTTGCCCACAGCAGTTAATAAGCACTGGGTATGATTGCTGTTGTCAGCACATGTAACAATACGTATGTGCTCTTTTCAAGCTTCTTACTCTCGTCTCTTCACATCTAACTTGACCCTTTCCCTCTACTCCATCCTTACTACCATGTTTGAAACATAACTTCCTTTCATTTATTCTTTATGTCTCATAATTTTTCATTTCTTAAGACTTTCACGCCCAGGCGTGGCCGCTCAGGTCTGTAATTCCAACACTTTGGGATACCAAGGCAGAGGACTGCTTGAAGCCAGAAGGTTTAAACCAGCCTGGGCAACATGGTTAAAACCCTATCTCTACAAAAAGTAAAAAAAATTAGCTAAGATGGTAGCGCACACCTGTGGTTCTAGCTACTTAGGAGGCTGAGGTGGGGAGATTGCTTGAGCACAGGAGTTTGAGGCTGCAGTGAGCTATGATTGTGCCACTGCACTCCTGACTAGGCAACAGAGTGAACCCCCATCTCTTAAAAACAAAACAAAACTGGGCACAATGGCTCAAAGCTGTAATCCCCGCACTTTGGCAGGTGGAGGCGGAAGAAACACTTGAGCCTAAGAGTTTGAGACCAGCCTGAGTGGAGACCCCCATCTCTACAAAAACTCCCCAGGCGTGGTGGCGTGCACCTGTAGTCCCAGCTACTCGGGAGGCTGTGGTAGGGGGAATCCACTGAGCCCGGGGGGGTAAGGTTGCAGTCGGTGGTGATCACGCCACTGTACTCCAGCCTGGGTGACAGAGTAAGACCCTGTCTCAAAAATGAAAGAAGCACTTTACCTTTAGAGTACTACTGCTTACTTTGACAAGCATGAGTGTATTAAAATCACACCTCTCAACGAGCTGTCAAATCAAACTCTAAGCCTTTACTTGAAAGTCTAGCCACCTCCTATGCTCCCAAGTTCCCAGGCTTTTTCTTTATGGTACTAGCTAAGCCATGTACAGACTGCACTAAAAAACACAATCAACACACTATTCTAATAAGTGAAAATGGGGCAGGCATGATGTGCATCAGATAACATACTCCCCAAATGACGTGGAGATGAGGGGACCAACCCCACTCCAGATGACTGGGCATTACCTAATGAAGGACAAACACCAGAAGGCAACATTGCCCAGCTGCCGGGAGTCTTGGTCAGCACACAGTCTGGCCAAGGACCCTGCACAGGACTCCACATGCCATTCTATCCATCCCTTCATCAGAAAGCCTGGGTTTGACACTTGTAAGACATTGGTACAGTAGATGAAAATGCCAAAGCTATCTTTATTGAATCAGCACTCCTCTTAATACTCTTGCTATTCTCCAAGGATTTCCTTATTCAGCTGGTATCAAACTTAAAGTGTGTGTGATGGAACTCAAACATAATTAAATTATTCCTAAAATAAACCCAGCTGAGATGGAATTTTAAATATCCACAAACACGAACATGCTGTAACTTAGGGCATAACAGGCTAAATGTGCCTTTGGCCTGACTCTACAGCCCTGGAGCTAGTATGGTTTTCACCTGGCTAAAGGGCTGTAGAAGAAGGGAGGGAGAGACAGCAGGACAATGCAGCCCCTGCGGCCACGTACAGACAGAGCATGCAGCCCCTGCGGCCATGTACAGACAGAGCATGCAGCCCCTGCTTTACAGCATTTAACTTGTCACTGGGACTTTAACCTGCACTCACATGGCACTTTAACTTGTAATTGTGTTTTTTCCCATCTGTGGTTACCATTTTAGGTGTTGAAGGTAAAGTCAACACTGAAAGTGTCCTACAGGCGTCCCGTGTAGAGACATGGGCTCGTCCTACGGGCGTCCTGTGTAGAGACATGGACTCTTGCACAGGATGGCCACACCTCAGGCATGTCACAGGAAAAGCAGCAGCACATACAGGCAGGTGTCACACGTAAGGCTGCACAGGAGGCACGGGGTCTGGAGTAACTGCTTCTGAGACAGAGCATTCTCTGCACACAGAAAGTCAGCTCTGATGGAGAAAGGTAGCCAGCAGCCTGGAGATCATGGGGTGTACACTGGTGCCCACTAACAGGTGGCAAATACACAGTGACCATGCCAGACCCTCCCACAGCCACATCTATCACAACCCTGAACCGCACTGCACGGGGATGTCTGTTTGCTGACTCTGCTGTGTGTGCAACAACGTGTGCAGACTGTGTGTGTGTTTACAAGAACTATCACGTTCTGAGTCTTTAGGCATATAAAACAATGTTACCTTGGACTGTTGCTACTTAAACACTGATTTAAAAATAGAAAAAGAAAAACTTCCCATGATCAACTAAATGTACTCTTGAGGCTTTTATGAAAGGTGGTATTAGGAAGTATCAGCTTTCCTTTTTATATAATGTGACTCCATTAACAAAATCCATCTTTTCTTCCACTTACGTAATGAATGTTGTACCTAACATACCAGCATTAGAGTCATTAGTAGTTTTGTTTTTTAACATCCCGAGAGGGGTAAACACCTTAAACTTGTCAATTACTGCACATTTAGCATGAATTCACATATCAAACTCGCTCACAGGAAAGACTACTTAAAACTAGTGCTTCCGAAAAGGGCGTGCTGACAGAAGAACGTGGAGCAGAAAGACACGTGGTGGAGAAAAAGTCAGTGTTAAAGAGAAGCCATGAGACGGAGGCTGACATGGCCAAGACGGCACCGCGGACAAGAAGGCAGCAGGATGGCCTCCCGGCAGATGGGAAGGGGCAGTGCGGGCGAGAGGGAAGCAGGACGGTCTCCCAGGAGAGACGGGAAAAGGCACCGCGGCGGGAGGCAGAGCCTGAGTGACAGACAGGAAGGGGCACTGCAGGCGAGAGGGCAACAAGACAGCCTCCCAACAGACAGGAAAGGGCACTGCAGGCGAGTGGGCAGCCGGAAGGCCTCCCGACAGAGACGGGAAAAGGCACCACGGCTGGAGGCAGAGCCTGAGTGACAGAGACAGGAAGGGGCACCACAGGCGAGAGGGCAGCAGGACAGCCTCCCGACAGACGGGAAAGGGCACTGCAGGCGAGAGGGCAGCAGGACAGCCTCCCGACAGAGACGGGAAAAGGCACCACGGCTGGAGGCAGAGCCTGAGTGAGAAACGCACCCGGTAGACCTTGGTGAACAATTTTCTTCAGAACATAATTTGAAGCTGTCTGTTTTTTGAAATAGGGTCTCGCTCTGTCACTCAGGCTGGAATGCCGTAGTGTGATCATGGCTCACTGCACTCTCCACCTCCTGGGGCTCAAGTGATCCTCCTGCCTCAGCCTTCTATGTAGTTCTGACCATATACGTGCACCACCACACCCAGCTAACTTTTAAATTTTTTTGTAGAGACGGAGTCCCACTTTGTTGCCCAGGCTGGTCTCAAACTCTTAAGCTCAGGCCTCCCAAAGTGCTGGGGTCACAAGCATGAGCCACTGCTTCCAGCTGAAGTTGTTTAAAAAACATATACCCAGCTAGCTGGGAGGCTGAGGCAGGAAGATCACTTGAGCCTAGGAGTCTGAGGCCAGGGAGGGCAACATAGTGAGGCCCCGTCTGAAAAAAAAAAATTTAAAAGAAAATGTGTTTTTCGGCCAGGCGCGGTGGCTCACACCTGTAGTCCCAGCACTTTGGGAGGCTGAAGCAGGCAGATCATGAGGTCAGGAGATCGAGACCATCCTGGTAACATGGTGAAACCCCGTCTCTACTAAAAATACAAAAAATTAGCCGGGCGTGGTGGAGGGCGCCTGTAGTCCCAGCTACTCGGGAGGCTGAGGCAGGAGAATAGTGTGAACCTGGGAGGCAGAGTTTGCAGTGAGCCAAGATAGTGCCACTGCACTCCAGCCTGGGCAACAGAGCGAGACTCCGTCTCAAGAAAAAAAAAAAAAGAAAATGTGTTGTTTTGTGTTTTCACAGCAATCTGACTGTGTGCACGTGAGGATACTTAAGAGAACACTGACCTGCTGGCCCACGTCGACCTTCGTGAAACTAAAGGTGCTAAGGTGGGTGTTTGCTCCCCGCACGGCTGGTTCTATAGTTTCTCGAAACAACTTCTCTATAAATTGGCAAATGAAAGGCCACATGTGTTTTACAGTCTGGAAAGGAAAAAGAACTCAGTTTAAACAAAATGCTATATAATGCATGACACACACGAGTGCTCGTGAGAAACCCTCGCAACAGACCAAACCTGGTTTTGAAAATAAAGGGCGGGAGGATCTTGTTGTTATGCAAAATCAACATGATCTAAATTCTAAAAAGTTATTAGAAAAACCAACTACTGATTAACCAATATGTTGCAGGAACTAGTTATTCTGGTTAAATATGTCAGCACATTTAAAGATTTCTAGAAGTCCTGTGGTTTCAACTTGGTGCTGAAAACAACATTAATATTTATATAGTTCTTCAATTGTAATCCCAGCATTTGGGAGGCTGAAGCGGGTGGATCATCTGAGGTCGGGAGTTTGAGACCAGCCTGACCAACATGGAGAAACTCCATCTCTACTAAAAATACAAAATTAGCCAGGCGTGGTGGTGCGTGCCTGTAATCCCAGCTACTCGGGAGGCTGAGGCAGGAGAATCACTTGAACCCAAGAGGTGGAGGTTGTGGTGAACCGAGATCATGCCATTGCACTCCAGCCTGGGCAACAAGAGTGAAGCTCCGTCTCAAAAAAAAAAAAAAAAAAAAAAAAAAAAGACTGTTATTGATTATTGAATTTCTTGTAAGTTATTTCTTTCTTTGTCATGTTTTTTAAAACTTATGATTGTTATAAAATAGACTTGAGCCCTGGCTGTTCAGAAAAGAAGACACATGGCCAGAGACACAAATATGCACATGCCTATACTTTTCTCAAGTCAAAGAGACAGTTCTCACTCTCTGGAAAGAAAAGAAATGCATTTGTTGTGACTGAGGTCTTTGGGGACCAGAAGCCAACCCACTAAAGTCCAAACGAGCTCAAATATTACCAACATGCAAATCCCCAAATATGGAAAGATGGTATCTCATCCTCCAATTCCACTGATGGATGGTAGTTGGTATACTCTAATCTTACCTTATTTAGCCATTCTGCTCTTTCAGTGTCTGGAAAATGAACCTAGGAGGAAAATACACACATATGACTTATTAACTCCCAACAACTGTAAATAAAATGTCAAGCAGGCAATTTCATATTCTCATCATACGTCCTATGTTTACAAGATGCTTCTTTAAAACACTCTGCTCTAAAGCTTGGGAAACTGGTCTCCAAGGAGGGAAAGTGAAATGCATGGCACCCCAGCTCTTTACGTTCTGAGAACACAATGAGCAAAAAAGTTGTGTGTGGAAAATGCCATCAGAGTCTTCTCTGCACCCCACTGTCCAGAGGAAATTCACTGGAATCTGAAACATCATAAATTATACAAAACTGACCTCTACCTTTTTAAAAAAACATGTTTCTAATTTGTCAGTAGTATTATCATCATGTCCTGGCAATCTAGGCTCAGAGCCCCTACCCTTCCCAGGCCAGCCGTGGTGGCCCAAACCTGCAAGTCCCAGGTACTCAGGAGGCTGAGGTAGGAGGATCCCTTGAGCCCAGGAGCTTGTCTGCAATGTGCTACAACCATGCCTGTGATTAGTGCTGCACCCTAGTCTGGACAACATAATGAGACTCCATAAAATAAAGTAACAAAATATAAACTAAAATAAAATTCACTCTTCCCTTTTGCTTTTCTCTTTTGGCCCAAACCAGCTAAGAGACACCTTTCCTTACATGGCTCCTCTCCATACCATCATCTCCCACCTTCACCCAGATAGGGATCCCTCTTACAATTCTCCAGGTAGGGCCTGGATACTGGAGAAGGGTTTGTACAGGAGAAAAGAAACCTATTTAGGGCCAGGCATGGTGGCTCATGCCTGTAACCCCAACACTTTGGGAGGCTGAGGATTACTTAAAGCCAGCAGTTCAAGACCAGCCTGGCCAACATATTCTTGCAAACCTCTTTTCTATGCGTTTATAAGCATGTATAACTTACATTAGACATGTTTCTATACACATTTGCATATGCGTATGATATTTTTAAGACTATGTGGCCTCTTAATTTTTTTTTTTTTTTGAGACAGAGTCTCACTGTCACCAGGCTGGAGTGCAGTGGCGCGATCTCGGCTCACTGCAACCTCCGCCTCCCGGGTTCAAGTGATTCTCCTACCTCAGCCTCCTGAGTAGCTGGGATTGCAGGCACCTACCACCACGCCTGGCTAATTTTTGTATTTTTAGTAGAGATGGGGTTTCACCATGTTGGCCAGGATGGTCTCGATCTCTTGACCTCGTGATCCGCCTGCCTCTGCCTCCCAAAGTGCTGAGATTATAGGTGTGAGCCACCGATCCCGGCCAAGGATATTTTATTTTAGCCCCAATGGCAGAGAAAATATTTTCTTTCTTTTTTTAAATCCAGAGACAGGGTCTCACTCTGTCACTCAGGCTGGAGAGCAGTAGTTCAATCACGGCTCACTGCAGCCTGGAACTCCTGGGCCAAAGTGATCCTCCCGCCTCAGCTTCCTGAGTAGCTGGGACTGGGACTACAGGCATGTGCCAACTGGCTAATTTTTAAATTTTTTTAGAGACAGGATCTCACTATGTTGTCTAGGCTTGTCTTGAACATCTGGCCTCAAGCAATCCTCCTGCCTCAGCCTCCCCCTGTGTTGGAATTACAAGTGTGAGCCACTGTGCCCAGTCCACTTTTTTTTAAATAGGTTTCTTTTTCTTTTTTCTTTTCTTTTCTTTTTTTTTTTTGAGACAGACTCTCCCTCTGTCATCGACGCTGGAGTGCAGTGGCACGATCTCGACTCGCCACAACCTCCACCTCCCAGGTTCAAGTGATTCTCCTGCCTCAGCCTCCCGAGAAGCTGGGATTACAGGCGGGTACCGCCACACCCTGCTAATTTTTGTATTTTTAGTAGAGATGGGGTTTCACCATGTTGTCCATCACTGCCTCACTGTAGGCATGGGTGCCAACCCTTGCCTGTGTGGTGACATCAGCACCCCCCGAGTGGCACAGAAAGCACGTGCAGTGAGGCAGTGATGGACACGAGCACGGGAGGAGGCGGCACCCATGCCTGCAGTGAGGCAGTGATGGGCAGGAGCGTCGGAGGCGGCGGCACCCAAGCCTGCAGTGAGGCAGTGATGGACAGGAGCACGGGAGGAGCTGCCTGTAGTGCCCCATTCTATTCTGGAATGAACAGAGAAACCCTCTGCCCAAATAAGCTTTGAATATAAGTGAACTGGCTTGTATTAGAATTTACTGGTTAACTGGCTTGTATTAGAATTTACACAAAGTGGCTTTGAAAATCGAGCCGTCTCTTAGTAGTGTTATCCCAAGGCATTCAATAGTTCTGAGGTTTTTCATCTATGAGTGATTATCCCAATGTGCTAAAGAAAAAGAGAAAGAGAATATATCAGATTTGAACAAAGCAAATCTGTTACGAAATTTTAAATTCTGTTCACTAAGTCAAAAATCTGCTTCTCGCTAATACATATTCATAAACATTTGCTTATTTTGCATAAAACAGAATCTAAAGTAGCAAAAACATCACAGAGAAAGACTGGGACACACAGGGATCACAGAAAACACAGTCCTCAATCACACAGGAACACAGGAACACAGATTCGGTTTTAAATCTTATCTTTCAACTTAAAGACTCAAATCTCTCTTAAGTTCTAATTATAAAACAAATTTCAATATTTATATTATCTGTATGAACTAGAAATAATCATTGTACGATTATTCACGTTTCTATTATATTTGAGTTGACACCACCCGCAAAAATCTCTTTAATGTTATCTTTTAAAAGAACAAAGGCGTATTTTAGATTCTAATACGCTGCTATTACCAAAGTTGTTTTGTTTAGAAAAATTAAACCAAATATACAAAGACAGAACATTTAACTGTGCTCCAGGAACTCTACATACAATATTTTGTTTAATCCTCACCAGAACCTTTGAACAATTAGTGGCTCCATCTAACAGAAAACAAAACGCCTCGGGGGAACAGGTAGAATAAAGAGATCCAGACCCAAAGGACTCCAGAGTCCTTCCTGCTATGCCCTGCTGAAGTATACAGGATGGAATTGACATAACTGGTCAAAATTTTCTTGCCAATTAAATCATATTCTTCCTATATCCAAACATAAAAAAATTGACAGCTAACATTTAAAACAAAAATTAAGTAAAAGGAATGTCTTTCTTCAAACAACATTCCCCTTGAAGACCAGTATTAACAATCAGAACTTGCACAGGATTTTATTGTTCATAAATTCCATGTCCTATGCACGATATAAGCATTTTTTTTTTTGAGATGGAGTCTAACTCCGTCACTCAGGCTGGAGTGCAGTGGCACGATCTCAGCTCACTACAACCTCCTCCTCCCGGGTTCAAGCAATTCTCCTGCCTCTCGAGTAGCTGGGACTACAGGTGCCCGCCACCACAAGTGGCTAATTTTTGTAGTTTTAGTAGAGACAGGGTTTTGCCATGTTGGCCACGCTGGTCTCAAACTCCTGGCCTCAAGTGATCCCTCTGCCTCGGGCTCTAAAAGTGCTGGGATTACAGGCATGAGCCACCACACCAGGCTGATATAAGCACTTTTAATTACAAAAAAAAGTACAGCAGGCACTTGACAGGGAATGTAGAGGAGTTATTTTAAAATTCCATTAACATTAGTAACACTGAAACATGCAGTATCAATTCTGCTGACTCATTCCTCTTTAAAAATTAATAGCCTAGAATAAGTTTAGATAGGTAATGTCTGAGACAATATGAAGAAAGATGCTACACCTGAGGCATTGCTGATTTAATACCTTTAAGTAAAATTTAAAAGATAAATGGATAAAATGATTCTTTTAGAAACAAAATGCCACTAAACATGAAATCATGAACTTGCCAATCAAGTTCATTTATTCAAGATTCTTCCTCATTCCAAGAAGGATTTGAGCTTTGCTCAATGCTGCATAACCCTTTAGGCACTATTTTAAAAAGAAAAAAACAAAACACACAAAATTCTTACTGGAAGCAATGGTTGGTTGCAAGGAAGAATTCTTTCCCTCTCTTAGACCACAACTAAAGGGGAAGGAAGAAGGAATCTGAGTCCCTGGCACAGCAATCGAGAGTGTGCCCTGGGGCAGGCCCCACCAGCATAGGTGGGGGCCAACGCGCCGTTCCCCGGAGCACACCTAAGTGAGAGGGTCACCCATTTACTGGCCATCTGAAAACACCAACGTTCCTACACCACTTGGCTAGTTCTACGTTAAGCCTATAAAATGAACAACATCTAAGCGGGTAGCTTTGTTTCCTTGTGTAAAATCAACACAGTCTCAAAAATGGAACAGATAAGGCAAAAAGGACCAGAGAACCTCGGTTCTACAAGAACATGAGACGCCTCTTCTTTATCAGTTACATCACAATAGAAATCGGAAACTCTGGTTTCTAGAAGCCTTTAGGCAAGCAACACACCCTTACTTGGAAGCACTCAGCATACTACAGGTTTACTTAAACAGATGTGGCCTGCGTTCAAATAATTCAGTCTGGAGAAATACTAAAAACGTTAAATATTTAAAATGTTTTATATTGTTCTCTCTGAATATGAATTAAAGTCAGCGCAAATGGTCAGAAAGACTTGCAGAAAGTTAAAACTGCCCAGAAAATTTTGGTTCACACACAGCACAACAAAAGGGAGTCCAAGGTTCTAACACACACAGAACACCTTCCTGGAGCAGCCAGGACTTGGGGACTGCTGAGAAAGGTGAGGCGCGCGACAAACCCAAACCGCCGAGAAGGGTGAGGCGCGTGACAAACCCAAACCGTTGAGAAGGGTGAGGCGCGCGACAAACCCAAACCGTCGAGAAGGGTGAGGCGCGCGACAAACCCAAACCACGGAGAAGGGTGAGGCGCGCGACAAACCCAAACCGCCGAGAAGGGTGAGGCGCGCGACAAACCCAAACCGTCGAGAAGGGTGAGGCGCGCGACAAACCCAAACCGTCGAGAAGGGTGAGGCGCGCGACAAACCCAAACCGTCGAGAAGGGTGAGGCGCGCGACAAACCCAAACTGTTGAGAAGGGTGAGGCGCGCGACAAACCCAAACCGCCGAGAAGGGTGAGGCGCGCGACAAACCCAAACCGTCGAGAAGGGTGAGGCGCGCGACAAACCCAAACCGTCGAGAAGGGTGAGGCGCGCGACAAACCCAAACCGCCGAGAAGGGTGAGGCGCGCGACAAACCCAAACCGCCGAGAAGGGTGAGGCGCGCGACAAACCCAAACCGCCGAGAAGGGTGAGGCGCGCGACAAACCCAAACCGTCGAGAAGGGTGAGGCGCGCGACAAACCCAAACCGCCGAGAAGGGTGAGGCGCGTGACAAACCCAAACCGTTGAGAAGGGTGAGGCGAGTGACAAACCCAAACTGTTGAGAAAAGTGAGGCACGTGACAAACCCAAACTGCCGAGAAAGGTGAGGTGTGTGACAAACCCAAACTGCCGAGAAGGGTGAGGCGCGTGACAAACCCAAACTGCTGAGAAAAGTGAGGCGCGCGACAAACCCAAACTGCCGAGAAGGGTGAGGCGTGTGATAAACCCAAACTGCCGAGAAAGGTGAGGTGTGTGACAAACCCAAAGTGCTGAGAAAGGTGAGGCGCGTGACAAACCCAAAGTGCTGAGAAAAGTGAGGCACGTGACAAACCCAAACTGTTGACAAGGGTGAGGCGCGTGACAAACCCGAACTGCTGAGAAAAGTGAGGCGCTTGATAAACCCAAACTGCCGAGAAAGGTGAGGTGTGTGACAAACCCAAACTGTTGAGAAAGGTGAGGCGCGTGAAAAACACAAGCTGCCGAGAAGGGTGAGGTGCATGAAAAACCCAAGGCCTCATTCAGTGCTTTCCAAGAAAGCTGGTGTCCTGCACTGGAGGGAAGAGAAGCACTTCTGTGGGGCCTGGGGAAAAGCAACTCAGAGCCACCTCTTCATATTATCAGATTACGATGAGAAAAAGTATTAGGGACAGTATTCCTGACAGTGGACGAGACTTCCAGGCACACGGCGCTTCAATGTTTAGAACTGTAAGGCACGAGGATCTGACGGAGCACTTGTTAGCTCTCCACATCAGTGGGGATCTCTGCTCGTCCCCACAGCTGGGCTGCTGAACTTAGCAGTAGAGTGACTTAAATATAATTTGGTACCAACACAAATTTGTGCCTTCTGATCTTTGTATAATCAAATGTCTTTACTCATCTCCCAAACTATCTGTCCCTCCTCAAGATCCTCAAATCCTATCTGCCTGTCTTCTCTAGAGACTTTGGTCAGTATTCATGGAAACTGAAAAAGCAGGTTAGAAATCTTGATTAAATGGTATTTTTTTCAAAGATATTAGGATGCTTTATCCAAATAGTTGCTTCTACAAAGAAAGTAGTCAAGGTTAAAAAGGTAGAGAGGAATCTAAAAACATCTGTCAACCCTGTAATAAGCTGTCACAGTATGGTCAAATTACTACCTCCAATAGTAAAAGGAAATTGCAGAAGATAACCATTTTTATCTATTTCTAGTCTACATAAAAAGCAGGCCATCAATTAATTCACACAGTAAATAAAGCAATTGATCTTTTCCAAAATCCACAAGGTTGTAATTTTCTCTGTGGTTTATGGGCTTCGATTACTGCAACAGAGTAACTGGATACCCTAATGCTTTGGTGCAATGACACTGCTTAAAAATCCATCTGTTTAAGGTCATTTCTTAACAGAAAACATTTTCAAAATTCTCCCCAGGTGCTTTTTACATTAATGAGAAATTTCACTAGGAAATCCGAAAAGACACTAATATCCCTGAAGTTTTTAACTGAGACCACAGGTAGTGATCATGGTCACTCCTTGACTTTCTCACCACAAATCAAATGGTGTTGTCTACCAGAGCTATGGCAAATTGTTGCTTTCTTATGTCACCTAAAACTCTTAACAGTGTAAAATAAGGACTCTTGCCACGAAAGGAATGACGGCTGAGCCACAGCTGTGGCCACCATGGGCCCCAGGGACACAGGGCTCTTTTGGCCTGAAGGAGGACACTAGCAGCAGAGCCGGCGCCGGGGCACACCGCGTGGGAGGCGCCGGGGCACACCGCGTGGGAGGCGCCGGGGCACACCGCGTGGGAGGTGCCGGGGCACACCGCGTAGGAGGCGCTGGCGCACAATGCGTAGGAGGCACTGGCCTTGAGAGGGCTTCCTCACTGTTTGCAACACTTCATCACTATTTCTTCATTAGACAAGTGACCATCACCTATTCTGGTAGATCAGAAAACAGAGTCAAAGAAAAACTTAAAAACTAGGTTGATCCCAGCATACCTTTCATAACAAAGCTGTCTAAGTCACTTGAAATCCAAGTCTTAAATTCCTAAGAGAACGTACCCTGAATTTCATGTTATATCTGACATATACTCTTCCTCTATCCATTTATTTTTTAAAGGGGTTAAGCCCCCTTTTAGTGCATGCGTGAAATATTAGGAGAATTTAAACCAGGACTAATATTCAATGGCAGAGTCAAAACAGGGATGCCTCACAGCTTCTACTCAGGAGAACAGGGTATCCCTTCATGGAAACACTAATGTCAACAGACTTATTTACATATAAACACGTCCGTGAAGAATATTTTTCAAAGATTTGAAGCATATTCTCACAAAATTCTGAAGTCCTTTAGACATTTTCCTGTCTCTGCTAAAAGAAAGGTCACACAATTATTTCATAATCGTGATTTAAGCTGAAGTTCTGGCATGAGTTACATCAATATCACAAATTAAAATGAGTCCAAGAATAGGAAATCTGTCTTCTCATCTCCTCCACTGAAACACCTAAGACAATCCGGTTGTTTTTATTTTAAATTTAAATCAAATGAATATTAATTCAAATATACACGCTTATGTTTTGACTGGAATGGATTAAAAGATAGATGGGCAATTGTAGCACTGAATTAATTGCATATATTCTGTATACTACTTAAATGAATCCAGCTTTGTGTGACTATATACATAGTATATATAGTTTATTCTAATATATATATATGAGAAACTACATGAGATTGTAAAAACAGGGTTATTTGAAACCCCGTCTCTACTAAAAATACAAAAAATTAGCCAACCGTGGTGGTGGGCGCCTGTAGTCCCACCTACTCAGGAGGCTGAGGCAGGAGAATGGCATGAACCCGGGAGGCAGGGTTTGTAGCGAGCCGATATCGCACCACTGCACTCCAGCCTGGGCGACAGAGCAAGACTCCGTCTGAAGGAAAAAAAAAAAAAAAAAAGAATTACAGAAGTGACTGGAATACTAAAAATCTATCTACATGGATTCAGAATTAACATCGGACTTAAAATTTATCTGTGAATTTTACATTTTGAAGAAATAAGTTTATGTATCTCCTAGGAGCTTAACTTTATTCTCATGCAGATAGGAAATTATCGCGACTTATGAGAAGGAGGTCGGAAATTTACCACCCTAAAACTTACTGTTTCCTTTTTAATTATTTATTTGTACACAATGAAGAAACAGTAAATAATCAGACACATGAAAACACTAGTACTTTTTTCCTGAATATGTTCATTACCTTCACTGGATGTTCGATACCAAGGTTCCAGAACATCTTTCCCAATTATAGCCTGTGTGCCTCACTGCTGTTTGCTGTTACACATTCCCCATAAAGGGTCAGACAGGAAATATCTGGGGCACTTACGGGCCATGAGGTCTCTGTCACTACAACTCAACCACAGTTGGAGTATGAACTAATGAGCACGGCTGTGTTCCAAAAGAACTTTAATATGGTCACTGAAATTTGAATTTCATAACATTTTCACCTCCTACAAATTACTTTCTTCCAGCCATTAAAAAATGTAAAAGCTGTTCACTGGCCACAAAAACAAAAAGGAGGCCAGGCTATGAGCTGAGGCTTGCTGCCCGCTGAGAGGGATGCGCAAACCCGCAAAAGGATGGCGCCACGGGGTAGGGCCGTCCAGCCTCTCTCTCCAGAGAGCAGGCCCCACAGCTCCAGGTGCAGAAAAATGTCTGCCAAACATTCCTTTTTTTATTAGAAATACCCCAAATCTTAACATTGGGGTAACTAAAGTGTTTGAAAACTGAACCCACTGACCTGGATCCAATTTGTTACCTATTACAGAAATCCCCTACTTATCGGCAGTTCCACTGTGATTTCAATCACCCGCAGTCAACCAAGGTCAGAAAATATTAAATGGAAACTTCCAGAAACAAACAATTCGTCAGTTTTAAACCGCATGCTGTTCTGAGTAAGGTGATGAAATCTCACTCTGTCCAGCTCGAGACACGAGCCCCGTCCGGCACGTTCGCGCCGAGCATGCTCCCGCCCACTCACCTGTGCTGTCTTGATCGTCAGCTCAAGTGTCGTGGGATCGACGTGCTCATTTCAAGTCACCTTTATTTTACTTAATGGCCCAAAACACACCAACAGTGATGTTGGCCATTCAGATATGCCAAAGAGAAGCCATTGAGTGCTTCCTTTAAGTGAAAAGGTGAAAGTTCTCGACTTACTAAGTATCATACGCTGAGGTTGCTAAGATGTAAGAACGAATCTTCCATCTGTGAAACTGAAGAAGGAAAATAATTTCATGCTAGTTTTGCTGTCACATGTCAAACTTTAAGATGGAAAAGGCATTAAATTTGTGGCTGGGGCCTGGCACAGGGGCTCACATCTGTAATCCCAGGACTTTGCCTGTAATCCCAGCACTTTGGGAGGCTGAGGCCGGCAGATCACTTGAGGTCAGGAGTTCAAGACCAGGCTGGCCAACATGCGAAATCCCATCTCTACTAAAAAAAAAAAAAAAAAATTAACGAGGTGTGGTGGTGGGCACCTGTAGTCCCAGCTACTTGGGAGGGGCTGAGCCACGAGAATTGCTTGAACTCGGGTGGCAGAGGTTGCAGTGAGCCGAGACTGCGCCATTACACTCCAGCCTGGGTGACAGAGTGAGATTCTATCTCAGAAAACAACAACAACAACAAAACAAAACAAAACCAATAAATAAACAAATAAGTTTGTGGGTAGAAGACAAAACAGATGTTCTGATTGACAGCAACTGGGTTTGGTACTATCTTGTTTCACTGGGGATCTTGGAAAATATCCCCCACAGATAAGGGGGGGCTACTGTAGTAAACTTTGGATCACATTAAGCCAATTAAAAAATGGGCAAAAGTGACGGGGCGTGGTGCGTGGTGGCTCATACCTGTAATCCCAGCACTTTGGGAGGCCAAGGCGGGCGGATCACAACGTCAAGAGATCAAGACCATCCTGGCCAACATGGTGAAACCCCATCTCTACTAAAAATACAAAAAGTAGCTGGGCGTGGTGGCGTGCATCTGTAGTCCCTGCTACTCGGGAGGCTGAAGCAGGAGAATCGCTTGAACCTGGGAGGCGAAGGTTGCAGTGAGCCGAGATCGCACCATTGCACTCCAGCCTGGCTACAGAGTAAGAATCCATCTCAAAAAAAAAAAAAAAAAAAAAAACCAGGGGGGATGAGGGGGGCAAAAGTATTTGTATAAACGCTTCTCCAAAGAGGATATAAAAATGGCCAAGAAGCACATGAAAAGATGCTCAACATTATGAGTTAGAGAAATACAAATCAAAATCACAATGAGGTATCACTTCATGCCCTCTAGGATGGTTAAAATATAGACAGTGTTAAGTTTAGCCTAAAGCTGTCTCCTTAACACATTGTAAGTTTCAGCCTGAAGGTTTCCTAACTGGATGTGTGAAGAGACTGTAGCATACTCTTAGGCCAATCACCAGGTTTTGGCCAATCACAGGCAGCCAGCTGTTCAAACCACATCCAAATAAGGCAAATGCAGAACTATAACCTGGCTGGCTGTTTCTGTAGCTCACTTTCTTTTTTCTGCTCATAAATCTTCTTCCACTACATGGATGCACTGGAGCTTCTTTGAACCTATTCTGGTTCAGGGACTGCCCAATTTGTGAATCATTCTTTGCTCAATTAAACTACGTTAAACTTAATTTGTCTGAGATTTTCCTTTTAACAACAAGTTTTGATGAAGACGTGGGGAAATCGAACTCTCATTTGTTGCCAGTGGTAATGTAAAATGATGTAGCCCCTTTGAAAATCAATTTAGCATATTCTCAAAATATGTAAACACAGAGGTACCATATGACCCACTCTACCCACACGTATATATGCAACAGAAAGGAAAACACACATCCACACAAAAACCTGTACATGAATGCTCACAGCAGCATGATTTATATTTGCCTACAAGTCAAAACAGCTCAAAGGATCATTACTTGATAAATGGCTACACAAAATATAGCCTTTTCATACAACAGAATTATTTGTCAATACAAGAAATGAAACACTAATATATGTTACACTATCTAGTAAGTGAAAGAAGTGGGCCGGGCATGGTGTGTCTCACATCTGTAATCCCAGCACTGTGGAGGAAAGCTGACAGGCAGGAGGATCACTTGAGCCCAGAAGTTCAAGACCAGCCCAACACAGTGAAGCCCCATCTCTACAAAATATCTGAAAATTAGATGGGCATGGTGGCACATGCCTGTGGTCCCAGCTGCTCAGGAGGCTGAGATGGCAGGATCACTTGAGCCTGGGAGGTGGAGGCTGCAATGGGCCGTGATTGCGTCACTGCGCTCCAGCCTGGGTGATAGAGCGAGACCCTGTCTTGGGGGGGAAAAAAAAAGGCTCATCATAAAGACTACATGTTATAATATTTCATTTACATGGGATGTCCAGAAGGTGTCTTCCTCTAGAGACAAAGCGAATTACTGGGTGGCTAGGGTAGGCGTGACAGGGAGAGCAGTGGAGGGGTCTGAGGATTGAGGGCTGATGGGTATAGGGTTTCTTTACAGAAGACAAAAGGATCTACTAAGAGATTTCGGTGATGGTTGCACAATCCTGAGAATATACTGAAAAACAGTTAATTGTATAGTTTAAATGGCTGGATTGTATGGTATGTGAATTATAGCTCAATACAGCTGTTAAAAAAAACAAAAGGGGTAAGGCGCAGTGGCTCAAGCCTGTAATCCCAGCACTCTGGGACGCCAAGGTGGGAGGATCACTTGAGCCCAGGAGGTCAAGACTGCGGTGAGCCATGATTGCACCACTGCACTCCAGCGTGGCAACAGAATGACACTGTCTCTTAAAAAATAAAAAATAAAAAATTAAAATTAAGAAAAAAGAAATGAATATCTCAATCTATAAAACACATACTGCTTTTACCATGGCCCATTTATTTTAATTAGATACTTCCCCAAATAATAACAGAACCAAGTAAGTAGAGCCAGAGGACCCAAAGTAAATCAGTGGCCTAATTCAGAGTTCCTTGTTCGTGGCTTAACCAACCAACAAAGGTACCCAGTGAGCTATCTGGTCCTTAAAGAGCACATGGCTCAGCTCAGTGATAAATGAGGGGCAAAGCCATTCCATTGTGGGTCCCAAATTATCTGCCAAACTAGTTAATCACTGAGAAATACATCAGAACTGAAATATTTGGTGAGACCATAAAGATGAACCATGCGCGTTCACAGGAACACACAGGCGCATGAACACAAGCTCCCGCACATGTGCACAGGCCGCCACAGCTCACACACACACCTGCAAACACTGGAAACATTGCAGGATTCAGGGGAGGCGGAGACCACAGAGTGGTGAGTCAACTTTCTATGGCTGTTCTCCTTCAAGGTTGTGCTACAAGAGGTTGAGAAATCCAGAGAAATGTGGCTGAGATTCAAAGAAGCCAACAGGGTTTATGGACGTCTCAGGAGACTGGCGGGACAAGAACTGGAGTCTGGGTCAGCTAAACAACCAGAATCTGAGGGGCCAAGATCCCTGAAAGAGGAAAGTGGGAAGAAGGGTACAGTCTCTTTCAAGAGGAATTTGCTAAATTCCTAAGCTACCCAGGGCAAGAGGCTAGCCTCGAAGGAGCAAAACAGAGCTTCTGGCAAGATGCTGTACTGAGAAAGCACAAACTGGACTTTGGGACAGACCAGGAGGCACTTAGGAAACACTGCAGACTCCCAGTCACAACATCTGGAGGGCTGGGCCTTACAGCAGAGAGTATCAGAGGCAGCCACAGCTTCCCCCTGCCACACAGCCACAGGCCGGCTCAGACCCACCCTGGAGAGGGCAGCCTGTGCCCACTCTGCCTTCCAGAGGACGGGGGAGCCCCTCTGGAGGAGTACATGCTTCAGAGCAGGGATGGGCTTGGGCTGGCTCCTGCTCACAGCCACTTCGCCGAGACTGCTAAGTTCTGAGGTGTGAATATTCCCACTATGGCCAATTTCAAGCTACCAAATGACCTAACTGAATGTGGAGGTGGAAGAAATGCACAAAATCATGTAAAGGTGGTACTAGTCAGTCATCGGGGAGATGTAAGTCAGAGCCACAGTGACTCCCACTTTACATCCACTAGGACAGCAATAACAATAAAAACAGAAAAACACAAGTGTTGGCAAGGATGTGGAGGAATTCAACCTTCATATATTGCTGGGGAGAATGTAAAATGGTACAGGCATTGTGAAAACAGTTTGGCATTCCTCAAAATGTTAAACATAGACCCAACAATTCTATTCCTAGGTATATACTCAAAAGAACTGAAAATGGATATTCAAACAAAAACGTGTACATGAATGTTCATCGCAGCACCATTCAAAACAGCCAAAAGGTGGAAACAACCCGAATGGCCATTGTGGATGAATGGATAATCAAACTGTGGTACCGGAATATTCAGCCTTAAAGAGATGATACACTGGTATACGCTACAATGCAAATTAACCTCAAAACTAAGCTAACTGAAAGAAGCCACACATAAAAGATCACACACATATTACATGCCTCCGTTTACAGGAAATATCCAGAACAGGTAAACCCACAGATACAAAGCAGATGTGGTTGCCATGGGTTGGGGGAGGGGAAACAGGGTGTGACCACGAATGGGCACAAAACAGGGTTCCTTTTAGGGCAGAGAAAATGTTTTGGAACCAGAGAGAGGTGATGATTACACTACATGTAAAGGTAGTAAATGGCACTGAATTGTGTCCTTTAAAATGGTTTTATGTTTGAATTTATTGCAATAAAAATGAAACAAATGAGCTATCAAGCAATGAAAAGACACAGAAGAACCTAAAATGCATATTTCTAGGTGAAATAAACCAATCTGAAAAGGCCAATACTTTATAATTCCAATATATGACATTCTAGAAAGGGCAAAACTATGTAAAAAGATCAGTAAGCACAGGCAGACGGACAGGAAGAGTTGAATTGAAGCACAGAAGATTTTAGGGCAGCAAAACTACTTCGTATGACATTGTAATAGCTGATACATGCCATTATCCATTTGTCAAGATCCACGGAATGTACAACACTGAAAATGAGCTGTACTGTAAACTGTGGGCTTCAGACTAGTATTAAACATATCAACTCGGGCTCATTAGTTGTGACAGACATAGCAAAGGAAGTTGTAAGAAGGGATGTGGGGGCTCTGTATTATCTGCTCAATTTTTCTGGAAATCCAGAATTGTTCTAAAAAATGAAGTCTATTAATTTAACTAAGTGAAACGGAAATAAATACCTTTCCAGACAAAAATTGAGAAAATCCATTGCTAGTAGACTTGCACTAAAAGAAATACTAAAGTAAGTTTTTCAGGCAGGAGGAAAATCATCCCAGACAAAACGTGTTAACAGTAAGAAGGAAACAAAGACCAAGGGAGAGCACCTCTGTTCCTCGTCCCGATGACTCTCACAGATCAAAAACGTTTTAAAAATATACGTTCCTCGTCCCGATGACTCTCACAGATCAAAAACATTTTAAAAATATACGTTCCTCGTCCCGATGACTCTCACAGATCAAAAACGTTTTAAAAATATACGTTCCTCGTCCCGATGACTCTCACAGATCAAAAATGTTTAAAAAATATACGTTCCTCGTCCCAATGACTCTCACAGATCAAAAACATTTTAAAAATATATGTTACTCAGGCCAGACGCGGTGGCTAACGCTGTGATCCCAGCACTTTGGGAGGCCGAGGCAGGTGGATCACGAGGTCAGGAGACAGAGATCATCCTGGCCAACATGGTGAAACCCTGTCTCTACTAGAAAATACAAAAAATTAGTCGGGCGTGGTGGTGGACGCCTGTAGTCCCAGCTACTCGGAAGGCTGAGGCAGGAGAATGGCATGAACCCAGGAAGCGGAGCTTGCAGTGAGCCAAGATCGCGCCACTGCACTCCAGCCTGGGCGACAGAGCGAGACTCCGTCTCAAAAAAAAAAAAATTATATATATATATATATATATATATATATATATATATATATATATATATATATATATATGAAATAATATACCTTACTCGTCCAGATGACTCTCACAGATCAAAAACGTTTTAAAAATATATGTTACTCGTCCCGATTACTCTCACAGATCAAAAACGTTTTAAAAATATACATTACTCGTCCCGATTACCCTCACAGATCTAAAACATTTAAAAATATACGTTACTCGTCCCGATTACTCTCACAGATGTGAAACATTTAAAAATATATCACAGTCTGGCTGTCACCTCCTAACGTATTTAAGAATGCTAACAGTATATAAACTTAAAACACCCAGAGAAACTCCCACTGGCTAACAAGGTGGTGGCTTATTCACTTGCATTGGTTTTGCTCTTCTAGAAACAGTAACCTGCCACCACCCTGGTGTCTCTGGTGCCTTCTGCAAAGCACAGGTTTTATGGGCTGGGCCCAGCTCCCAGGGCACTGAGTATGGCCAGGCGGGTACACCTGACTTGTACTGGGGTGACTGCAGGGTCTCTCAGACCTTAGCTCCTCCTCTGAAGAGCGGAAATGACATGCAATTCTCTTGGGGTTGTAAAAATGACTAGATTAGATGGTGCCAAATCCCCAGTTCCTCCCCTACTGCCATCAAGAGAGAGGAGAGAGCAGAGAATGCAAGGGAGTGCACAGACCTCACAGGTCAAGGGCTGCCTTGCTCACCTCTGACATTAGCAGAGCTTGTTTCCTTACCTGTAAAACAAAGGTGGCGGGTTAGCTGTGAGGTTTAAATGACTTCCATGTAAAGAGTTAGAAGAGAGCCTGCAATGAGTGCTAAGCACATTCACCGTTTGTTTTCTCACGGGTTTTCTGTTACACTCCTCCGAGTGCAGAGAGGCAGCTCCCTTGTGAAGCTATCCACACGGTCTTCCGCCTCTCGCTTGCCTGTCTCCTGTCTCTCCAGGGAGGTGCTGGCTGCTGTTGGGCTGAGTCCTCTTGGAACTTCCTTGGGTTTCTTACACCAACATTAAAGACTGAAGTAATCTCCCACCGCAGCCCCAGCCTCAAACTACTGCTCCTATTGTTCCAGCCATCATTTCTACACCCTGGGGTGGTTGTTCACATTCCTGGCTCACTCATCTATCTTCCTTCCTCCCCAAAGCTATTCCCCTGACATTCAGGCACACTCCTTCCCCCTCATGCTTAGATATGTGTCCCCAGTCCCTCTGGATATCCCTGCCAAATGTATCTTGCTAAACCCCCCTTTTAAATTGGGACACATCCCTCTAGTGGATATCTGGATGCTGCCCTGTGTCTAGGGATCAAGCCCAACTCTTCCACTTGTGTAACTTATGGTGCTGCTTCCTGTGGTCATCTCAGTTCCCACAGTTCCTAACCCTTCTTCCCACTGCACAGCTCCTCCTCATCCCACCTCTGAAAGACCACATCCAACCTCAGACACCAGGACTACAGCCAAAAATGGAAAAAAACCTTAGTATTGAATCCAAGATGTGATCAATTATAAGCTGCACCATCACTTTATGTGCCACTAAGAGCACAGTCCATTAACAGTGATACACCCTTGTAAAATAAATCTGATTTCTGAGATGTTACGGCACGGGGAAAGTGCTGGAACTAAGCCTTCCTGGCTCCTGAATACTCCAAGAAACAGGGTAGTGTGGGAAGCTGAGTAACAGCCCTCAAAAGATGGTCACGTCCTAATCCCTGGAATTTGTGAGTGTCGCTTTATATGGCAAAAAGAACGCTGCAGATGTGGTAAAATGGAGGATCTTCGCTGGTGGAGGACTATCCATAAGGCCCTAAATGCCATCTCCAGTATCCTTAAAAACGGAGGAAGTCCAGCCTGGGCAACACAGTGAGACTCCATCTCTACAAAAAATGTTTAAAATTAGCTAATTAGCTGGGTGTGGTGGTACAGGCCTGTAGTCCCAGATACTCGAGAGGCTGAAGTGGAAGGGTTGCTTGAGTCCAGGAGGTCGAGACTGCAGTGAGCTATGATCACACAACCACACTCCAGCCTAGGTGCAAACAGCTCACTGCAGCCTCAATCCTTGTCTAACGAAAAGAAAGAAAACAGGGAGGAACAGAGATTTGACAAAACAGAAAGCAGAATGGCCCCATGAGGATGAAAGCAGCTGCCAGCTCTGAAGGGAGAAGGGCCTGCAGCCATGGAATGTGGCTGAGAAGCAAGAAAAGCAGGAAAAGCTTCTCCCCAGGAGCCTCCAGAGTGCACACCCTGCCCACCCCTCAGTTTTAGCCCAGAGGAACTGATTTCCAACTGCTGGCCTCCAGAACCCTTAAAAGATAAGAGTGTTGTCTGAAGCCACCAAGTTGATGGCACTTTGTCACAGGCGCCCTAATGCACCAACCATGTCATCCTTTCCCTCCTGCTCCAGTACTCACGTTGACATCTACGGAGCATTTCTTTTAAAACTTTGCTTCACACACAGCACCATTTGTGATTAAGTAAAATCAATTCTTTCTACTAGTTACTGGATAAATTCCAAGATCTTTATATGTGTGAAAAAATAAGTAGGAAGAGTATTGTTACTTTGTATTGGATTACATTTGGAGTTTCGGTTTCAAAAGTCTAGCACTCAGATATTAATGTAGACGGTGTTAACAAATTTTAGGTACGCACTTACTAGCCATTTAAAGATTTGTAGCACAAATGAAATAAATTAATGATCTCAGTAGGCAATTCACTTCTAATTGTGTATAAATATCAACACCAGCTTTATATAACATTTTACAAATTGGGTACAAAGTATAAACCAAAAAGAAAATTCTAAGCTCCCAACTATCTGAACAGCTCCTCCTCTCTGCCAGAGGCATTCCAAAGTTAACCTGTAAAACTACTTCAGGCCACGATGAGGGGGTGGGGCATCGGACACACCTCATTACCATGACACAGACTTAAGACTGACAGAACTGACAGAAGAACTGACAGACTCTTTAAGTCTGACAGGAAACATTAACCATCTATTCTCTCTGAAGCCTGCTACCTGGAGGCTTCATCTGTACAATAAAACCTTGGTCTCCACAAGGTAATCCAGACATTCCTTTATATTGATTCCAGGTCTCTAGACAGTAACTTAACCAATTGCCAATCAGAAAAATCTTTGAGTCCAGCTATGATCTGGAGCGCTCCCCACACCAACCTGCTTCCAGGTGTCCCACCTTGCTGAACGAATGTACCCGCTTCCAGCTGTCCCACCTTTCTGAACCAATGTACCTGCTTCCAGGTGTCCCACCTTTCTGAACCAATGTACCCACTTCCAGGTGTCCAACCTTTCTGAACCAATGTACAGCTTACATGTATTGATTGGTGTCTTATGTATCCCTAAAACTTACAGGTCAACCCCCTTGGGCAAATGTCTTGAGACTATGTCACCAGCATCCTTTAAACCTGGCAAAATAAAATACTAAATTAATTGAGACTTGTCTCAGATACTTTTGGTTTACAGATTAAACTAAATGCTTTAACAAATATATAACAAAGTTTCATAAGAAAATGGAAGGTGAAAGTATCATTCAGATTAATAATTTTAGCAATTTGATACTGGTTCTCAAAATGTGAGCAGCATAATCAAAAACTAGCATATAATAGGTACTCCAGTATAATATTTATGGCATGAAGTTAGATAATGTTCTCCCAAATCACTGGATTTATTTTCTACAGATCTACCTTACTCTGGGAAACTTAAAACATATCAATCCCTCAGACAGGAAACAACTCCACATATAATACACGTTAAAATTAAACTATTACAACTGACCCCGAAATAGGATGTGCACTTTCAAATCCCCACTTTTTAGTCACTAACCAGCACTTATTCACAAAAGGAAGTTAATGAATATTAGAATAATTAAATGTTATATGTACAAAATGTAAAATTAACTATCATTATCTATGGCATCAGGATGACTCCTGGAAGTGGAGTCAAGAAAGATTAGCCATGTCCTTGGAACAATATTTGTTTTAAGGAAGATACAGAGCAAATCAAGGCAAGGAAGAGGAGTGCCACTGTAGGCTCCTTGGATATTATTTTAGGGATATACAGAGAGGAAGAGAAAGTGAAATTTTACGGCACACATACTTGCAAGTGTTAATAACAACAAAGCATTATGGTAGATAAATTCTTAGCAACAGCGTAAACAAACCACGGTGGAACAGAAACAAAGAAAAACCCCAGGGCTCATCTGTTCCATTTCAGCAGAGGTGGGGGAGGGAGGTGGCAAAGGCCACACCAGGACTTGCCTGCAAGCGGAGCACTGGTCACAGCTGGGCATCTCTGGGCCTGTGACTCAGACGGCTGACCCGAGGACATGCCTCCCTGCCCGCCCATGTCCAGTGTGTTCACTGGCCTCTCCGCATTCCAGCCTCACAACCACAGCACAGAGTCAGGCTCAACCCCCATCAAACCAAAGAGGAAACAAGGTTCTAAGAGTTGGACCTGACTCACCCAAGGGCAGGGAGTTAGGAAGGGGTGGGTCTCAGGGCGCAACCCACACCCACCAGAGCCAGAGCCTGAGCTGTGGGCTCTGCGAGACGGTGGGAGCCTCAAAGCTAACCAGAGGCCGGTGGCCACACCTCAGCACACCCCACAGAAGGGCAGCCCCACTCGCACGGGCCCTGGCCACATGACTGGTCATGTCCAGACAAGGACACACCAATTCAACAAATCATCATGGGAACCTCAAAGTAGCCATTACTCAATTGTGCTACACGAAACCATGGCAGTTAAAAATACTTGTAACTGTTAGCAAACTTTAATATACCAACACAGCACAGGGGAAGAAAAGCAATCTGAAGTTGTGACTCATTATGGAGGGAATGCTTTCTTCCAAAGGTTATTCAGACAAAAAGAGATAGGGATAAATCCTCTGTCTTTTAACAACATACCATGCAAAAACAAACACTGCCTTCCAAGGCCAGACTTCTGCTTACAAAATTATCATGTCTAATGAGTTCAAAAATAATTCATATATCCTAGACACAGATCTAATAAATAGCTCAAGTAAATACGTTTTCATAACTTAAAAAGAGCAGAAAATTAAATATCTCAAATTCTATTTTTAACTCTTCTCATTATATCATATCTCACAATCTAGTTTTTCAAATGTCTATCAGACATCATTTAAATAAAGTCTGGTAGCTTCATAAGACAGATGATACTGCAATAGTCAAAGTCATATTTCTGAAGAATAACATACTATCCATAATATAGCATTTAAGAAAGGAGGATACTATACACACCCATATATCCAAACATATCATTAAAACATTAACAAAATCCACGGAAATGTTGCCAATGTAATGTTATCACTAGTTAGTAGAATTGCAGGTAACGTTTTTCTTCTTTATTCTCCTCCAAAGCTTATTCTTCAATGAGCATACTTTCTTCTTTAAATCAGAAAAAAATGTTTTTGAAACCTGTCTAGCCATAACATAAGAAATGAAGAAAAATACAACTACATGTTCATTAAATATAGAAAGATAAAGGGGGACTTCACCGTGTAACTGAACAAATTAAAAAAAAGAAACTCAGTTTCAATGACAATTTTACAAGTAATAAAGAAAGCATAATGAAAACCATCATATTAGTATTTCCACATCTGCTGTTGGTGTGGTTATCACTAATTCCAGCACGCAATCACCAAGCACAAAACTGAAGCTGTTATCCGAAAGGACACTGCTGCTGCAATACACAAGTGCACGTGGGATGTGCTTCTTACTTTGTACTGATACTTTCATCTAGACACTGCCGTAATCCATTAAACCCCATTCAATTTATACTTTACTAGCAACTACCATTATGGATGGTTTGGTATTATGGATGATCTTTTAAATATATTTTTTCTTGGATTTTAAAAAAGTGAACATGTATTATTTTTACTAAAAGAATGGGGGAGAGTCTAGAGAGATATTAACAAATGGATAAAACATTTCAATTACAAGGAATGAGTTCAAGAGATCTATTGTACAACACTGTAACTATAGTTAGCAACAATATAATATATTCTTGAAAAAGTCACTAAGAGTAGATTTTCTAGTGTTCCACCACAAAAAATGGTAAGCCCGTGACATAATGCATTTGTTAATTAGCTTGATTTAGCACATTCTACAATGTATACATATTTCAAAACATGTTGAACACAATAAAAATAATACTTTTATCAGATAAAAAAATAACAACAGCCAGGTGCAGTGGCTCACGCCTGTATTCCCTCCCAGATCTTTGGGAAGTAGAGGCAGGAGGATCGCTTGAGCCCAGGAGTTCAAGACCAGCCTGGGTAAGAAACCTCCCTTCTACAAAAAATTTTAAAAATTAGTGAGACGTGGTGGCGCATGCCTGTAGCCCAAGCTACTGGGGAGGCTGAGGCGGGAGGGGTGACTGAGCCCAGTAGGTTGAGGCTGCAGTGAGCCATGATTGTGCCACTGCACTCCAGTCTGGGCAACAGAGCAAAACCTTGTGTCAAAAAATAAATAAATAAAAATAATTGAAAAAAACCCACCAATTCATACTATGACTAATGCTAGGATTAAACAGATTTGCTGTGTTATTGCCGGCTGGTAAATTTCTGAGTTTAAGGCCTTGTCTTACACACATTTTGTGTCACTAGCACCTAACACAGTACCTAGAACATAGCAAATGCCTAATAAATGTCCATAAATTCATCAAGACTCATTTTTAATGCTTACATATAAATTGGACTAGTTTCTTAAAATGCGATCCAGGAAAAAATTCACAAAAATAAATAGTTTGCTTTAACAAACATTATAGAACTTTAAAAACAGTTAAGAAAAATAAATGAAGAAAAGAAATTAGTGACAGGAAGAAAGACTCTGGAAAAACCTCCATAAATAAAACATGCTTTATGGAAAAAATGATCCCATGCAAAAGACAACTACTAACATATTCACCATCTGTGTAAGAACTATGCCCCACCCAATTCCAAAAGAACAGGAGGTGACTCAGTGTTCAAGGAACAATAAGATCATTGAGAGTAAAAGAAGATCGCCTATTTGAAGAAAAGTGTGATGGGTACTCCCGGCTATTACAGTAGTACAGGGCCCAACAATCCAGCAATAATTTTGGCTGTGAGTTTTCTGGTAGCTACAGCAAGAATAGAAGTATACTGCATTACACAGTAGCTTTCCTTTTCTGATTTCACAAGCTTAGATCTGAACACATCACTACTTTCACCCCCATCATGTCCAAACTCTGTCTTAAAAGCACGACAGTAATCCCAGCCACGTCCCTGCATCCTGTAAATCAGAACTGCCCTGAGGGCCTGGGCCAGCCATCCAGAAGGAGCACTTCTACTCCTCCCAGGTCATGGGGACCTGGGCTGGGGTCTAGTGGGACCACTTCCTTTCCTCACTGCTGGGCCCAGAGTAAGTCCCAAGCTGAGTGCAGCCTTCTACCAGGTGGAGGAGTTACAACCCTATCAGAACTTCCATGCATTTCCCTCCAGATGAGACGGCCCAGAAATCTGCCTTTGCAACTGTCCTCCACACGGCCGCTCGCGCTGTTGCCACTGAACGTAAGGCCATGCCCTTCAATAAGAGTAGAATCTCTTCCCTAGCATGTCCGTAAATTTATAACACGCCCCCTTAGTTACCATCAAACCCTCCCTGCTCCTTTCTTCTGAGCCACCGTGACACTGGAGCCATCACCACAGCCCGCCTCCCAGGTGCTTCTTCTAACTACTCTGAGCAGAGTGTAAATATGAAGACAGGATGATTTCTTACACTTGTGTTGGCACAATCATCTGCATAGAGTGGGTCCTTACATCTCTAAATGAAGAAATAAAATTCCTCTGAGACAGAATCGTCATGAAAACTAAAAAAGATAATGACTTGCCAAACCATAACAAAATGCAAGAGACGACAAAAGACCACAATGTATTCTATAATACATGATAAAATTATGTTCTGATAGAATGTACCCAGTATGAAACAAACCAATCCATAAGCTAAACTACTCAAACATATGTGATGATTATATACTGATACCTTGAATCACAGTTAAGACTTTGGAATAACTCACGGAAAAACAGATTTCGGTTTTTTATATTTTTGAAGCATGATTTCTATTGCTATGCAATTAAAATTAATATTTGTTTAAGCCAATATAGTATAGCATCCGTGTTTAAGGGACTATTAGAGGCCCGAGGTGGTGGCTCACACCTGTAATCAGAGCACTTCAGAAGTGCTGAGATAGGAGGATCACTTGAGCCCAGGAGTTTGAGACCAGCCTGGGCAACATAGCAAGACCTCGGCTCTACTACAAGTATAAAAAATGTTCAAATATATAAAATTAAAAAATAAATAAAAATAAAGTAATATTAGAGCTGGGTACAATGATTCACACCTGTAGTCCCAGCCACTCAGGAGGCTGAGGCAGGAGGATCCCTCAAGCCTAGGAGTTCGAGGCCAGCCTGGGGTAACACAGTGAGACTCCAGCTCAAAAAATAAAGTACTATTAGGTTTAAGTTAAAAATATTTACCTAGTTTTTAAAATTCATATACCTAACCCTTTCATTAACTCTCCTTTAAAATGTAAATACCCCCAAACTTAAGTTAGAACAATATTCCTTAAAAACTTTTACAGTTTTAGCTAGAATTCCGTAAGCAAAGGTGTACCTCACTTTGCACTATAACTGACCACCTTTTCATCCATTATTAAAAGAAATTCAGGCCAGGCATGGTGGCTCACGCCTGTAATCCTAGCACTTTGGGAGGCTGAGGCAGGCGGATTGCCTGAGCTTAGGAGTTCAAGACCAGCCTGGGCAACATGGTGAAACCCTGTCTGCACTATAATACAAAAGAAATTAGCTGGATGTGGCGGTGTGCGCCTGTAGTCCCAGATACTTGGGAGGCTGAGGCAGGAGAATTGCTTGAACCAGCGAGGCGGAGGTTGCAGTGACCCGAGATGGTGCCACTGTGCCCCAGCCTGGGCGACAGAGTGAGACTCTGTCTCAAAAAAAAAAAAAAAAAAAAAAAAAAAGACATTGGATTTTTTTTTTTTTAGAGACGGACTGTGGCTCTGTCGCCCAGGCTGGAGTGCAGTGGTGCGATCTCGGCTCACTGCAAGCTCCGCCTCCCAGTTTCATGCCATTCTCCTGCCTCAGCCTCCCGAGTAGCTGGGACTACAGGCGCACACCGCCACGCCCGGCTAATTTTTTGTATTTTTAGTAGAGACGGGGTCTCACCGTGTTAGCCAGGATGGTCTCAATCTCCTGACCTCGTGATCCACCTGCCTTGGCCTCCCAAAGAGCAGAGATTACAGGTGTGAGCCACCGCACCCAGCCCTGATGTCTATATTTTTTAACAGTGCTATTGAGACATAATTCACATACTCGTCAATGCACTCATTTAAAGTAAACAGTTTGATGGTTTTTAGTATATTCAGAATGTCTACTTCAAGGTTAAAGGCTGTGACCAATGTGGAAATCATGAAAGCCTACAGAAACGATCATAGGTTCATTAGGTCTAACAATAACACTATTCCATAACTGATCTTCACAGGATGGAAGTTTACATTTATGAATACGTACTTATAAAATATATTATGTTTTAAGTGTATATATCCATATAAACTATTTATATTTCAGTCCTAGCTCTATACCCTCCCATCCTTAAATGTAGAATGATAATAATATTAATCTTAAGTAGAAATTTTACTAAATCCACAACATACAGGCTGATGGATTGCATATATCCTAAATTTAAATCTATTTTTTAGCTTAAACTAAAAACCTGATATTTACTGCTTTATTTTTAGCCATCTTGGGGCATTAATGTTCTAACTGAAGGAGGTTCTCAGACCACAGAACTGAAGCAACAACGGTCACATCCTTTCCCTTCTGTGTCTCAGCCGCAGTGTGGGTGTGAACAAGAAACCCAAGCAGCATCCTCATCCTATCTGCAGCTACGATGAGGACTCCAACACTTCCTCAACCACATGACCACTCGGATTCAGGTGCTGAAGAAGCACTTGTTTAAAATAGCTAAATTGTGGCTCCTGAATTAGCTATGCCAACTATTTTCAGTTACAAGTCTTCACAATATTTTATTAAAGTATTAAGTCAATGATTAACACTGAGAATAAAAAAATATTTGCCCTTTCTTTACATGAGATCACAGTGCATTATTTTCTTCTGTTCATTTAGTTCTTAGACTATACATACCATATTTTTGCTAGAGTTAAATTTTCCTGAACTTCCCAGAAGGGCAATGGGAAGAAAGCTCTCCCCAGAGAAAGTTTGTATACAAAAGTACAGAACAACATAACCAAGGAAGCTAATATGCTTTAATTCTCAATAATCCAAGTATGAGGGTAATAAAAGACCAACTGTCAGAACAGTTAAGTAGTATTATCCGTGACAGTATTATCCATAGCAGCCATACAATCAGCATTTATTGGCAATAGTAAAAGCAGGATAGAGTCAGACTTTATCCTATGAAGAGATAATATTTTCAAATAAATAAAAATAGTAATGAAAAATTGCCCTTATTAATCTCTATAAAAACTCTTCAAGAATCTTCCTCACAGCCCTGAGCATGGTGGCATGCAACTGTAATCCCAGCTACTTGGGAGACTCACGTAGGTGGTTCGCTTGAGCCCAAGAGTTGAGCCCAAGAGTTCAAGCCTGGGGAACACAGCGAGAACCGCCTCTCTTTAAAAAACAAAAAAGGCTGGGCGCGGTGGTTCATGCCTGTAATCCCAGCACTTTGGGAGGCCAAGGCTGGTGGATCACCTGAGGTCAGGAGTTTGAGACCAGCCTGGCCAACATGGTGAAACCCTGTCTCTACTAAAAACACAAAAATTAGCCAGACGTGGTGACGGGCGCCTGTACTCCCAGCTACTTGGGAGGCTGAGGCAGGAGAGTCGCTTAAACCCGGGAGGCAGAGGTTGCGGTGAGCCGAGACCATGCCACTGCCCTTCATCCTGGGCAACAGAGTGAGACTCCGTCTCAAAAATAAATAAATAAATGAAATAATAAATAAATAAATCTTCTCTTCTTCACCCAGGGTAGTCTAATGGTCCAGGGCCCATTACCACAGGGTAGACACTTAAACAACAAAAAGCCCTGTCCTCAATTCATCCAGCCTGCCAGGCCTTTCCCCTAAGCAGTTGGAACATAACTGTTCATGGGAAAAGAAGTGAAGAATAACAACACTGTTTATATTAAAGCTGTAGGACCAAACTTACAGAATTATCACAGTTAAGTGAGAGCCATCTGTCACATCCTAATAGCCTCAATCAGGAACAGTACATATAGTTTCTCAAAGTATTAATACTCTTATCTCATTTCCATATCCAGCTTCAGTTTTTACTCAGTAAGAAGAAAAGCTGTCAGTGAATATATACAAAGGTGAGGTGAGGAAATTAGTATCTCCTTAATTCATGTTTTCCTATGTTTCCACTCTGCCATGAATTCACGGTTGTCAACGACACACTATGAAAACAAGTACAGCCTTTGGGATGTACAGATACATCTTGTTCAAGGCAAAATACCAGTCCAAAGTTCAGAAACCCCAAGCACCAATGTATGTATGGTAAAAATCAAGGTACTAGTAATATTGGCCAGGCATGGTGGCTCACACCTGTAATCCCCACACTTTAGGAAGTCTAAGTGGGAGGATGCCTCGAGGCCAAAAGTTTGAGACCAGCCTGGACAACGCGGTAAGAACTCATCTCTAGAAAAAAAAAAAAACAAAAACAAACCCAAAGTGCAAGTAATACTGAAATCTTAACTTTTCTTATTCATAGTTTCTTCTATTATTGATGTGCTTTGACCACCCCCACCACCCCTGCCGCGCAGCAGAATTTCAGGCACACTTCGAGACCATGCAACCTGCTGGTTTTATTATGAAAATAAAGTATATTACACTTTTAATAAATATCACAAAATAGATACATAAGTATAATTTAAAAGATATTTTTAAAATCTCTCTAAAACTGTCAACATAATCACTGTCAAGTTTCATGTGAATCCTTCAAGAAGCGTCTTAAGCATCCTAGGCACACTGAAGTTTACACATGTGGGATTATGAGCTCAAGTACAAATTTGGAATAAACAAGTAAAACATTCTGGAGAAAATATAAATTCTTCATGAGGTGAACACCACAGTTCATCAGTTTAAGTCACACAGATTAAAAACTTGAAAAGAATCTTTGGCTAAATTACTTTTGTATTTTTTTTTTTTTTAAAGAATTTCAGGCTGGGCGCAGTGGCTCACACCTGTAATCCCAGCACTTTAGGAGGCTGAGGCGGGTGGATCACGAGGTCAAGAGATCGAGACCATCCTGGCCAACATGGTGAAACCCAGTCTCTACTAAAAATACAAAAATTAACTGGGTGTGGTGGTGTGCGCCTGTAGTCCCAGCTATTCGGGAGGCTGAGGCAGGAGAATGGCTTGAACCCGGGAGGCGGAGGTTGCAGTGAGTTGAGATGGTGCCACTGCACTTCAGCCTGGCAACAGAGCGAGATTCCGTCTCAAAAAAAAAAAAAAAAATTTCAGTTCTTCAATAGGGCAGCAATTTCATCTGTACAGTCTGTGTGGCCGGGCGCGGTGGCTCACGCCTGTAATCCCTGCACTTGGGGAGGCCAAGGCAGGCGGAACACAAGGTCAGGAGTTTGAGACCAGCCTGGCCAACATGGTGAAACCCTGTTTCTACTAAAAATACAAAGATTAGCTGGGCGTGATGGTGCACGCCTGTAATCCCAGCTACTCGGGAGGCTGAGGCAGGAGAATCTTTTGAACCCTGGAGGCGGAGGTTGTAGTGAGCCGAGATCACGCCATTGCACTCCAGCCTGGGCAACAGGGAGAGGCTCTGTCTCAAAAAAAAAAAAAAAAGAAAAGAAAAAGAAAATCTGTGTTTCACAAAGATTTTTAACAAGCAAATTTGATATTAGCCAATAACCAAGTATCTATGAAAGTCAGCATCATCACTTCCTGCAAATTTCAGCACTGATAACATTGCTATGTTATCAATATAACATAGCAATGGATGCTAATGGACTCTGTTTTTAGCTACTTTTTAGTATTATGCATCTTAGTGTAATATAGACACAAAACGTCACTTTAAAGTCCTTTTCCATTTCCAAAGTGCACCTCCTCTGTTCTTAGTTTTCCCCACCTCGGTTCCTCTTAACTTCCTTTTTCTACACACCCCTCGGTTTTTCCCGCCGCTAGCTAAAAGCTGCACCATGCCAGTTACCTTGGTTCTCCAAATATGACTCCCTCATGCTCACCACGCATCGGCAGAACTGTACATTCCCAAGCTCCTTACATTATATTCTTACTCCAGTTGCAATATGACGTCACAAAGTAGCATCTACTACCTTCTTCTTGTCTTGGGCACGCCTCCTTTCTAATTCTTGTTTGCCATCTGTGTCATGCCTTACTTCTCAGGTGTCTCATGACTGGAAACAGGGACTTTTCTCCTCTAAGAGAAAATGACCCTTCCGAAACCCACTGCTGGTCACCTTCACCCCAAAGTTTATATTAAGCCTAATGGAAGAATCATTAAAATCCTTTCTTGCAGTGTGAAACTGTGAAGCCAAGTCATGGCTAAGAAAGAATTAGGGAATGACAAGAAAAAGATTTGAAGCCAACTCTTCGTGTCTATAGTCCATAAATATACGAGGTAGAGAACTGCCGGGTTAAAAATAAAATAATACCATGACTCTTGTTATTGCTGCAACTCTTCCAAAACTTCCTGCCACACACACACACATTCACACTGGATTCAGGTCGATCCCATATAAAAATGCTCAGTCTCACAATTATACTTGCAAAAAAACTGAAACAATCTTTCAATTATCTAATATCTCCACATCTTTCGAGAGACACTTACTGCCCTTGAAATGCGTCAGAAACAACCAAGACACGAGTGCGTCTTCTCCCGGTAGAAGAAAAAGTTAACTTCTCCCCCACCAGCTGTCATTACGTTTTTTAAAAAACAGAGAGAAGGAAAAGCTGAAGCCACCCGGAGCATTTCCAGGCCGGCAGGGCTTTGGGAATGCGCACGAGAATCGCGCTGGGCGCTCTGAGAGCAGAACCGGCCGCTCAGGCCCCTAAGGAGACCCCGCGGGCGGCACCAGGAGGAAGCGCGCGCTCCGGGCAGGGCCGCGGCCGAAGAGGGGGCGCCAAGCCCGGTACCTGCCGCTGGCGCTCGGGGTCTGCAGGCCGGGGGAGGGAAGCGGGCTTTGTGAAGAGGGGTCTCCGAGAAAGCCGCGCGGGACGGCGAGGGGAGGCTTCACGAGGGCAGACGCGCCCCGGACCCGGAGCCTGGGCGGGCGGGGAAGCGGAGAAGGGGACGCCCGACTTGGACGGAGGGAGGGCACGGAGCACTCAGGACTAGGGCGGGAGCGGCGAGCAGCGGGCGGCGGCCCCAGGCGGACAGGTTCGCAGGGAGTGGGCCGGAGGCCGGGGCGGGGCTGGGGTCTGCACTCGCCCTAGCGGGCAGGTCGCCAGCAGGCTGGGAGTCGGGGCCGGGGGGCGGGGCGGGGTCTGCACTCACCTAGGTTGGCAGGTCGCAGGAACCGGCCCGGGGGCCGGGGCTGGGGTCTGCACTCGCCCAGGCGGAAGGGAAGCGCCTGCCTGGACCGGGGTGGGTGGGGGACTACGAAGGCGGGAGCCGGGGCAGGGCTGGGGTCTGCACTCACCCAGGCGGCAGGTCGCGGGGAGGGGAGTGCCTGCCTGGACGAGGGGAGATCGGGACTGGTGGTCAGGGGTCGGGACGGGCAGGGGTCTGCACTCACCCAGGCGGGCAGGTCGCAGGCGCGCACCCCCAGGCGCACGACGCGCTCCTCGTCTTCCAGCAGCGCCAGCGCGCGGCACAGGCGCAGGGCCTTGAGGCCGCGGCTGCGGCGACACCAGGCGAGCAGCGCGAGCGCGAGGAGAACCCAGCTGAAGCTGAGCCCCAGGTAGCCCAGCGCGTACACGGGCAGCAGCAGCGCGAAGCTCCGCGCCAGCTGCGCCAGCAGCCCGGGCAGCTCCACGCTCAGCACGCCCCCGGGGTTCTCAGGCGCCGCGCGGCCCCCAGCCCCGCCGGCGCCCGCCTCCGGGCCCTCGCCCCGGGCGCCGCTCATCGCCCCGCAGTGCCGCGCTGCCCTCCCGGCCGAGGCGGGCTGGGTGCTCGCGCTGATCCCGGGCGGCTCAGCCCCGCGCCAGCGCCCCTCTGAGGGGACGCGGCTCCGCCGCACGCCCGCCTCCGCCCGGGACGGTGGCGTCATCACGCGGGGCGGGAGCGGCGTGGGCCTGGGGCTGGCACGTCACCGGGAGCGGGCGGGGTGGATACTGACGTCATCGCGCGGGGCGGGCCGTGGGCCGGGTCGGAGACTACTGGAGTGGGCCGGGCAGGCGCACGACGTCATCACGCGAGCGTTGTGTCTCGGCTGGCGGGAGCCGGGGACGGGAAAGGAGAGTGCTCGGTGCGTGGGCTGGGCGTGCCTGCGTCCCCTCGAGCCCCACGGGGCACCCTCCCCACTTGCCTGTGGCCTCGGAGCCCGCGGGCGGTTTTGGCTCGGCGTCGCGCCCCGAGGCGGCTTCCGGGTGCGTGGCTGCGCTCGCCGAGGCCCGGGAAGTTGCCGTCGTCAAACCCAAAGGCTGACCGCCTCTGGGAGCTGCTGGCAAACGTGGGGGTGCGCGGCCGCTGAGCGCAGCCGGGGTGGCGGTGGGATGAGAGGGCGGCGTCCCTGTTTGCGGTCATTTTGCGGCCAGGAGGACGGGTGAGAGGGCGCCGCCCGCCGGAGGTCGGACGGGCGCCGCTGGCGGGAGTCCTCCGGTATTTTTCGGTGTGAGGTTGCCTAGCCAGTGTGCAAGGTTGTGGCTTTTGCGGAGTCTCTCGGGACGGTCTTGTTATCGGGCATTCCGGCGTGAGAACGCTGCCTCTGGGGCCCTTCCCACCCTGCTTGTCAGGGTTTTAAACACAAACGACTCCGTTGTGACCTTGACAACTCTCACACAGTTCAGTTGGCTTTTAAGATGCCTTTAATCCCAAAAGTCCTCCCTGAGGGGTCTGGTAGTGCCGGGCAAAGACCACCGCAAGCGCCCAAGGGACGCTGTTGACACTCGGGAACTCCACCCCGGGCACCACGCAGCTTCGCCGAAGGTGTTAATATTGTGGCCAACTATGAATAGCTGTTTCAAACGACTAATTTTGGGCCTTTCCTGTGATTCCTGAGGTCACTTTTCAGTTAACTCAAAAACACAACTATTGATCACTTTACTTTCCAGTGAATTCAATCGAGTTAATTATATTTGTTCTGTAGTTTCTTTCAAGGAAACTCCAAGCCAAACAGTAGCAAAGAACATCCTACTTGACTGTTTTTGAGCATATTCAGTGAATTCCAAGGAAATTTTTACTGAATTTGTAACAGAGTAGGGCACTGGCAGGTACTGAATGAATAAACAAATGCCCAGAAGAAGCAGGGTCACCTTTACATAGGAATCTGTCTCCCCTCGTTCCTGCGTCTTCATAATTTTGTGTGCATATGTATGTGGAGATTATATCACATATGTAAAACATTGCAGAGTCTAAACTCTCAACTCCAGGCAAGGGCAGTAAACCCCAAGCAAGGAATGGAAGTGGTTTCCCTTTTCTTACTCTTCACAGTCCCTGGTTTGCTGCAGCAACAAATTATATTATGTAGATTGTAAATATGCAACCGGTTAATGCTCCTAACACCACCTTTCATTCAAAACTAAGCCTCAACACAAAAGCAAGTAATTGCTTTGTTGACACAGAAAGGAGCCTGAGCCTTTCTTTTGCAGCTTTCCTCTACTGGAAAATTGTAGGATCACATCCTACAAAGACTTGCATAAACATAAGCCACGTAAAAAATTCTGTAATCCCAGCACTTTGGGAGGCCGAGGAGGGCAGATCACGAGGTCAGGAGATCAAGACCATCCTGGCCAACATGGTGAAACCCCGTCTCTACTAAAAATAACAAAAAATTAGCCGCGCATGGCGGCGCGCACCTGGAGTCCCAGCTACTCGGGAGGCTGAGGCAGGAGAATTACTTGAACCCGGGAGGCGGAGGTTGCAGTGAGTCGAGATCGCACCACTGCACTCCAGCCTGGGCGACAGAGCAAGACTACGTCTCAAGAAAAAAAAAAAAATCCTGTGCCATGTGCCATCCAGTGGTTGACCCAAGGATGTAAACTAGATTGAAGAGAAGTTTCCATGTTGCATACCAGTCAGCCCAAGTGTCCTCAGCTTCCCTCTGTGTGAGCCCCGGGTTTCCAGCCCCTCCCTGTGGTTAATTGCCTGCAGAAAGCAGATCCTAAGGCTCTGCCACAGCTCAGTCTTACAGGTGTCTGGTCTGACTGCAGGTCCAGCTCGGCTCTTAGATTTTTGCTAATATTATACCCCTCAATCTCCTGTGACCTTTCATGACCCCTCCATCCTTTCCTTCTTGTAGACAAGGAGAAGTGCTGCTTTCTCTGGAGTGTCATTCCGAGTGCTCCGGTGCACAGCTGCGAAGTTCCAGCCTTCCTGGTTTCAGAGGAAAGTGCTATCTTGTGCTTAGGTTCAACTCTTCCTGCTTTTGGGTCCTCCCCCACACCTCTAAATACGTCTCGTTATGGAGGGTGGGAGCACGTGCTCTGCATCTCTTCAATTTGGAGGTTATACCAGCAAATTAAATATACTGGGGACAGTGAAAGCCAGGTTTCTTGCTGTTGGAGAAGGTAAAAACATGGAAGAGGGAAGGCTAAAAAGAACACTGAGGGATTGGATTGGAACTGGAAGTGGTAGTATGAACTCATTTTTTTAAAATATGTATATACAGATAGATATAAAGATAGCTGTATGTGTGTGCACACATGTGTAGGTATATGTGCATATAAACACAGAAATAGTTTCTAGTTCTGTCTGCTGAGTATCTAGATGCAATGGTACCCCAGTACCAGTGATCACAGCTAGCCCCCAGATCTTATCTTCTAAATAAGGTTTTCCAACAAAAGGAATCAGGGCTCTTTGGAGAAATGGTTAATTTCAGGGCTGGAGTGGAAGTACAAGATGATCCTGGAATAATTTTGTTGTTCAAGGAAGTGAAGAAGTGCTCAAAGATTGACAGGAGATCAAAGGACATGGAAAGTAGTTGGAGGGAGTTCTTGCTGGCGAAATCTAGGACAATTTGAGCAACAAAACAAAGAATGATATTGGCAGATTACCACTGAGTGAGCAAAATAGAAACGCATGAGTTGAGTCCACACTGATGTAGATCAACAAACCAGTGATGAATGCAGGGAAAATAATAGTGGAGAAGGGGAGGTTCTTCTTTACAGTAGAATGTGAACTCATAAATGGAGAAGGAATTATGAGAATGGAAATAACCATTTACCAATCACTGTAGTGGGGTTGTTGCAGGAGTGAGAATGGAAATAACCATTTACCAATCACTGTAGTGGGGTTGTTGCAGGAGTGAGCTATCAATGGAGGCTCAGGGTGGTAGGTGGAGATTTGATGAGGAATGAGAATGGACATCTTTCTTCAGCATACTTTTCCATTACAAAGAGGAAAATTGAGACTTTCTGGTGGGAAACACCAGCAGACACCAGCGTGGCCAGGTAATGAGACACCTGTCACCAGTGGAGAAAAGTTGAAACTGAGTCCCCGTGCACTGTGCTGAGAAGAGCACAGCAGCACGCCTGACACTTTTCTGCCAGAAACCACAGCCTCAGTCTAGCCTAGGGAATATCAGATAGACCCAGAAGGAAGGCCATTCTGTTTTCTTTATTACTGTCATGAGCCAGGAACAGTGGCTCACGCTTTGGGAGACTGAGGCAGAAGGATCACTTGAGGCTGGGAGTTCGAGACCAGCCTGGGCAATGTAGTAAGACTCCATCTTTACAAAAAAAAATCTTAAAAATTGCCCTGGCATGGTGGCACGAGCCTGTAGTCCCAGCTACTAAGGCTGAGGCAAGAGTATTGCTTGAGCCCAGGAATTCAAGGCTGCAGTGAGCTATGATTGCACCACTGCACTCTAGCCTGAGTGACAGAGGGAAACCCCTTCTCAAATAAATAAATTGTCATAAGAGACAGGATAAGACTAAGAATTGTTCCAGATTATATGAGACTGAAGAGACATAACAACTCCATGCAATGCATGTTCCTGGGAGGTCCCAGACATGGGAAAAGAAGTGTGGGCACAGTTGGTGAAGCTTGGGTGGGGTCTATGGGTTGGACAATGTATTGATATTGATTTCTCCACTGGGAAGGTTGTGTAGTGGAGGTGATCCTTGTTTTTAGAGTATTTGGGGGTGCCGTGGTTTGAATGTGTCCCTTCCAAAATTCAGATGTTGAAACTGAATGGCCAAGGCCAGGTGTGGTAGCTCACCAGTAATCCCAGCACTTTGGGAGGCTGAGGCAGGAGGATCGCTTGAGCCCAGGAATTCAAGACCAGCCTGGGCAACAATGGGACCCCCATCTATACAAAAAATTTAAAAATTATCTTTGCATGGTGGCATGTGCCTGTAGTCCCAGCTATTCAGGAGGCTGAGGTGGGAGGATCATTTAAGCCCAGGAGATCAAGGCCGCAGCGAGCTCTGGTCACGTCACTGCACTCCAGCCTGAGCCACAGAGCGAGAACCTATCTCAGAAAAAAAAAAGAAACTTAGTGGTCAGTGTGATGGTATAAGGAGGTGAGACCATGAGGTGACTAGGCCATGAGGCTCCTCCCTGTGGATGGAGGTAGTGACCTTGCAGACGAGGCTTCTGGCCAGGTGAGCACTCAACACTCCTCCCCTCACCAACAGGGTGCTGTCTTGGAAGCAGAGGATCCCTCACCAGACATCAAACCTCTTGGTATCTTTTTTTTTTTTTTTTTTTGAGATGGAGTCTCGCTCCGTCGCCCAGGCTGGAGTGCAGTGGCGTGATCTCAGCTCACTGCAAGCTCCGCCTCCCGGATTCACGCCATTCTCCTGCCTCAGTCTCCCCAGTAGCTGGGACTACAGGCGCCCACCACCATGCCCAGCTAATTTTTTGTATTTTTAGTAGAGACGGGGTTTCACTGTGTTAGCCAGGATGGTCTCTATCTCCTGACCTCGTGATCTGCCCGCCTCAGCCTCCCAAAGTGCTGGGATTACAGGCATGAGCCACTGCGCCCGGCACCTCTTGGTATCTTGATCTTGGATTTCTCCGTCTCCAGAATTGTAAGAAATAAATTTCTGTTCTTTATAAATTACCGTATCTCAGGTAGTTTGTTATAGCAGCATGTGGGTGAAGGATTACCTAGGTGCCGAGGCAAGAGACTGAAGGCACAAAATGTTTCAGTATAATAAAGAAAATAGAATAAGAATAGTTATAATACAAATTAGATATAGAGATGAGCATGGGCATTATCAATCATTAGTATAAACATTATTAATCATTAGCTTTTACTATTACTCTTTGTTGTATTACTCATATTACCAGGAATAACTGGCGGGTATAGGGTCAGGTACTGAAGGGACATTGTGAGAAGTGACCTAGAAGGCAAGAGGTGAGCCCTCTTATCACGCCTGCTTAAGGGCCGCTTGAGGGGTCCTTGGTCAAGTGGCAATGCCAGTGCCTGGGAAGGCACCCATTACTTAGCAGAACGTGAAAGGGAGTCTCCCTTTCCTTGGAGGAGTCAGGGAACGCTCTGCTCCACCAGCTTCTTGTGGGAGGCTGGATATTATCCAGCCCTGCCTGCAGTCATCCAGAGGCCTAAACCCCTCCCTGTGGTGCTGTGCTTCAGTGTTCACGCTCCTCGTCCACTTTCATGTTCCTTTTGTACTCCTGGTTCCTCTTTGAAATTTGTAGTAGATAGCGGTAGAAGAAATAGTGAAAGTCTTAAAGTCTTTGATCTTTCTTATAAGTGCATAGGGGAAAGTGCTGACGTTTGCTGCCTTCCCTCTCTGGTTCGGCTACCTAAAAGGGAATGGCCCCCTGTCCCATGATCACGTGACTTGCTTGACCTTATTAATCACTTGGACGACTCACCCTTCTTACCCTGCCCCCTTATCTTGTATGCAATAAATATCAGCGTGTCCGGCCATTCAGGGCCACTACCGGTCTCCGCGTCTTGGTAGTAGTGGTCCCCTGGGCCCAGCTGTTTTCTCTTTATCTCTTTGTCTTATGTCTATTTCTTACAATCTCGTCTCTGCACACGGGGAGAACACCCACTAAGCCCCGTAGGGCTGGACCCTATAGCAGCACAAAATGGGCTACGATAGGAAGTGATAAATAATCATATTTGAAGCTCTTAAATGATTCAGAAAAAGACTAATGATAATGAATGTCTGTGTGTAGATAGATGATAGAGAAAAGTGGAGCAATGTGTGAGGCTAGCAGTGGGAATCTGGGTGGTGGAGATAAGAGAGTTTTATTTTTGTTTGTTTGTTTGTTTACTTTTTTTTTTTTGAGATGGGGTCTCGTGGCCAGGCATGGTGGCTCATGCCTGTAATCCCCGCACTTTGTGAGGCCGAGGTGGGTGGATCACCTGAGGTCAGGAGTTCAAGACCAGCCTGGCCAACATATTGAAACCTCATTTCTACCAAAAATACAAAATTATCTGGGTGTGGTGGTGCGCTCCTGTAATCCCAGCTACTTAGGAGGCTGAGGCGGGAGAACCACTTGAACCAGGGAGGCAGAGGTTGCAGTGAACAAAGATCATGCCATTGCACTCCAGCCTGGGCAATAAGAGCAAAACACCATCTCAAACAAAAAAAAAAAAAAGAGGTTTTGCTATGTTGCCCAGGCTGGTCTTGTACTCCTGGGTTCAGGCAGAGTCCTCCCACCTTGACCTCCCAAAGTTCCGGGGTTACAGGTGTGACCCAGCCAGAGACAAGGGAGCTTTTTATACTTGCATATGTTCTCTAAGTTTGAAATTATTTCAAACAATTATTTTTAAAGCCCATATTTCCATCAAATGGCCAATTAAAAATGCATATTTGATTGAATCTCTTCCCTGCTTATAAAATATTTCCTTTTCTGAAGGTATGAAGTTAAAGCTCCTTAGTGTGACAGAGCTTTTCAAAATGTCACCGGCCTTGTCTGGCCGCTATTCCAGCCACTTTCCTATGTGGTGTCATGCTGCCAATTATTCTCAAATCATGGGATACGGTTTGGATGTTTGTCCAAATCTCATGTTGAACTGTGATTCCCAGTGTTGGAGGTGGGGTCTGGTGGGAGGTAACTGGATCATGGGGGTGGGTCCCTCACGAATGCTTTTGCACCATCCCCTCGGTGATGAGTGAGTTCTCACTCAGTTAATTCACATGAAATCAAGTTGTTTGAAAGAGTCTAGGACCTCTCCCTTCTCTCTCTTGCTCCCCCCTCACTATGTGACATGCCTGATCCCACTCTACCTTCTGCCATGGGTAAAAGCTACCCGAGGTCTCACCAGAAGCTGAGCAGATGCTGGCACTATGCTTGTACAGCCTGCAAAACCCTGAGCCAATTAAACCTCTTTATAAATTACCCAGCCTCAGCTATGTCTTTACAGTGACACCAAACGAACTAACATACCATCTCTGTGCCTGGACCATTCTTCTTCTAATCCTGTTGGTGAACTCCTGTTCACATTTCAAAGTCCAACATGTGGGTGTCCACCTCTGGGACGGCTTTTGTGGAGTCTTCCTCCCCCGAGCAGTCATCTCTGTACCTTGTGCTCGTCACTGTGATCACCTTTTCTACTGAATACAGCTCCGCTTCTCTGGGCTTGTCTCTTTTTGGAGATGCTGGTCCTCAGGAGCCCCAGCGGCTGCCCTGTGCGTATGTGGGGGATCCCCCGTATTCTTGGGGGAAGTTTGAATTTGATGGTACATATTAGAGTCCCCAACTAAGGCCATATGTCAAGTCACAAGCTCCATTTTAGTTTTTATCAGTAGTGGAGATGATATTGTGCATAGCTTAGCAAGTGCCAAATGCATGGGTCCTCCACTTGGGTCTCGTAAGTTGAAGCCAAGGTGTTGGCTGAGCTTGTTCTCACGTGGAGCTCAGGATCCTCTCCTAAGCTCATTTAGTGCATTGGCAGAGTTCAGTTCCCTACAGGGCTGTAGGACTGAGGTCCCACTTCATGCTGGTTCTTGGCCTTCCATGTGGCCCCTCCACAGGCCTCTCGCAACATGGCGTTTGCTTCGTCTTCTTCCAGGACAGCCCATGTGTTCTCTCTGACATGTTGGCTTTGGTTTTTTAAGGTCAGGCCCGCCAGGATCATCTCCCTTTTGACTAATTCAAAGCCAACTGATTAGTAGACTAATCACAGGAGTGACAGCCCATCACATTCACAGGTTCTGCCCACCCTCAAGGACAGAGGACTATCAAGAGCATGGACCACAGGGGAGACTTCTGCCTGCACAACCTCGTAATTGGTAGAGAGAAGAAAGGAGCATTGACTGGCCCTCTGAAATTCCAAAAAGTACTTCAATTATGGTTTTTCTGTAATAGTGAATAATTTATAAATTTATAAAACAGGGTTATAATTTTATCATTCCACACATTTTCATCTTTCCTAATTGCTTATAATTCAGGTAATAATGTACAATCCCCATAATAACATTATTAATAACTATTAGTACATTCTCACATGGCTATAAAGAAATACCTGAGATTCGGTAATGTGTAAAGAAAAGAGGTTTAATTGGCTCACAGTTCCTCAGGCTGTACAGGAAGCATGGCGGCTTCTGCTTCTGGGGAGGCCTCAGGGAGCTTCCAGTCATGGCAGAAGGGAGAGTGGGAGCAGGCATCTTATTGGCAGGAGGAGCAGGACCTAGAGAGAGGGGGAAGGAGCACCACACTTTTAAACAACCAGGTCTCACGAGAATGCACTGTCCTGACACAGTACCAAGGGAACGGTGCGAAATGATTCAGGAGAAACTGCCCTGTGAGCCAGTCACCGCCCACCAGGCCCCACCTCCAGCCCTGGGGATTGCAATTCAACATGGATTTGGGCAGGGACACACATCCCAACCATGTCAGTAACATTTACTGAGTGCTTGGTTTGCACTAGGCACCATGCTGGATTCCTTACATAATTACTTATTTAATCTTCACAGTTGCTCTACAGGGTGGCTCCCATTTTTATAGAAGAGGAAATGGAAGTACAATGTAGTAAAACAAATTGCCCTAATTCACACAGCTACTGAGAAGCCATTGGGGTTACGGACTCAGGCAACTGGACTCCACTGCCACTGTTAGGCCAATTCGAGATCCTGCCACTTTGTATAATTATCTTGCTTGTGTTAACATTGTAGGTAGGCTTTGTGTAATACTGGGCATACAGACATTATGCTAATATGACTCCATAACACCTGACTGCAAAACCTAAAGAGGATGCTAATATGACTCCATAACAGCTGACTGCAAAACCTAAAGAGGATGCTAATGTAACTCCATAACACCTGACTGCAAAACCTAAAGAGGATGCTAATATGACTCCATAACACCTGACTGCAAAACCTAAAGAGGATGCTAATATGACTCCATAACACCTGACTGCAAAACCTAAAGAGGATGCTAATATGACTCCATAACACCTGACTGCAAAACCTAAAGAGGATGCTAATGTGACTCCGTAACACCTGACTGCAAAACCTAAAGAGGATGCTAATGTGACTCCGTAACACCTGACTGCAAAACCTAAAGAGGATGCTAATGTGACTCCGTAACACCTGACTGCAAAACCTAAAGAGGATGCTAATGTGACTCCGTAACACCTGACTGCAAAACCTAAAGAGGATGCTAATGTGACTCCGTAACACCTGACTGCAAAACCTAAAGAGGATGCTAATGTGACTCCGTAACACCTGACTGCAAAACCTAAAGAGGATGCTAATGTGACTCCGTAACACCTGACTGCAAAACCTAAAGAGGATGCTAATGTGACTCCGTAACACCTGACTGCAAAACCTAAAGAGGATGCTAATGTGACTCCGTAACACCTGACTGCAAAACCTAAAGAGGATGCTAATATGACTCCATAACAGCTGACTGCAAAACCTAAAGAGGATGCTAATGTAACTCCGTAACACCTGACTGCAAAACCTAAAGAGGATGCTAATATGACTCCGTAACACCTGACTGCAAAACCTAAAGAGGATGCTAATGTGACTCCGTAACACCTGACTGCAAAACCTAAAGAGGATGCTAATGTGACTCCGTAACACCTGACTGCAAAACCTAAAGAGGATGGGAAAGGAAGGTGATTGCTTTTTTTGTTTTTTAAAGAGATGGGGTCTCTGGCTGGGCACGGTGGTTCACGCCTGTAATCCCAGCACTTTGGGAGGCCGAGGCGGGTGGATCACGAGGTCAGGAGATCGAGACCATCCTGGCTGACACGGTGAAACCCCGTCTCTACTAAAAATACAAAAAAATTAGCAGGGCGTGGTGGCGGGCGCCTGTAGTCCCAGCTACTCGGGAGGCTGAGGCAGGAGAATGGCGTGAACCCGGGAGGCGGAGCTTGCAGTGAGCCAAGATAGTGATACTGCACTCCAGCCTGGGGGACAGAATGAGACTCCGTCTCAAAAAAAAAAAAGAGATGAGGTCTCGCTCTATCACCCAGGCTGGAGTGCAGCCCCAGCCTCCATCATCTTGTCTCGCGGCAGCCCCAGCCTCTTGGGTTGATCCTCTTGCCTCATCCTGAGCAGCTGAACTACAGGCACATCTCACCACACCCGGCTAATTGAAAAAAAAAAATTTAGTGGATATTGGTCTTACTGTGTCGTCCAGGCTGGTCTCAAACTCTTGGGCTCAAGCAATCCTCCTGCCTCAGCTTCCCAAAGTGCTGGGGTTACAGGTGTGAGCCACTTCACCCAGAGGTGGTTGACTTTTGTGACAAAGTTGCTTGCTACTGTGAAAAAATGGTTTTTGGCCAGGCGCAGTCCCAGCACTTTGGGAGGCTGAAGTGGGAGGATCGAGACCAGCCCGGGCAACAAAGTGAGACATTGTCTACAAAAAAAAAAATCAGAAATTAAGAAAAAATGGTTTTGGCCGGGCTTGGTGCCCATGCCTATAATCCCAGCACTTTGGGAGGCCAAGGCAGGTGGATCCGTCGAAGTCGGGAGTTCAAGACCAGCCTGGCCAACATGGCAGAAACCCTGTCTCTAGGAAAAATACAAAACTTAGCTGGCCATGGTGGTGGGCACCTGTAATCCCAGCTACTCGGGAGGCTGAGGCAGGAGAATTGCTTGAACCCAGGAGGCGGAGGTTGCAGTGAGCTGAGATCATGCCACTGCACTTCACCCTGGGTGACAGAGCAAGACTCCGTCTAAAAAAATGGTTTTGATTGTTTCTATCATAAATTATAAATCACGCAATTATAAACTAGTTTATAGTCTAGTTAGGGAGATGGAAATTAATGTTTAACATTATACAAAAGAGGATCTGGGAGAATATTTACACACGAATCAGATATGGGCCCCAGTGGGGGAGGTTTTCAGTGGAGTGGTGCTGGGCTGACCCTCCAGAGACTAGTGGGCCTCTCGGCCTGTTGTGAACTGCAGGGAAGCCTGCTCCAGGACGACAAGAGCCTGTGCTGGGGCCGTGTGGCCAGAGAGAGCTCCGTGCTTCATCAGGAACCACGGCCAGCCCACTGGCTGGAGCAGAGAGCAATGCCCACGGAGGCCACAAGCCTCCTGACTGTCCCTGGGTTCCACTCCCTCTCCACCAGCCCATCCTGCAACATGCAATTACAGCATGCTTTCCCATTTCAGTGACTTACACTTTAAATTTTAATCTTTGTATCACAACATTCAAGGCCCTTTACAAATGGGATCATGCCTACTTTTCAGCCTCATCTCCAACTGTCCCCCAACTCCCAGTCACAAAACACATGCCATGTACCATAGATTGTAGGTCTGCAAATATATATATATATATATATATATATATATATATATATATATATATATATATATATATATATATTTTAGACAGAGTCTTGCACTGTCACCCAGGCTGGAGTGCAGTGGTGCAATCTCAGCTCACTGCAACCTCCACCTCCCGGGTTCAAGCAATTCTCCCCACCTCACTCAGCCTCCTGAGTAGCTGGGATTACAGGGTGTGTGCTACCATGCCCAGATAATTTTTGTGGTTTTGGTAGAGACGAGGTTTCACCGTGTTGGTCAGGCTAGTCTCAAACTCCTGACCTCAGGTGATTCGCCTGCCTCAGCCTTCCAAAGCACTGGGATTACAGGCGTAAGCCACCACGCCCGGCCCCAGATAGTATTTTATTTAGTTTTCTATTTCTAGCATTCTGTCACTTCCTAGGGTATCAAATGAACTCTGTATGTCACCTAGTGAATAAATAAAAATGATGGAAGAAATATTATAAGATAGAATGTAACTGATTGGGAAATGAGCTATTCAGAAAATAATTGTTTTGGGTCCTTTTCTAGTCATAAATCCATTTATTCAGCAAATATGGTGGAGCACAGTGAAAAAGAAGACAGCGTCGCAAAGCTCTGTGGATGTGGCGCCTTTGGGAAACTCTAGGTTGCTCTATTTGGCAATGAGGGAGTGCCGCAGAAGTGAGGTTGACGTGAGGTTCACATTTTAGATGGTTCTGTCTGCTGGAGTGGGGAAGAATGGGCAGATTTAAGGTATAATTCAGAAGTCCTCTGATGGGAGCTTGTGACTGCCGGTGGAAGCTCAGGATGCGGATCTTAAGAGCTAGGCCTGGGGCATCCACGTCGTGTGTGACATTTCCAGATCCTGTGGCTGGCAAGGTATTTTGTTTGTTTGTTTGTTTTGAGACGGAGTCTTGCTGTCTTGCCCAGGCTGGAGCGCAGTGGCACCATCCCAGCTCACTGCAAGCTCCGCCTCCAGGATTCAAGCGATTCTCCTGCCTCAGCCTCCTGAGTAGCTGGGACTGCAGGCACCCGCCACCATGCCCGGCTAATTTTTGTATTTTTAGTAGAGATGGGGTTTCACCATATTGGTCAGGCTGGTTTCAAACTCCTGACCTTGTGATCCACCTGCCTCAGCCTCCCAAAGTGCTGGCATTACAGGCATGAGCCACCACGCCCAGCCGGGGCTGGCAGTTTTATTCCTCACATTCAACCTGACATTCAACAAAGAGTAGGCAGCTCTTCTAGTGTCACCGTTTCCTCAGCCGACATAGTGTGACCTGGTTAGGAAGGTGGGCTTTAGCCTCAGTCCGTCCACCTGCTTCTCTGAGTGACCTTGGGCAAGCTAATTAGCCTTTCTGGCCTGCAGTCTCCTCATACACTTATGGCATGATAATTAAATGAATTACCAATGGCCCGCACTGAGTTTGGTGCCTTGCTTGGAGCAGTCACTAAATAAATGATAGCTGTCACAGACACCTTTCCTGTCTTCCTTTTCGCTCATGTCAAGTGCTGATGAGTGGAAGTGAAGAAGGTCATAGTGACGTGTCTGACACCCGAATGCAGGAAATGAGAAAGGTTTATTGATTCTGCTCTTAATTTCTGTAAGGCAAAGAGCTGAGTTATTGGCCTTTGTGTCTGAAGCAAGTAGAAAGATATAAAACTGTAAGCTGATTCATAATAGTATGTGAGTTAAAATAGTGTCTGCAAAGCAGACACCATGTTGTGTATCTGTATTTTCTGTCTACAGAAAGACCATGAAATCAAAGCACAGAGTATTAGTAGATGTCCACTCAGATGCTCCTTAACACAGGATTTGAGATTCTACTCTCTGTGAGGACAGTAAGTGGAATCTTCTCTAAGTAACATCCACATACTGGAGCAAATGCAGATTACATAAACAGCTAAGTATCAACAGGACCTCCGCTCCACCTTGCTGAAGATTGGCTTTTTTTGTTTGTTTGTTTTTGAGATGGAGTCTTGCTCTGTTGCCCAGGCTGGAGTGCAGTGGCACAATCTCAGCTTACTGCAGCGTCCACCTCCCGGGTTCAAGTGATTCTCCCACCTCAAACTCCTGGGTAGCTGGGACTAGAGGTGTGTGCCACCATGCCCGGCCAGTTTTTTTTTGTTTTTCGAGATGGAGTTTCGCTCTTGTTGCCCAGGTTGGAGTTCAGTGGCATGATATCAGCTCACTGCAACCTCCACCTCTCAGGTTCAAGCAATTCTCCTGCCTCAGCCACCTGAGTAGCAGGGATTACAGACACCCACCACAACGCCTAATTTTTTTTGTATTTTTAGTAGAGACGGGGTTTTGCCATGTTGGCCAGGCTGGTCACGAACTCCTGACCTCAAGTGATCTGCCCACCTTGGCCTCCTGAAGTGCTAGGATTACAGGTGTGAGCCACCGCACCCAGCCTCATTTTTGTATTTTTTGTAGAGATGAGGTTTTGCTATGTTGGTCAGGCTGGTCACAAACTCCTGACCTCAAGTGATCTGCCCACCTCAGCCTCCCAAAGTACTGGGATTATAGGCTGAGCCACCGTGCCCAGCCAAGATTGGCTTTTATGTTTAAGCTGTAAATTACAAACTAAAACGTGACAGAGGCATATCTCAGTAGATTTAGGGATTTATTTTGCTGAGGTTGAAGACAAGCCAGGGAAAAAGAGACACAAGTTACAGTAGGATCTGTGTCCTGTGCTTTTTCCAAAGAGGGTTTTGGGAACTTTAATATTTAAAGGGGAATGTGCAAGCAGGAGGGGAAGAAAAAAGGAAGGAAAAAGGAGAGAGGGTAGGCAGTGAGGCAGTGGTTACATTCCTGTGAGGCACCGGTGAGTGTGAATCTACTTTACATGTGGAAAGAAAGGAATTGCAGGAAAGTCAATCATGCATTCTTCTCCAGCTCAATGGATCTATATTTTGCATGAAATAAAGTAAGCATGTGAATTACAGCCATCGGTTTGGGAACAAAAGGAAGGCAGTCTCTCTCCTCTCTCTCTCGTTTTTCTTTCACCTTGCAGGAAGTTTTCGCCTGACTCAGTTCCCAAGTGAGTTTGGGGTCCTGAGATTTTCCTTTCACAAAGGGAAATACATTTGAGATATGGAATACTTGTCTTAACGTTTCTTTCCTCTCCTCTCTTGTGTTCGTTAACCAAAATGCAAGAATCTCAGTCTGGTTTACTAAGCCAGACCTGGAGGGCACCTTTGGGAAAAACGTGGGTCATCGGTGCAGATGTCACTACTGACCCTGAGGAGGTTTTCAGGAGGTCTCATGTTTACTCATTTCCTTAAAGGGGGAGAGCGCGTGGGAATTGGGGTGGGTGGGTGATAAGGAAAATGGTCACGTTCTTGTGAGACTTCATTTAGTGCTAGTAAATCTACATTTTACACAAGATAAAGTGAAAGTTTTAAGAAAAAATGGAGTAAAGGAAGAATCAATTATGCAATCCTCTCTGGGGAGGTGGAGGAAAAATTGCTCTCATTTTTTTTCTTTTTTTTTGAGATGGAGTTTCGCTCTTGTTGCCCAGGCTGGAGTGCAATGGTGCAATCTTGGCTCACCACAACCTCCACCTCCAGGTTCAAGCGATTCTCCTGCCTCAGCCTCTCGAGTAGCTGGGATTACAGGCATGCACCACCACACCCAGCTAATTTTGTATTTTTAGTGGAGATGGGGTTTCTCCATGTTGGTCAGGCTGGTCTCGAACTCCCGACCTCAGGTGATCCACCTGCCTCAGTCTCTCAAAGTGTTGGGATTGCAGGCGTGAGCCACTGTGCCCAGTCTAATTGCTCTCGTTCTATCTTTGTTCTGCACCTGGGAAGATCAGCTTGTGTAAACCAAAAATAAAATTCTAGGGCCCCCCAACCATCTAGATGGACCTCTCCTCTTGGCCAAGGGCATTCCAAAGTTAACATGAATAATTCTCTCTTTCTCTATTTTCTTTTCTGCTTGCTTTAAATCTGCTGTTACTTTTCTTCTGAGATAAAAATCACTGTTTGGATCCAACTGGTTTATTGTTGTTGTTGTTTTACAAACCAGTAAGTTTGTATTAATATCTCATGGCTAGAGTTCTGAAGTAAAAGCTATAGGATTTTTTTTTGTATGGTGAGTGTGTTGTGTATTTTTGGCCACAAGATACCAAATTGGTTTAAAGGTAAAGAGTACTCATAAATTAAATAGCCCAAATGCTTCTCAAGTTCACATGACTTAAGTAAAATCTGTAATCAATAAGTTGGCTTTAAAATTATTGGTAAAGTAATGTTAGAAATGGAGGAACTGGCAACATTTTTGTTTGCATTTATTGATCAAGTGGTTTCATACTTAACCGTGCAGAATACTATAAGGTGTCAAAATTTGCCGTAAGGGTTATAAAACTCTAAATCAGGCCTAAAATAGAATAATTGTTGCTTGCGTAATTTTTGATAAATAAGACATTTAATATTGTTGGTTTAATGAAAACAGCTAAATCTCAAGTTACTGGTAAAATGCCCGTATACTTAACCTTAACTTTATTACTTAGGTAAATGCCTGCAATTCATAGACTATAAAGATGGTTGACAGGGAAATAACTTTAAATGATGACTATCACAGTTTTCATAAGCAATCTAGATAAACTATTAAATAAATTAATCAGGTAAATGTAACAGAACAAATGCTTGTAAACAAACTTGTCATATAATTTAGAATCTAAGGTTATATTAAATAATAAATATTAATTAAATGCCTAGGATTTCCAATTTAAAAATTATAGAAAAACATTTAAAAATGTGTTCTTATTAAATGGTGAATATTTTTTGTCTACTTCAAAGGTTATTTAAAGGTTACATATAAAACCACGTAGGCTGGGCATGGTGGCTTATGCCTGTATTTCCAGCACTCTGGGAGGCCACGGCAGGCAGATCACTTGAGACTAGGAGTTCGAGACTAGCCTGGGCAACATAGTAAAACCCCATCTGTACAAAAATACAAAAATTAGCTGGGCATGGTGGTGCGCACCTGTAGTCCCAGCTACTTGGGAGGCTGAGGCAGGAGAATCGCTTGAACCTGGGAAGCAGAAGTTGTAGTGAGCTGAGATTGCACCACTGCACTCCAGCCTGGGCAGCAGAGCAAAACTCCATTTCAAAAACAAATAAATAAATAAAATAAAACAAGGTAAAAGGAACCAAGAAATAAGAGAGTTGTAAAGAAAGTTATAGATATAAAGATGATTTTTTTTGGTAAGAAGATAAAAGAAATTTTTTATGAAAGAGAATCTTATATGGTGAATTTTTGTCCTAAAATAAAATGGTTGTTCAAGAAAGAGGGATATTTAAGACAAACCATAAAGTTCAAGCATGTTGGGAATTGTCTATGTAAGTAGTAATACTGTTAGTAAAAAAAGGAATTTTTTAAAGTTAATTAAATTGGCTGTAATTAAAAATAAATTATAATAGTCTTTACAGAAATTGGACTCATTAAAATACATAATACAAAACTAAAGAATTGGTTAGAACAAGATTTTTTGAAAATATTGAATTACTCTTAATGCAAGAAGTCCTTAATTTTTAAATTCTATAATCTGTTTCTTTTTGAAATATTCTTCAGATTGATAGCTCAGAAGTACAACTTCTACTGTACCCTGCTGCTTCAGCTCTTTTGAGAAGGCCTGGGATGGTAACTCTCTCCTTCTCCTTTTGTTGGCTACTTTACCTTTTGTTGGCTTTTTAAAAATTAATAATCTAAGGTAAAGGAGAGAATATTTGAAAACAGGAAAATGAAAAAATCTTTTGGATCTTCCTTTGTCTGTATGTCTGTAATATCTGTATGTTTCTATGTGTCATGTGGAAGTGATAGTTCACTACCAAACTATGTGAAAGAGTTCTTATTAATTGACTTAAAGAAAAGTAAGTGCTTATCAGACTTTAATTGACTTAAAGAAAAGTTAGTGCTTATCAGACTCATAAAAGCTAGCTCTGATGCCTTTTGGTTCACATCACTTTAGTAATATTTCGTAAGATTAATTTGGTAAATTTAATCTCAAAATTCTGTCTTAAATCTTAAAGTCATGTAATGTTAAATTAAGTAACCTCAGTTTTTTTCACTTGGAATTTGGGTTACTAAGAATTAAAAAAGTAGGAGAGTAAATGGTGTTTCTGGTGGTTTATACAAACACAAGGATGTGGTTTTTGCTAAAGAAAATGCATTTTTTTCTAGTTTAGAGACTATTTAAAAGTCACTTTAAATAGTGACTCTTAAACCTTAAACTCTTTAGCATTTCCTTTAAAATAAAGAAAAAATTATATAGATTAAACTAAATGGATACAGAAAAAAAAGGCACAGAATGAGAAATCTTTGCCTCCTGGGTGGCCATGTCGTCACCCTTCTTAAGGAGCTGCAGCTGGGCTACATTCTGTTCCTGAAGGTAAAAGCTACCAGTGGGATTCTGAGACAGATCATACTCATACTCCCAGGCAGTTAGCTCACTGAATGCATAAGGGAAATTTAAAATAATAAAAAGCAAAATATTCATCCCTTGGTTATTGTTTTCTGTAATAGCTAAAATGAAAGTAAAAGAGTGCTGGATTGGGCCTTAACACTGGGCCATGCTCCAATGTGGATCTGTCTCAGCTCAGTCACTAGCCTCAGAGCTACCCACAAAAGGAAAAATTAAGCCAAGGCAAAAAAGTGACTTCTGAGACCTGTGGTTACTAAGAAGACAGTCAGTGTGGGGGAAAGGCAAAAATCAAGTAACTATTAAAACTAGAGGGTATGATGTAAAGGAATTGTTCCATTTTTAGATTGGTGTCATCAGCTTCTTGAGAAACCTATATTATAATAGATTGTAAAAATAACTACTTTATTGGACAGTATCCAATGGACAGTATCTTTAGTTTTAAAGACAGATATGGACAGTATCTTCAAATGCTACAGAATGAAAGAGCATGATTGGGTTGATGTAGGACCCACAGCTCACTATTAAACAATCCCTGAGGGATATATGTGATCCAATTGCACAAGAGGTTATTCCCAAGAGAATGAGCAGCCTAGTGGACTGGATAATTGCCACTATAAGGTCTGTTTGCCCTGAGAAGGGAACTGCTCAACTCTCCCTATAAAATGCTGAGTGGAGCACCCCAGATGAAGCAGCTGATATGCTTTATATGTAAACCATGTGGGACTGGATTTATGATGACTGGGATATTCTCCCCCTGAATATGTCTATTATCCAGGTCATGGTAAATATTGAGGGTAAAAGGGCCCATTTTACATGGGCACCTTGCGTGATATTACTGTTTGAGAAGTCTCATCAAATTTTCTGTCCCCCATGAGTCTTACTGATGCTTAATTAAACATTAGGGCAATTACCAAAAAAGCAAAATGGCAAAGGCAAAAGGGAGTTAAAGGACTCGCCCCAGAAGGGTGGTGGGAATCTTTAGATGGTTTTTAAGAAATGAAGTAAAATAAAATGAAAACTGATGGGGTTAAACAAAGGTCTTTACAACACCATCAAAAATTGGGTGGACCAGGCCGGGCGCGGTGACTCACGCCTGTAATCCCAGCACTTTGGGAGGCCGAGGCGGGCGGATCACGAGGTCAGGAGAGCGAGACCATTCTGGCTAACACGGTGAAACCCCATCTCTACTAAAAATACAAAAAATTAGCCAGGCATGGTGGCAGGCGCCTGTAGTCCCAGCTACTTGGGAGGCTGAGGCAGGAGAATGGCGTGAATCGCGAGGCAGAGCTTGCAGTAAGCTGAGATTGCGCCACTGCACTCCAGCCTGGGCAACAGAGTGAGACTCCGTTTCAAAAAAAAAAAAATTGGGTGGACCAAAGGGAACCCCTGCTGTTCCCCCAGCATTAAAGGGGCCCACACAAGTCTTCTGTATTTGCCCCAGATTGGAGAAATTTTAAGAGAAATCAAAAGGCAAAGGTTATAATGAGAAAGCTTACATTGAGGCACATTAAGATAAAGATTGACAAAAGGCCTGAGTCCCTTGGCTCAGCTCCCTGTTGGGAACCCAAATCCCTTTTTACTAGAAAAGGTAAAATGGTCTGTGGGTAGAGAAGAAAAGTTCCTGGGATGGGAACATAAACATGTACAGATTGATAGGACTATGAAATTTGAGATGTTTAAATAAGTTTTATGAAATGTAGTTGTGACTCTTACCTAAATGTCATATGAAAATAGATATTGTATCTGACTGAGGAATGTTTTCCCTATCTAGAACTATCAAACTGAAGGCATGTCAGTCTGCCCTTTGAGAAACGTTAATTGTGTTACAGGATCTTTGGGGGTTTCATTTTCTGGCTGGAAACCTCTGTGGTTGCTGTGCCTTTGCTCAAGATCTTTTCCTGCATCTGGGAAGAATGAGGTACACAGACAAGTGAAGGGTGAACAACACTAACATGAGCGTTATTGAGTGTTACAACAGCTTGGAGGAGACCCACAGTGGATAGCTCCTCTCTGTAGGCAGGTCATTTGTGGAGTCTTTAGTTCTCACAGCGAGGAGGCCCTGGAGAAGGCAGCTCCGCTCTGCAGCTGGTCGTCCTGATGTCTGCAGCTCTCAGCGGAGAGGAGGCTCTGGAGAGGGTGGCTCCTCTCTGCTGTCAGGTTGTCTCTCTGCAGCTCTCAACAGAGAGGGTACTCCTCTTTCTCCTCTGGCTGTCCTCTGCCCTGCTCTGGCTGAGCCCAGGGCTTTTATGGACCTCAGAGGGGAGGAAGTGCATCCTGATTGGTCCATGGGTGGCCAAGGGCAGCCCAAAAGAGGCATCATGAGCCCCCACTCTGGTCTGTAGGACTGCAGCCTGGCCTCCAGCCTTCAGGCCCTCCCTGGCCTAGAGGTGGGGCCTTACTGGGGGCCTGGCCCTTTTGCCCAGGAATCAATCTGCCTCCCACTGCCATTCATGGCCCCAACCCCTGCTCAGAGATTGGAGCAGGCGCTAGGAGCAGAGAGAGGCCAGGCAGTGGGAGTAGACACCCCTGAGCCTGCAGAGCTGGGGAGTGGGGAGGGGAGATCCTTTCTGGGGCCCCTGAAGGTGCAGGCTACAGAGACACCTGGGTCCTGCACCTGGGAGAGTGGCCACAGCTGCACCTGGGAGCTCCCGCCCCACCAACTAGGAAGGGCCCAGGGCTCTTGTTCCCAGCTCCTGCCTGCTCCAGGAAGTGGGAGGCCCAGGTCTACAGTTGCACGTCCAGCTGCTGCAGCTGCACCTAGCAGGGCAGATCCTGCCTGTTTCTGGCCACTCCCAGGCAAAAGCACAGGGAGGCAAAGATCCACAGCCACAGTTTGGAAGGCTGCAGGAACACCCAGGGAGCTCCCGTCCCAACTCAGAAGGGATGTGGCTCCAACCAGCTCCACGCAGTGTGCAGCCCCAGCCAGGCCTCCCTGCTGCAGCTGGTGTGGTGGCATTAGCCAGTGCTATCAATTGTAAATGTTAAATGGGAACTAGTAAGACTGCCTGAGCCCACAGAATGTAGGGTAGAAGCTGGAATGTTGCTCGGGACAAATCCTCCACTTCATAGCCCTCTGTGGAGCATTTACTGGGGCTTATGGCAGAAACCTGTGGGCCTTCCCAATGATGACTACTGGGACTTTGGACCAGAGAATTTCCGCTTGCTTTGGAATGTTAACTGAAGCTATCCCTATGCTAATAGGAATATGGTGCCAAAAAAAGAGTTCCATAATAAAATAAAAATAGTTTACATAGGATCTTGTTGCCTGGGGCAGCAAGGAGGAGATGCTTTTAAGTAGGGAACCTCTTTTTCCCCAGGACTCTAACTTTATGAGGAGCTGCTGGAGTCTACGGAGCCTGAGAAATAGCTCTCATCTAACGAGCTGCTTGGTCGTGAATGACAGTTTCAAGAGGAACAAATGACATCTAGTTTGGCAGTCTGCTGCTCTAGTTAAAGAAGAGTCAAGGAAATCTTTTTCTTTTGAGTTATTTATAGTTTAGAGCAATTGGGTTTTGTGAGCAAATTTACCTTTCTGAGTTTGACTAAATTTGCAAATTATTTGTGATTTTATGATAATATAGTTATTCACATACATTTAGTAAGAGTCTTTTCTTTTGAAACAGGATAATTGGAGACACTGGTTATTTTATCAGGGCTTTGATTAGAATAACATATTTTTGGCTGGGCGCAGTGGTTCATGCCTGTAATCACAGCACTTTGGGAGGCCCAGGCAGATGAACTGCTTGAGCTCAGGAGTTCAAGACCAGCCTGGGCAACATGACGAAACCCCATCTCTACAAAAAGTACAAAAATTAGCTGGGTGTGGTGGTGGCTGGTGCCTGTAATCCCAGCAAGAAGGAGAATTGCTTGAACCTAGGAGGCGGAGGTTGCAGTGAGCTGAAATTGCACCATTGTAGTCCAGCCTGGGTGACAAGAGCAAAACTCTGTCTCAAAAAAAAAGAATAACATATTTTTAGGTAAAGTTCTAGCAAAGCCAACTTAAGAAGAGTGTATATAGTCAATTGGTTCTTGCTGCACTTTATGCAAATCATCAGGCCAACTATAATAAGACTAAAACGTATTTTCCACACAAGTTGATCTTATTATAATGTCTCTTTATTAGAAAAGGAGGGCTAGAGAGAAACTGAGTCAAAGGAAAAGTGTAACACTTGTTACTGATGACTGTCCTGACTTCTGTTTTTGAGTGCAGATTGAATCATGAATCATCTCTGGGCTGCAAGAATCCTCTAAAGAGCACCAGGCTACAATTTTGATTCATATTTATAGTTGGTGCCCCAGCAGAATAGGTTCTTTCTTCTGTTCTGACACACAAATACTATTCTGATTATCAAATTATTAATGTTATTTATCTCTTCTTGTTTTACTTCCAAGGAAACCAGAATCACGGAATTCTAAAAAGATGTGGCATTGGCACTCGGGCATTCCACTGTGCCTGATCTGTTTTCATGGCCAGTGCCCTGCTAACCCTACACAGGCACCCTCCCTCTAGGGCCAGGGACCATAGCAGAAGAGCTGGGCGCCTGAGATTCTAAGGGCTGTTTTTTTTTTTCTTAGATGGAGTTTTGCTCTTGTTGTCTGGAGTGCAGTGGTGTGATTTTGGCTCACTGCAACCTCTGCCTCCTGGTTTCAAGCGATTCTCCTGCCTCAGCCTCCTGAGTAGCTGGGATTGCAGGTGCCTGCCACCATGCCTGGCTAATGTTTGTATTTTTGGTAGAGACGGGGTTTTACCATGTTGGCCAGGCTAGTCTTGAATTCCTGACCCTGTGATCCGCCCGCCTTGGCCTCTCAAAGTGTTGGGATTACAGGCATGAGCCACCGCGCCCGGCCTGTAAGCGCTGGTTTTGAGGGAGAGAATTAGTTCAGACCGGCTGGGCATGGTGGCTCACGCCTGTAATCCTAGCACTTTGGGAGGCCAAGGTGGGCAGATCACAAGGTCAGGAGTTCGAGACCAGCCTGGCCAACATGGTGAAACCCCGTGTCTACCAAAAATACAAAAATTAGCCAGGCGTGGTGGGAGGTGCCTGCAGTCCCAGCCAGTCAGGAGGCTGAGGCAGGAGAATTGCTTGAACCCTGGAGGCGGAGGTTGCAGTGAGCTGAGATCGCGCCATTGCATTCTAGCCTGGGGGACAAGAGCGAGACTTCGTCTCAAAAAAATAAAAATAAAAAATTTTATTAGCCATTTTAGGACAAATTACTAAAGGACAATAAAAAGCATTGCAGCACAACAAAAGTCTCTAAAAATCCTTAGCTTAAAAGGTTTTAACAATGCTTATGTTCTGTATAGCTAATTGCTATAAGTCTGTAACTAAAACCAAGATTACAGTAGCTCAGTCAGGTTTGTAACCTCGCCCTTGGCTTTTTGTTTGTTGGCTTTTTACTTAAATTTTTAAGGGTTAATGAATGCTTGTCTGTGTCCATTCCCATTTGGCCTAGAACATTTTAATTGGCTACAAGTCTTTTGACTCTAAGTCTCTTGGCCATAGGGTGTCCCGCTGAGAGACAGGACAGATCCAGGGCAGGCAGCCATGTCACCCTGGCAATGCTATGGAACAAAACAAAAGCTTGGTGGCCACTGGTGTTGCCTCTGACAAATGTTGGCCACAAGGGGAGGATGTAAACCAAAAATAAAATTGTAAGACCCCCAACCATCTGAATGGACCACTCCTCCTTGGCCAAGGGCATTCCAAACTTAACCTGAAGAAGTAGTTCAGGACATGATGGGAAGAGGGAGATGGACATGCCTCATGATACCCTCCTCCCTTTTGGAATCACGGATGGAACAGGCTTCTTTAAGTCTGGTAAGAAGCATTTACAGTCGATTCTCTCTGAAGCCTGCTACCTGGAGGCCTCATCTGCATGGGGTGACCAAGGTTTTCTTGGTCATTATCAGTGTGAAGTTGAACAGTCTTTCGTTTTAGACCTTAGTTTTTATGAGCTGGACTTGTAACCGCCCAACAGGTTCTCCTTGCCGGCTGCTCAGACAGAGATGATTTATCTAGATAGGAAATTGCAATAGAGAAAGAATTTAATTCACGCAGAGCCGGCTGTATGGGAGACCAGAGGTTTTTTTTTTTTTTTTTAGATGGAGTTTTGCTCTTGTTGCCCAGGCTGGAGTGCAGTGGCGCGATCTTGGCTCACTGCAACCTCCCACTCCTGGGTTCAAGAGAGTCTCCTGCCTCAGCCCCCAAGTAGCTGGGATTACAGGCATGTACCACCACACCCAGCTAATTTTGTATTTTTAGTAGAGACGGGCTTTCTCCATGTTGGTCAGGCTGGTCTCAAACTCCCGACCTCAGGTGATCTGCCTGCCTCAGCCTCCCAAAGTGCTGGGATTACAGGCATGAGCCACCATGCCCAGTGGAGTTTTATTATTGCTCAAATCAGTGTCCCCCAAAATTTGAGGATTGGAGTTTGAAGGATAATTTAGTGGGTGGGGGGGCGTTGAGAAGTGGGGAGTGCTGATTGGTAGGATTGGAGATGAAATCAGGGAATCCAAGCTGTCTTCTTGCGCTGAGTCAGTTCCTAAGTGGGGGTCACAAGACCAGATGAGCCAGTTTATCCATCTGGGTTGCACCAGCCGACCCATTGAGTGAAGGGACTGAAAAATGTCTCAAGCACCAATCTTAGGTTTTACAATAGTGATATTATCCCTAGGAGTAATTGAGGAGGTTTAGAATCTTGTGGCCTTTAGCTGCATGACTCCTAAACCATAATTTCTAATCTCATGGCTAATTTGTTAGTCCTCCAAAGGCCATCTAGTCCCCAGCAAGAAGAGGGTTTGCATCATTCTCAGCAAACTATCACAAGAACAGAAAACCAAACACCGCATGTTCTCACTCATAAGTGGGAGTTGAACAATGAGAACACATGGACACAGGGAGAGGAACATCACACGTGGGGGTCTGTCGGGGGGGGCTGGGGGATAGCATTAGGAGAAATACCTAATGTAGATGACGGGTTGATGGGTGTCGCAAACCACCGTGGCATGTGTATACCTATGTAACAAACCTGCACGTTCTGCACATGTACCCCAGAACTTAAAGTATAATAATAATAAAAAAAGAGAAGGGGGTTTGTTTTGGGAAAGGGCTGTTATCTTTCTTTCAAAGTTAAACTATTCTACGACCAGGAATGGACAAGGACAGCTTGGAGGTTAGAAGCAAGATGGAGTCAGGTTAGATCTCTTTCACTGTCATAATTTTCTCAGTTCTAATTCTTGCAGAGGTAGTTTCAGACTTAAGTTGCAGATCTAAAGTTACAATTGGCGTGTCTTTGTTTAAGTGAGGACACACATCTTGAAAGGTCTCCAGGCTGGCAAAACATTTACACCTGGGAGACTGGTGGGGGCCAAGGTGCCCGGCCCTGCCTTCACGGGGGCCTGGCTGGCAGGAGCCTTGCAGCCTGCAAAGCAACAGCTGTGCATTTGGAAGAGGGTGTTGGGCGACTCGGCTTGCAACCACCCAAGGGGTTCACCTTGCCCGCTGCCTAGACAGAGCCTATCGAGATGGGGGAATTGCAATAGAGAAAGAGTAATTTACACAGAGCTGGCTGTGCAGGAGACTAGAGTTTTATTATTACTCAAATCCATCTCCTTGAGCATTGAAGCATTCAGGGATCAGAGTTTTCAAGGATAACTTGGGTGGGGGGAAGCCAGTGAGCCAGGAGTGCTGATTGGTCAGAGATGAAATCATAGGGAGTCAAAGCGGTCTTCTTGCCCTTATCAGTTCCTGGGTGAGGGGCCACAAGATCTGATGAGCCAGTTTATTGATCTGGGTGGTGCCAGCTGATCCATCAAGTGCAGGTTCTGCAAAATATCTCAAGCACTGATCTTAGGAGCAGTTTAGGGAGGGTCAGAATATTGTAGCCTCCAGCTGCATATTAGAAACTACTCCTAAAACGTAATTTCTAATCTTGTGGCTAACATCAGTCCTACAAAGGCAATCAAGTCCCCAGGCAAGAAGGCCTGCTTTGGGAAAGGGCTGTTACCGTCTGTGTTTAAATTATAAAATATAAACTAAGTTTCTCCCAAAGTTAGTTCAGCCTACTGCCAGGAAGGAACAAGCACAGCTTGGAGGTCAGAAGCAAGATGCTGTGGGTTAAGTTACACCTCTTTTACTGCCTCAGTCATAATTTTGAAAAGGCGGTTTCAGGCTTTCAGCCCTAACTTTCCCTTTGGCTGAAGGAGTTCGGAGGTCCTGAGAGTTTTTGATTTTCCCTTACGTGTTGTATAAAAACAGTCTCTCAACGTTGATTCCTGCCTACCTTACTGCTTGTTTTTATCAAAAGACGACATATGGGAATATAATTTGTTAAGTGCAAAGCCTTATTCAAATGTAAAGCTCTTTTCTTTTTTTTTTTTTTTTTTTTGAGACAGAGTCTCGCTCTGTCGCCCAGGTTGGAGTGCAGTGGCGTGATCTCCGCTCACTGCAAGCTCCGTCTCCCAGGTTCACGCCATCCTTCTGCCTCAGCCTCCCGAGTAGCTGGGACTACAGGCGCCTGCTACTGCGCCCAGCTATTTTTTTTTTTTGTATTTTTAGTAGAGACGGGGTTTCACCGTGTTAGCCAGGATGGTCTCGATCTCCTGACCTCATGATCCACCCGCCTCCGCCTCCCAAAGTGCTGGGATTACAGGGGTGAGCCACCGCGCTCGGCCTCAAACGTAAAGCTCTTTTCAATATCTGCTCTCCCTTTCTATCTTCCCCGACTGTCAGTCCGGTCCCGTGGGAACCCGGGGCGGGTTGGGGCGAGTCAAGAGCCCCTGCACCCCAAGTCAGGGTACTGCACCTACCCCTTGGGGAGACCAACGACCGCTCGGTCCTCTGCTGCTCCTGCCTGGCGGTTGCTAGGAGCCGGGGAAGCGCAGGCGCATTGGGAGGGGCCGCGGGCACGCCGAGCAGCGACCACTCGGCCTTCCCCTGCTCCTGCCTGCCAGGTGCTAAAAATGCCGGGGATGCGCAGGCGCACTGGGAGAGGCCGCAGGGCACGCTGGGCAGTGCTTCTGGGCCCTCTGCTGCTCCTGCTTGTCGGTTGCTAGGCGCTGGGACGCGCCTCCCGAAGGGTGCGGGGCACAGGTGGCCTCTTCGGGGTGGACCGCGCCTGGCCGGGGCCGAGGACACCGCGGCCGCCCGGGCCTGCGGGAAGCGATGGAGCCCGGGAAGGTCGGTGCGGCGCTGGGTCTGGGCGAGGGGTGGTCGAGCTTCGCGGACTCCTTCGGGCGCCGCTAGCAGCGCCGCCGCCGCCCTCCCTTTGCGCAGCGGTTCTCTCGGCCGGGCCGGGGCTTCCCGGAGGAGCCGCGGTGCCTCCGAGGCAGGAAGGGAAACGGAGGCGCGGCTGGCCGTCGGCGCGAGGGATGGCAGGACGCCGGGCTCCCGGCGGTCGGGAGAGGCGGTCTGTGCAGCCTCAGGCCTGGGGTCGCCGCCGCGGCCCGTCTCCTCGCGCCCGGCCTGGAGGCGGCCTCGGCCCCTGCTGCGGGGCCGGGGTGGCTGAGGAGACATATTTAAAAGTTTATTAAATTTTAGCTGACTTAAGTTTAAATATGACTTGTCACAGTTTAAGAGGTTGAGAGAGTGCAGCCTGGGTGCTTGAGTTTGAATTCAGGATTTTGTATTTACTTGTATGACCTTGGCAAACTCACTTAACATGTCTTGTTTCCTAATTCATTCAATGGGCACAATAATAATAGCAACATTATAGGGTGTTTAAGAAGGTTAAGTGAGATATTATGTGTAAAAGTGCATAGACCAGTGCCTGCTTTCATTAACACTCAATAAATGTTAGATATTACTGTATTATTCTTATCTATTGATTCCCCACTGAAAGATGAGGAATTTAATTTGCATACATTTTCTTCTACCTTCACTCCTATTATTTTTTCCCCATCACTTACCTTTATGTGTTGAATAATACTCCTTAATTTGTATTTTATGTTATATAAACCTTAGGTTTTTGTTTTTTTTTTTTTTTTGAGATGGAGTCTCACTCTGTCACCAGGCTGGAATGCAATGGCACGAACTTGGCTTACTGCAACCTCCGACTCCAGGGTTCAAGAGATTCTCCTGCCTCAGTCTCCCGAGTAGGTGGGATTACAGATGTCCGCCACCAAGCCCAGCTGATTTTTGTATTTTTAGTAGAGATGAGGTTTCACCGTGTTGGCCAGGATGGTCTTGATCTCCTGACTTCGTGAGCCACTGCACCCGGCCTTTTTTTTTTTTTTTTTTTAAAGATAATTCCCCTTGTCGCCCAGGCTGGAGTACAGTGGCACGATCTCTACTCACCGCAACCTCCAACTCCTGGGTTCCAGCGATTCTCCTGCCTCAGCCTCCCGAGTAGCTGGGATTACAGGCAGGTGCCACTATGCCTGGCTAATTTTTGTATTTTTAGTAGGGATGGGGTTTCTCCATGTTGGTCAGGCTGGTCTCGAACTCCTGACCTCCGGTGATCCGCCCGCCTTGGCCTCCCAAAGTGCTGGGATTACAGGCGTGAGCCACCGCGCTAGGCCAACCTTAGATAGTATTTTTTAACTTTCCCCTAGTTAAGATTAAGAAGCTACTGCCCTGCACTCCCCATTTCTCCCTAAACCCACTAATTTCCTGACCCTGTCATCTTCTATGCTATTCTCTTTACATTTCTTTAAGTTACTCTGTAACTTACATTGTCCGTGATTTGTTTATAGGTTGATTTTAAAAATGAAAACCAATAAACACTATAACATCATGGTTATATACGTTTTCATTGCAGAACCAAATAGTCAGATTGGACCAATAGATACAATGGAGTCCTGTATTCTAAGCTCACTCTACTCAGGGAACAATGTTTCTGGTGTCAGGGTCAAAGGGGTCATCTTTTGTTACATTCAGTTAATGTACCACAATGAAGTTTGCTTATCATTTGGACCATGTCTTTCATAAATGGCCCTATTTGCCCTGTTTTTTTAGTTTTGGCAAAAAAGAACATAAGCTGTTTTAAATTTTTAAACCTTATGATGTCTTCTAGCTTATTAGTGTCATATTACCTGTTTAATGAAATTCTCTTAAATTCTTCCCAGAGCTCACTGACTTTATGTTCTCATCAGGACAAATTGTTTTCTAGACATGCACAGAGCTATGATCTGGGAATTCTTTCTCATTGTGCTTCTGGGTTAGGCCTACTGTTTCTTGGATCAAGTGTCTCCCTCTTTTTTGAAATCTCCATGCTTTTTCCAGTGGAGTATCCCCTCCCCCCACTTTCCTCTCCCCTCCCCCCTCCCCTTTCCCCTCCCTTCCTCTCCCCTCCCCTTTCCCCTGCCCTCCCCTTTCCCCTCCCTTCTCCTCCTCTCCCCTCCCCTCTCCCCTCCCCCCTCCCCTTTCCTTTCCTCCCCTCCCCTCCCCTTTCCTCCCCTCCCCTTTCCTCCCCTCCCCCCCTTTCCTTTCCTCTCCTTTCCTTTCTTCAGAGTCTTGCTCTTTCACCCAAGTTGGAGTGCAGTGACACGCTCACAGCTCACTGCAGCCTAAACCTCCCAGGCTCAAGCAACGCTCTTGCCTTGGCTTCCCAAAGTGCTGGGACTACAGGTGCGAGCTACCATGCCTGGCCTGTCGCATACCTTTTTAGACAAGAGTATATGTGGGAAGAAAACTGTATGCCCTAAGAATATCCTTATTATACTGATAGATTGTTTAAGAGTTTGGCTTAGCATAGAATTCTAGGAGCAAAATAATTTCCCAGAACTTTGAAGATGGTTTACTTTTGTCTTCTAGCAGTGTGTTTGGCTGATGAGATATCTTTGTGAGTAACATTTTCTTTCTCTCCAGAAGATTTAGGATCTTTATCTGTGATGTTTTGAATATGGATGTAGTTTGTTATAGATCTTTTTTCATTCGTTATTTTTGACATTTGACTGTCCCTTGGGGTTTTATTCTGATACATATTTAATACATAAAATTCATTTTTTTTGAGACAGAGTCTCGCTCTGTCGCCCAGGCTGGAGTGCAATGGCGTGATCTCAGCTCACTGCAACCGCCACCTCCCAGGTTAAAGCGGTCCTCCTGTCTCAGGCTCCTGAGTAGCTGGGATTACAGATGTGTGTCATCACGCCCAGCTAATTTTTGTATTTTTAGCAGAGACGGGATTTCATCGTGTTGTCCAGGCTGGTCTTGATCCGCCCACCTCGGCCTCCCAAAGTGCTGGGATTATAGGCATGAGCCACTGTGCCAGGCCAGTAAATAAACATTTTTAAAGTAGCAAAAGCAACAGATCTCAGAGCTGGATATTTCCTGGCAACTAATGAATTCCTGTAACAGGTTCTCAATTGCAAGTCGGTCTTTAACTTTTTAGGAAGTTAACCCATGGGTCATTAGAATCTAATTATGTAACTATTAGGCTGTGATATAGAATTAATTAGTATAGTCTATTTCATAAGGTAAGGGGAAGGATAAAGTTTTCATGAGATTACTGGAATAAAATTGTATTGGATTATTTTGGTATTAGAGTTTTTTTTTTTTTTTGGAGACGAAGTCTCACTCTTGTCCCCTAGGCTGGAGTGCAGTGGTATGATCTCAGCTCACTCCATTCTCTGCCTCCCGGGTTCAAGCAGTTCTCCTGCCTCAGCCTCGCAAGTAGCTGAGATTACAGGCATGCACCACTATGCTGGGCTAATTTTTTTTATATTTTTAGTAGAGACACGGTTTCACCATGTTGGCCAGGCTGGTCTGGAACTCCTGACCTCAGGTGATTCACCAGCCTCAGTCTCCCAAAGTGCTGGGATTACAGGCGTGAGCCATCTCACCCCGCTGGTATTATAGCTTTTAGTATACACCAAGCATTTCTTTCAGTTTGTTTCATTGTACTTAGTTGCTCACATAATTAATCTGATGAATATAAATAGTTTTATGTTCTTTATTTGTACTGAGATCATACCAAGTTTCAGTATGTCGTAGCTATTGGAAAAAACTTAATGGTACCTTTGCAGGCTTTACACCTGCCTGCATGGTGACAATTTTCTTTAATATTAGCTCTTTCAAAACTCTTTAATTTATCTTGTTTACAATGTGTATGACTATTAATTTTTATGGTCAATGAAAATTTTAGAAATTTCTAAGTTTTTTTGTTACATACCAAACAATTGATAGGTAATGTGTGAGTTTATTGTTATGAAATTTATTAATCATAGCTTGAAAAATGTAGACATGTTTTTTAGGTTATTCTTAGTTTAAAATAAATTTCTACCCTTTTTATTTTCATGTGAGATATGTACTAGTGATGTGAACTGTTTAGGTACAGTGCAATGCCGTTTCATTCTGTTTTTAGAAAGGCTGAATGTTTTAGAGTAGCTACAGTGGGGTCTCCAAGGTTGGTCCTCACCAATCCGCTTGTGGGGTTCCTCCAGAGAACTGCAGAAACTCTGGCATGAACTCTCCATTCAAAGCCCTGTGCTGATTCTTGACGAAAGTTTAACACTGCTCCTCGCGGTGTAAGGCCACCTCTGGGACAACCCAGCTCAGTGTTGTCTGAAAGAGCTCAGGGCTGTCAGAATAATTTACTGTTTGTTTTAGCCAACACCTGGGGATAGGTCCCTGACATCCTTTCTGAAGAGAGTTTAAAAGGGCTTAAATTATGAATCCTTCTCTGTCCTTTTGAGATGTCTCTAAATCTGCAATTCAGGAGTGTCTTTGAAAAGATATCAGAAAGGACAGGATGGCCTCTGTTCTGGTCTCTCTGGGAAGGTAGAATCCTAACTACTGTAATTATCAGCTAGCAGACACAGCGAGCTTAATCTCACACTGACCAGCCTTTGTAATTTTTCACTTGAGCTCCCCTAGCCCGGGTTCTCCCCTAAAACACTCCCTCACCTCAGTGCAAACAGAAATGGAGCTCAGCTGTTTCCCGTCCCGCCTGCAGTTACTGAATGAAATCTATTTCACCACTCGAAAGTCTGGCATCCCCCTCCCCACACTTCTCATCTGTCAGCCAAGTCTAGAAAGGAATCAGCCTGAGGTCAGCTCTGTCTACAAAATAGACTCAGCGCAGCAGCATTTTAGGCATCTGCCGCTTTGACGTAGCTTTGACGTAGCAGCTCACAGATAGGACTCTCATCTGCAAATACATGCATACCGAAAACACAGGTGCTCCCTGCAGCCACGTTTGTCACATGGAGTACAGAGTGTTAGAAGCAGCCTGTGTGGTCACCAGCCAGGGCCTAGGTGAGTGAATTACGGTGACTGTAGGGAATAACCTTGGATTCAGTGATGGAAACTGATCATCCTAGTTTTCTTCGTTACCGTTTTCTTCAGAGCACTTTTCCTACCAGGGAGCGTCAGTTACACAGTCAAGTAATAGAATGAAGACCTGGATAGGCTGCATTTCATAATTTGGCCCTAAGTAATTTGATAACTTAAAAATTCTAGTGTAAGGAATTTTGGAAAAAAAATGAGGACAGCAAAGGATAAATTATGTCCCAGTCCTAAAGGCGGGAGCCAGCCTTGCCCTCTGGGTCTCTTAGCGTGCGCCCTAGTTTGGTGTGTTGCCATGCAGGGTTAGTGAAGCACACCACTCTGGCCGTTAGTGCTCCTGCTCATTCCACTCTGTAATTCTGAGAATTAATGTTGGTGTCGTCAACCTAAAGAAAATCCAGGCAAAATTAATTATAGAGACTATCAGGGCCACAGCCTGGGAAACACTGGGAGGCGCTCCAGAGAACAAAGGAGAGGCTTGAGTGTTTAAAGAGAAAAGGACGAATCAGGGGACGATTACAAAATACTTTGTCAAGTACTGGTTTACAGAAATAACATTGATTATTGATTGGTTATACATCACTGAACTGCAGGTTACGAATTCTGGTGTCCAGTGTATGACATTGGTAGGTTAATTTATGGCTATTGGCCAGGTGTGGTGGCTCATGCTTGTAATCCTGGCACTTTGGGAGGGAGGATTGTTTGAGGATGGGAGTTCGAGGCCAGCCTGGGCAACATAGCAAGACCCTATCTCTTAAAAAAAAAAAAAAAAAAAAGCCTGGGCATGGTGGTGCATTTCTGTAGCCCCAGCTACTCAGGAGGCTGAGGTGGGAGGATTTCTTGAGCACAGGAGGTCAAGGCTGTAGTGAGCTATGATAGCACTGTGTCCGGAGTTGGTTCCTTCTGGTGGGTTCTTGGTCTCGCTGACTTCAAGAATGAAGCCACAGACCCTCGCGGCGAGTGTTACAATTCTTAAAGATGGTGTGTCCGGAGTTTGTTCCTTCACATGTTCAGATGTGTCTGGAGTTTCTTCCTTCTGGTGGGTTTGTGGTCTTGCTGACTTCAGGAGTGAAGCGACAGACCTTCGCAGTGAGCGTTACAGCTCTTAAAGATGGCGCATCTGGAGTTGTTTGTTCCTCCCGGTGGGTTCATGGTCTCGCTGACTTCAGGAGTGAAGCCCCAGACCTTTGCAGTGAGTGTTACAGCTCATAAAGGTAGCGTGGACCCAAAGAGTGAGCAGCAGCAAGATTTATTGTGAAGAACAAAGCACAAAGCTTCCACAGTGTGGAAGGGGACCCAAGCAGGTTGCCACTGCTGGCTGGGGGTGGGGGGAGGGGGGCCAGCTTTTATTCCCTTATTTGGCCCTGCCCACATCGTGGTGCGTTTACAAACCTTTAGCTAGACACAGAGTGCTGATTAGTGCATTTTTACAGAGTGCCGATTGGTGCGTTTACAAACCTTTAGCTAGACGCAGAGCGCTGATTGGTCCGTTTTTACAGAGTGCTGATTGGTGCGTTTACAAACCTTCAGCAAGACAGAGTCCTGATTGGTGTGTTTACAGTCCTTTAGCTGGACAGAAAAGTTCTCCAAGTCCCCACCCACCCAGAAGCCCAGGAGGCTTCACCTCTGGGCACCACTGAACTCTAGCCTGGGTGACAGAATGAGACTCTTTAAATAATAATAATATGGCTGTTGGTGGTGATGCTGAGTCAAGAGGTCATAAAGCAGGCTGCTTACTTAGCTCTGGGTGTGGGAGGAGCGGGACTTCCTTAGCTCCAGGTGTGTGTGAGGGGGGCGGTGAGCCGGACGTCCTTAGCTCCGGGTGTGTTTGGGGGGGGCGGTGAGCGGGACGTCCTTAGCTGGGGGGGGGTGTGGGGAGAGCGGGACGTCCTTAGCTCCTGGTGTGTGTGGGGGGGGCGGTGAGCGGGACGTCCTTAGCTCCGGGTGTGTGGGGGGAAGGGGGACGTCCTTAGCTCCCGGTGTGGGGGCGGGGGGGAGCGGGACGTCCTTAGCTCTGGGTGTTTGGTGGGGAGCCGGACGTCCTTAGCTCCGGGTGTTGGAGGGTGTTGGAGGGGGGAGCGGGACGTCCTTAGCTCCGTGTGTGGGGGTGGGGAGCGGGACGTCCTTAGCTCCGTGTGTGGGGGTGGGGAGCGGGACGTCCTTAGCTCCTGGTGTTGCGGGGAGCAGGACGTCCTTAGCTGCGGATGTGGGGGAGAGCGGGACGTCCTTAGCTCTGGGTGTGGCGGGGTGGGGAGCGGGAAGTCCTTAGCTCCCGGTGTGTGTGTGTGGTGTGGGGGGAGAGGGACGTCCTTAGCTCCGGGTGTGGGGGGGGGAGCAGACGTTCTTAGCTCTGGGTGTGGCGGGGAATGAGACGTGACCACTGTCACATTTCAGTGGCTCTGGGCCTAAACATTTAAAGGAGCTCACATTCCTCAGATTAGTTTCTTTTCTTTCTCAGTGTCATGCAGGGAACAGGATGACGATGTGGACGTCAGCGCTATACCACTGGGTCCATGTAGATGAATGTCACAGGGTTGGGCCGCGGTGTCTCTGTCATGTGGGGACTCAGGCTGGAGAGTGCCTTTGCTGCTTTGCACAGAGCTAGTGGTCATCCTGAAGGTCCAGAATGGATTTATGGCAGTGTCCCTGGAAGGAAGAGTGGATTTAGAAACATGTTATAAGCAGAAATAGTAGTATCTGGTGACGCTTTCCTCTGTTTATTTTTTAATAGAGATGGGGTTTCGCTGTGTTGCCTGGGCTGGAGTGCAGTGGCAGTTATCACAGCTCACTGCAGCCTCGACCTCCTGGGCTCAAGTGAGCCTCCTGTCTTAGCCTCCTGAGTAGCTGGGACTGCGGTTGAATCACCATGCTTGGCTGATTTTTTTTTTTGATGGAGATGGGGTCTTGCTGTGTTGCCCTGGCTGGTCTTGAACTCCTGGGCTCAAGTAATCTTCCTACCTCAGCCTAGCAAAGTGTTAGGATTACAGGTGTGAGCCACCATGCCTGGCTCAAAATAACTTCTTTTAAACATTTCTTAATGTTCAATTAACTAGTTCAAATCAGTATTTAACTTTAACCTCTGATGAGTGTTTTCTAAAAGAGGAGGCTGGGTTAGAAAGCAAGGGGAGAAGCCCACTGCCCACAGGTGGCTGCAGATGCCAGTGGCACCTTCTCGCTGGAGTCTGCCCAGCTGTCGGAGGTTATGTGGCAGGAACAATGAGCGTCAGGTCCAGGGGCTTCTGCTGTTTGGCTTACAGAGCGCGGAAGCCCTCACACCCACTCGTAGTGGGGGTCGGACAAGATGGCACAGGGGTGGGGTTTGCTTTCCATCTGGGCTGTGAGTGTCCTCCCTGAAGTGAGGTTTTGGCTTCACCACCTCTGATGGTGCACCTTGGAGGTGATACCACCTTGGAAGTGATTTCAGCCCAGGTTTACTTCTCCTTGGATTTCAGGATGAGATGAGAGTGGGGAAAAGAATTCCCTTGAAGCCCTGCATTGAGGGGAAGGGGAGTTAAATCAGTTTCATCTGTTTTATTCGGGAGGCAAATCAAAGGGATGTAAACATTGTTCAGGGTTCTTACTGTACAGTTCTCAATAGAATTTTGTTATGAAAAGGTTCTAGATGATTTAGTTGATGTAAATCGAGCATAAATCGAGGGACAGAGGCCCTGGGGAGCTGGTGCTGGGCAGCCGCTCATCTCCTGTTTGCTTGCCATGTGCATGAAGGATGCTGGCCCAGGACAGGTGCTTGCAGATGCTGAAGACCGCAGGCTCCAGTTCTCATCCACTAGTGCGTGGGCTGAATCATGCTGATGGTTTTGCTGCTTAGCTCTCCTGAGTCTCCTCACCCCAGTCCCCAGGCTGGGGTTTGTTCCACTCCTGGGAGTGCTGGGGAACTTTGCCCTTTGGTTCCATACTTGGAGAGTTGATTTTAAGCGTGGATTGCTGGGCTGCTCCATAGGGCAGAGTCTGAGGGCAGGTCAAGTTGGTCTTTAAAAGGCCTTGGCAGAAGCATGTGGTTTACATGTGGCAAGTGGGGACCGACAGCACCGGGGCAGGGAAGTCGTAAATCACTGTTGAACAGTTTGAAACTCTAGAGGGAGACAGCATGGATAGAAAACTTGAGGGTAAACAGTCCATATTAGCTGAGTTTTAAGCGCTCCAAAGTAGTCAGTATTCTGTGCATTTAAGAAAATGGCTGTTACTTTTCATACTGAAAAGTAGAGAGGCCGAAGAAAAATCCTGTGATCTCTGTCAGAGACCTCTTGTCTTCAGGGTTTTTAACTTTGTCAGTATCAGTAATGTTAACCATTAAGAAACCCCACTGGATGGGTTTTGTGACATACTTACTTTTCACATTCTGAGCTAGTGGCCTTGTGCCTTCCCAGTGTCCCCTGAATGTCCTCAGCGTCCCCTGTGTGCAGCGCCCACGTCTCCTGGTTGAACTGTCCCCTAATGTTCTAGGTGTCCCCTCTCTGTGGTGCCCATGTCTCCTGGTTGGACTGTCCATTGGTGTCCTGGGCATCCCTTCTTTGTGGTGCCCATGTCTCCTGGTTGGACTGTCCCTGAGTGTCCTGGGTGTCCCCTCTCTGTGGTGCCCACGTTTCCTGGTTGGACTGCCCCTTGGTGTCCTGGGCGTCCCCTCTCTGTGGTACCCTGGTCTCCTGGGTCTCCTGGTTGGACTGTCCCCGAGTATCCTGGGCGTCCCCTCTCTGGTCACTCGTGTCCTGGGTTCCATTCAGCCCTTTTTTTATAGCAGGTCCTATATTAAACCTCTCTGTAGGAGTTAACTTTAAACAAATAGTTGGCCGGGCGTGGTGGCTCACAACTGCAATTCCAGCACTTTGGGAGGCCGAGGTGGGGGGCTCACCTGAGGTTGGGAGTTCGAGACCAGCCTGACCAACATGGGGTAACCCCATCTCTACTAAAATTACGAAACTTAGCCGGGCGTGGTGGCGGGCGCCTGTAATCCCAGCTACTCAGGAGGCTGAGCCACGAGAATTGCTTGAACCTAGGAAGTGGAGGTTGCAGTGAGCTGAGATCGCACCACTGCACTCCAGCCTGGGCGACAGAGCAAGGCTCCGTCTCAAAAAAAAAAAAAATTGTTTAATATATTTATGAGGTATTACAGCTTTTTTTGTTTGCCCTAATTTTCACATTCCAGGAAGAGTTTTAGTGGCTTGTCCATGAAAAGTTTCCATTTTTCATTTGGACTAAATCTGTTTTTTTTTTTTTTTTTTGAAACAAACCCCCAAATGCTTCCTTTATTTATACCTTTAAGGAAGTGTTTCTCAAAGGGAAAAATTGAATAATTATGGTATATTCTCTGCAGGAAATCATCCTTGATTGAGTTTGCTTAGCTGAGGTTAGGTTTATCATTAAGCTCTGTTGTACCAGGGTTGTGGGGTTGTAGGGTTGTGGGGTTGTACCCTGTGTTGTTGGAGTGTGTTACTATGGCGTGGTGATACGCGGTTAGGTTAAGCATGAAGCTCTGTTGTACCGGGGTTGTAGGGCTGTACCCTGTGTTGTTGGAGTGTGTTACTGTGGCATGGTGATAAGCACCTGCGTGTTCTGCACTGAGGTTCTGCTGAGGCCTCAGTGCAGCTGTGGAGCAGGAGCGGCACAGAAGAAGGAGCTGTGGCTGCACTGGCAAAGCTCATGCTCCCCTCGGGGAGACCAGCGCGGATCTTGTAGGAATCACTATCGCGAGGGTTGCCAGGAGGCAGTGGTGCAGTGTGACAGGAGGCGCTCCAGGTGGCGGCGAGGGTGCAGAAGGGGAGTCCCAACCTTGCCTTAGAGCACAGTCAACCTTTACTGTCCTCATGGTTCCTGTAGGTTAGGGTTTGGGGGTGGCGTGGGGGGACGTTAGGGTGCAGTCCTCACGCTCTCTGAAGGTTGCGTTGGGCTGAGGGGCCCTTCTGACGTGTGGGCTGGTGCCGGCCTCTCCTGGGCCTCCCCGGGAGTGCTTGGGCATCCTTGTGCTATGGCGTCTCCCAGGGTGCGCGGTGAGAGCAAGCGGGCACCACAGCCAGGTGGAAGCTCTGGAAGGGACCCTGAGCAGGAAGGCGCACAGCTGGGCCTCCACCCCGTCCTCCTCATCAGAAGTGTGGCAGGGCGGGCGGCTTGAGCTGAGGAGTTTGGGCAACATGGCGGAACTCCATCTCTACAAAATACAAATATTAGCCAGGTGTCATCCCAGCTACTCAGGAGGCTGAGGTGGGAGGATGACTTGAGCCGAGGTTGCGCCACTGCACTCCAGCCTGGGTGACAGAACCAGACCCTGTCAAAAAAACAAAAAGACGATGATGAAGAAGAGTGTGACATAGAATCTGGCCCACGTTCGAGGAAGGGGAATCAGCTTGACTTGTAAAGGAAGGGTTGTTGAAGAGTCAGTGGAAATGGTTTAAGACCACGGCACCTTGTTATTTTAATAGTCCCCTCAGATGCTTAGAACAGTTGGATACCTGGTGAGCTGGCTGTCCGGATGCCGCCTTTCCCGGCACGCACAGTGTGGATTCTCTAATGGCTGGTGGTCGTGAGGCGCTGCGACATGCTAAGCAGTGCTGGGTGACACAGAGGACTAAGATAGGCCTTCCTTTCCGGAAGGTGAGGGCTTAGCTGGAGAGATGTCATCACACTTGAAAGGTGGATTATCCAACGAGGAACAAACACTTTCGCAGTAGAAACAACAAACATCAGAGGAGCTGGACGGTGTTTTTGGGCCTGGAACCTTTCTTGGGTTTTATCTGCGCAGCCCCAGCTCTGCAGCAGTGCTCGGTGTGTGCGAGGAGCTTGGTGTGTATTTGCTGAATACAAGTACAGGGCCCTGGAGGGCCAGAGACACGGGTGAGCTTGTGGGCCCACCAGTTGCCCAGTGTAGCAGACGGGTGTGATAGGGTGTCCTCAGGGACAGGCAGGCTTTCTCTGCCGATCCTTGAGCATTCAGTCCACAGGTGTCGTTTCTGTTCCTGATTTGTTCCTTGGCAGGACTCTAGAGCTGAAAGCTGCTGAGCCTTGTGATGCCTCACTGTCCTCATTAGAAAAACTGAGCTGATAGCCTTCTTAGTAGGGTTATGAGATTTAAATATTGGTGCTTGAACAGGATAGCATCTGGTATGCACCAGATGCTAAACTCATTTCTGTCTGTCATACATCCCAGCTGCTGTTGCTGTGTAAGAGGCTGTGGTGTGAGACAACAGCAGCCTTCTAATTTTCTCACATACTCTGTGGATCAGGAGAGCTCACAGCAGCAGGCTTAGTTCTGTTGCTGGTACCTGGGGCCTCGGCTGGGGAGACTTGAGGTTCAGGAGGTGGTGACTCATGAGGGGCTGCGGGAGCCGTGCCTCTCACGCACCTGCCCTGGTGCTGGCTGTGAGGGACCCCTCTGGGCCCGTGGCTGTGGCATCTGCTGTGAGGGACCCCTCTGGGCCCGTGGCTGTGGCATCTGCTGTGAGGGACCCTCTGGGCCCGTGGCTGTGGCATCTGCTGTGAGGGACCCTCTGGGCTGTGGCATCTGCAGGGGCCTCTCCCCAGGGCTGCTTCTCTTCCTCACAGGGAAGTATCTGGAGCTGCAGCCCAGGAGGACCAGGCAGAAACCCATTGTCCTGGGAGGCCCATGATACCTTCTGTCCTGGGTTGAGCCCAGCGGCCGCAGAAGGAGCACAGACTCCCTCTGTGTGCACAGCATTTGGGACGTGAGTCTGTTGTGGCTGTTTTTGGAAAATACAGTCTGACACAAGATATTTTAAACCCACAGAATATTTGTCCTTCCTCTGTTGTTCAACTGCTGTTATAACTTGTTTTCACTTTTATTTTATAATATTTAAGTTTTGAAGTAGCCAAAGGAACACATTTTATAATAATGTGTCATTTTAGACTAGTGAATAATTTTTAAAAATCTGTATTTCTGTTACCTTTTATTCCAGGAGGTAGAGAAGTATTTTCTGGCATGTCAAGAATTAACTGCCATTGATTTAAATGGCATAATGAAAAAGCAGCTCACTACAACACTGAAAATAAATTATTTTAAACATTCTAACTTTATACTTTTCTATTTAGAGAAGAACCAAAGATGATACCTGGAAAGCAGATGACCTCAGAAAACATCTCTGGGTAATTATTGTAAAGATTTGGATTGGGATCTGTGCAGGACTCGTGTGGTTTTCTTGGACCTGCTTTACCTGGTACACAACACTGTATAACTTTGGTTATGTGTGCCTCATTTCAGAAGTACTTTGAACTCAGAGGTGAAGGTGTACGGCTAACAATCCCTCTGGAACGTTGGTTAAGCCAGCTGGACACTCCCACTGCTCGTGGGGCTCTGCCATGGCTCAGGGGCCTCCGCACTGCTTTAGGGCAGGGAGTGCTCACTTCAGGGGCCGCAGCGGTGGGTGGGGAGAGGGGCTTTGGGATTGAGAGAGAGTCCTGAGAGTTTTAGAACGAGGGTCCTTGTTTGTATGGGGCCCAGGCGGTTTGTGTCTTAGCGACTTTAAAACACAGCTTCAGTATCTCTCTTTTAACACATGTAGTATTTTATTTATTTATTTTTAGTTAATTAATTTTACTCTTTTTTTTAGAGACAGGGTCTTACCGTTTTGCCTAGGCCGGAGTGCAGTGGCGAAATCATAGCCCACTGCAGCCTTGACCTTCTGGGCCTGAGCTGTCCTCCCACCTCAGTCTCTTGAGTAGCTAGGACTACAGGCATGAACCACCAGGCTTGCTAATTTTTTAATTTTTTAATTTTTTAATTTTTTGCGGGAGAGATGGGGATCTTGCTATGTTGCTTGGGCTAGTCTTGAACTCCTGGCCTCAGGTGATCCTCCTGCCTTAGCCTCCCAAAGTGCTGGGATAATAGGTGTGAGATACCATGCCTGGTCCTACTTATTTTTTTTGAATTTTACTTTATTTTCCATATTTTGGGGGTACAGGTGCAGGTTTCTTACATGCATATCTTGTGGAGTGGTGAAGTCTGGGCCGTTAGTGCTCCTGACACCCGAATAGTACCTGTCACCCGAATAGTGAACATTGTACCCAATGGGTAATTTTTCACCCTCTAATACACGTAGTATTTTAGATTTGATTTGCCGATCAGTGTGAATGTCCATGATATTGGGGCGCTGGTGGGCAGTTGTAGAAATCTAAGCTTGACTCCATGTCCTTTAGTGTTCTAAGAACATCCATGCAGGCTTTGGCCCGTCTGGGATTGGAAACTGGGATTGGAAAGCAGTTGAATGCAAATATGTTTTAAGGCCCTTCAGCTGTGTGTGCTTCTCACATTCAGGTATTAAAAGTCTAATGGAAATCTGCCTTCCTGGTCACGGAGGACCCTTTGTTCTCTTGTTTCAGGCCATACAGTCAGGTGGTTCCAAGGAAGAAAGAAAGCACAGAGAGAAGAAGCTGCGTAAGGAGTCTGAGATGGACCTTCCTGAACATAAGGAGCCGAGGTGCAGGGATCCCGACCAGGATGCCAGGAGCAGAGACAGGGTGGCCGAAGTCCACACCGCTAAGGAGAGTCCTCGTGGGGAGAGGGACAGAGACAGACAGAGGGAGAGGAGAAGAGACGCAAAAGACCGGGAGAAAGAAAAGCTGAAGGAGAAACATCGAGAGGCAGAAAAGTCTCACAGCAGAGGAAAGGACAGGGAAAAAGAAAAAGACAGAAGGGCCCGGAAGGAAGAGCTCCGGCAGACCGTGGCCCACCACAACCTGCTGGGCCAGGAGACACGCGACCGGCAGCTCCTGGAGCGGGCGGAGAGGAAAGGCCGCTCAGGTGGGTCCCCGCTTGCCTTCCTGTGGTTCCACCCGAGGTGCCGCGTCGCTGCTGGTGACAGGTTGATAGCTCGCTGCCTCCCCTCCCTCTCTCCCCCGCTTCCCTCCTTCCCCTTTCCTTTTTTTTCTGGACAGGGTCTTGCTCTGCCCCCAGGCTAGAGAGCAGTGGTGCCATCACAGCTCACGGCAGCCTCAACTTCCTGGGCTCAAGGGATCCTCCCACCGCAGCCTCCCAAAGGACTGGCATTACAGACATGCCACTGTGCCCAGCTGGCTCTATTTCTTTTAAAAGTTCTTGCTGTTTGGGACATTTTCCTCTTTTGAAATGTTCATTTGTTATTTTTGTTTTCTCTCATAGTTTTCACAAATGTTTTATCTTTGAAGTTAGAGGTTCCTGTTCTCTCTGTTGCGGGGTGTGTGTGTGTGTACTTTTTATCATTGTTTTTCTTTTGGTATTTTAAAAACTTGTTCAGGCCAGGTGTGGTGGGTCATACCTGTAATCCCAGCACTTTGGGAGGCTGAGGTGGGAGGATCACTCCAGCCCAGGATTTTGAGACCAGCTTGGGGAACACAGGGAGACTCCATCACTACAAAAAATAAAAAAATTAGCTGTGTGTGGTGGCGCTTGCCTGTAGTTCTAGCTATTTGGTAGGCCGAGGTGGGAGGATCCCTTGAGCCCAGGAGGTCGAGGCTGCAATAAGCTATGATTGTGCCACTGCACTGCAGCCTGGGCAACAGAGTGAGACCCTGTCTCAAAAGAAAAACAAAAGCTCTAAAAACCATTTAGCCAGCTGGGCGCGGTGGCTCACGCCTGTAATCCCAGCACTTTGGGAGGCCAAGGTGGGTGGATCACCTGAGGTCAGGAGTTCGAAACCAGTCTGGCCAACATGGTGAGACCCTGTCTCTACTAAAAATACAAAAAATTAAGCCAGGCATGGTGGCGTGTGCCTGTAATCCCAGCTACTCAGTAGGCTGAGGCAGGGGAATTGCTTGAACCAGGGAGGTGGAGGTTATAGTGAGCTGAGATTGTGCCACTGTACTCCAGACAGAGCGAGACTCTGTCTCTAAAAGAAAAAAAAAACCATTCAGCCAATGAAAGGAATAACAATTTTCTCATTATTAGCTAGAGTTTTACTATTAAAACATATTTTAGGGCCAGGCACAGTGCCTCATGCCTGTAATCCTAGCACTTTGGGAGGCCGAGGTGGGCAGATCACTTGAGGCCAGGAGTTCAAGACCAGTCTGGCCAACATGGCGAAACCCCATCTCTACTGAAAAAAAAGAAAAGCAAAAATTAGCTGGATGTGGTGGCACAGCTGCTTGGGAGGCTGAGGCATGAGAATCACTTGAACCCGGGAGGAGGAGGTTGCAATGAGCTGAGATCACGCCACTACACTCCAGCCTGGGTGACAGAGCGAGACTCTGTCTAAAAAAAAAAACCCAAAAAACACAACCATATTTTAGACTTATTATCTCAATAAGGCTTATTATCTCCGTAAATCTGAATCCTCATCGTAAATAAACAAAAATAAACCTCTTTGATAAAAAATATTTTCTAAAAGTGTGTTTTATTTTATTTAGCTAAATTCCTAGGAACTGTAAGGTAAAGGTACATACTTTTTTTCCTCCCCAAATGGAAATTTCTTCAGTATTTTTTGGTTATATAGGTAGTATATGCTTCTTACAAAAATGTAAACTAGCGCATATAAATGCAGAAGGAATCTGTTAGAAGAACAGGTAGTCACTCTTAGAATCAGCAGAAGGGTTAGAAGGCCTGGCTGTGAAAAGGATGGAAACGAAGGGCCTTTACTCATTGCCACCATTAGATGTCTCTTATAGACACGGTGATCTGTTTATCCCCTTCACTGCTGGTGGCCATTTGAGTCGTTTGAAGATTTAGACTATTAGGAATAAGGCTGCTAAGAATGTTATCATGTGTATTTTTTGGTGTTCATATATGTGCGTTTCTGTTGGGGTGGAATATACATGAGGTGGAATGGATGGGTTAGTTGGGTTACCACTAATTTTGTTTTCTTTAAAAATATATTTTATTTGTTGATTTATTACTTAAAGAAATAAAGTAGAGTCAGGGTCTTGCCCTGTCGCCCAGGTTGTAGTGCAGTGGTGTGATCACAGCCCACCACAGCCTTGAACTGAGTAGCAGAGTCTCCAGGCTCGCACCACTGCACCTGGGTAATTTATTATTCTTTTTGGAGATAGAGTCTCACTCTGTTGCCCAGGCTGGAGTGAAGAGGCGCGATCTCGGCCCACTGCAGCCTCCGCCTCCCTGGTTCAAGTGATTCCCGTGCCTCAGCCTCCCGAGTAGCTGGGACTATAAGCACACGCCACCACACCTGGCTAATTTTTTGTATTTTTAGCAGCGACGGGGGTTTCACCATGTTGGCCAGGCTAGTCTTGAACTCCTGAGCTCAGACAATCCACCCACCTTGACCTCCCAGAGTACTAGGATTATAGGCGTCAGCCACAGCGCCCGGCCAGCACCTGGATAATTAAAAAAAATTGTTTGTAGAGATGGGGCTCCACATGTTGCCCAGGCTGGTCTTGAACTGGTCTCTAGCAGTCCATTTATCTTGACCTCCCAAAGTGCTAGGATTATAAGTAGGAGCTACTGCACTTGGCCTAATTAATTTTTTTTTTTTTTTTGAGATGGACTCTCACTCTGTTCCCCAGGCTGGAGTGCAGTGGTGTGATCTTGGCTCACTGCAGCCTCCGCTTCCCAGGTTCAAGTGATCCTCATGCCTCAGCCCCCTGAGTAGCTGGGGTTATAGGCACGTGTCACCACGCCCTGCTATTGGCCTAATTAATTTTAACAGTAGCTGTCCTACTATTTAATGCTCTTTTCAAAATTATTGTTTTTGATGTTTTTGGTATTTATTTGCAATCAAATCTTTTGTTCTCAGATCACCCTTTTTTGGCTGCCTGCTCATTTTTTCAGTGTGGTGTTGAAAGGAATTGTACTGGAAAGACTTTTGAAAACTGATCGTAGACTAGACTCTCTAGTTCTTTCCTCTGTACATCTCTTCTCATCTCCTTTCTTTCCACAAAGCCCATCTGTGCAGTGTGGCCTTTATCCAGGGCTGGGTCCCCAGGCCTCCTCTCCAGCAACCCCTTGCCCTTGCTGGCTGGATCTAGTCTCATGGTTTTAAATACTGTTTGTCTGTGTCCTTATTTCCAAGTTTTTACCCCCAGCTGGGCATCATCCCTGAATTCCAGGCTTGTGTATCCCCTGTGCTTTGAAGTCTAATGGGTAATACAAACGCAGTGTACCCCACATGAAGCTTCCGGTAGCCCCTCCACACTGGCTGTCCTGCAGGCTTGCCTGTCTCAGTTAATAGCACCTGCATCCTCGCGTCCTGAGGTCACAAGACCTGGGATATATCCTGATGCCCTGCTTTCTCTTCCAGTCTCTTGGAGAGTCCTGGGGTTTCAGCCTTGAAAATCTACCTGTTCTGGGGCCCTCCCTCTGTAACCCAGACTCCTAGAAGAGTGCTCAGTGCTTGGTAAATGCCTTTTTTTTTTTTTTTTTTTTCTGAGAAGGAGTCTCGCTCTATTGTCCAGGCTGGAGTGCAGTGTTGCAGTCTTGGCTCACTGCATTCTCTGTCTTCTGGGTTCAAGCAATTCTCTTCCTTAGCCTCCTGAGTACCTGGGATTACAGGCGCACGCCACGACGCCCGGCTAATTTTTGTATTTTTAGTAAAGGTGGGGTTTCACCATGTTGGCCAGGCTAATCTTGAACTCCTGACTTCGTGATCCACCTGCCTCGGCCTCCCAAAGTGCTGGGATTACAAGTGTGAGCTACCGTGCCCAGCCTGGTAAATGCTTTTTGAATGAATGCACTTTGCCTCAGTGATCTTTGAAAGTTTAACTTTGCCCTGATCTTTTAAAGTGTCCACTCTCTGAATTTTACATCTGATGCCTTTTTTGTGTGCAGATTCAGAAGTGAAAGTCCAGCTTTCCTTGTTGGATGATGCTTTGGTGTCATCGGTACCTGCCTGGCTCTGTTTGCCCCCGGTCTCTCTTGCAGGTCATACTGGGCCTTGGTGCTTCAGCCTCCCCAGCCCAGGATGGATGCCGTAGTCTGGTGCCCTGGGGAGTCAGCTGCACCTGGCTTCCTTGTTGATTCAGGGGCCTCTGGCTTCCTTGGTCCCCTCAGCAGTGGGGGTGCCAGGAGGTTTGGGGGCTGCTCTGGGTCCTCAGTGCATCCAGGAGGGCAGGCATTTCCCTGGAGCTCACATTTGGCTAAAGTGTTGGCCGACTGGGCTGGTTCTCCTGTTCAGACTAAGCCCTGCTTCTGCGTGATATGCAGAAACCCTGAAGGCTGTATGAGTTTGGTCTGGTGCCCTCTTGAATTTCCAAGGGTTACTCAGACATTTGCCTGGTTGCTTCAGCAGCAAACTGAGTGAGGCAAGAAATCTCTCTGTTCCTTAGTGTACGAGTCTGTCCTCATACTGCTGTAAAGAAACACCTGGGGCTGGAGAATTTATAAAGAAAAGAGGTTTAATTGACTCACCATTGTGCGGGCTGTACAGGAAGCATGGCTGGAGAGGCCTCAGGAGACTTACAGTCTTAGGAGAAGGTGAAGGGAAGCAGTCACGTCTTACAGGGCCAGAGCAGGAGGAAGGGAGAGAGTGGGGAGGTGCCATACGCTTTGAAACAACCAGATCTTGTGAGAACTCACTCAGTATCACAAGAACAGCACCCAGGGGGAAATTCACCCCCATGATCCAGTCACCTCCCACCAGGTCCCACCTTCAGCATTGGGGACTACATTTCAGCGTGAGATTTGGGTGGGGACACAGATCCAAACCATATCACTTAGATTGCCATGTTCATCTCCTTCTTCATTTTAAATTTGATACTAGAACTCTTCATTCTTGAGTTGGAGGCATGTGTTTTAGTTGAAGAATATTTTCAAATACATATTAACGAATATAAAATGTGCAATACCATCCATAGCAAGATGTTAAAAGAGTTTTTTGATGTGCTAACATTTGGGAGTATTAAAAATATGTTTTACTTCTTGTAGTAAGTAAAGTAAGAAGTGAAGAGAAAGATGAAGACTCTGAAAGAGGAGATGAAGATAGAGAAAGAAGATACCGAGAAAGAAAGGTATACGAAGCAAGGCCTGGGGAAAAGTTTTCCAAATGTTGCCAAGTAAAGGATGTTTTAAGCATTATTGTTGGAAGCATTTTTAGAAAATGTCCTAAGCCAGGATTTCAGTCCTGGAAAAGGCCTCCAGCACTGTGTATAGTCAGTTTCTTTCTCCTCATAGTCAAGTGCGTTTTTCTGATTCCAAAGGTAGTATGTGATGATATTAGAAAATTTAGAAGATACAAATAAGTAGTAAGAAAACAAAAACTGTCTAATCCTCACCCACAGGTAAGTATTGATAGCATTTAGGTATGTATTTTTCCAGGTTTATATATTTGTGTATGTATAACATTGTTTTCTTTAGATTTTTACTGTTTTATAAGTTGTTTAAACGGAACACATTTTGAGCCTTTTCCTGAGTGATCCTGTCTCTCCCCGTGTTTCAGTGAGCGTGCAACTTGGTGTTTCGCGGTGCGGGTGTGTTGGTGCTCTCCAGGCACCTGCGGTTCCGGATTGGTGTTCCGCGGTGCGGGTGTGTTGGTGCTCTCGAGGCACCTGCGGTTCCGGATTGGTGTTCCGCGGCGCGGGTGTGTTGGTGCTCTCCAGGCACCTGCGGTTCCGGATTGGTGTTTTGCGGTGCGGGTGTGTTGGTGCTCTCCAGGCACCTGCGGTTCTGGACACTTAGGTTGTTTCTGTGTGTTTGTGTTTTTTCTTTAAATTATAAAGACATCCAGATGGTATGCTTTTTGGTTCGTTCATAATTATTTCCTTATGATTAATTTCTGAAAATGAACTTGCTGGATCAAAGTAAATGTAAACTTAACTCATTAGCTTTACATAAAAGTTGTAATTATTTATATCATCAGAGCATAATTCCTTATGTCCTAAGCAGGAGCTGGGCATCATCTTCGTTTAAAAGTTTTGCTCATTTGATTCAGAAGAAAATGGCATTTCTGGGCATTTTTAAAAGCAGGTTTACTGTCTTTTGTTATTTACCACTTGTGTACTTTTGCTTATTTTTTTTCTCTCTTTTTTTTATTTTTTAGAGACAGGGTCTTGCTCTGTCACCCAGGTTTGAGTGTTTTAGTCACAGAGATGGTTAAACTCTGGTCCCATTTTCAAGACTCTCCATCTGCGTGGGACTAATTAGGAGAGAAAGAGTGATGTGACATGTCCATATGAGAGATGTGGCAGCCTTGTGCTGTCATACTCACCGGAGAAGGCATCTCTCAGAGAAGTCAGAGCTTGCTCAGGAGGGACCCCAGGGCTGGCGGAGCTTAGGCTGAGGGCCACCAGCATGAGGGATGAGGCTGTGGAGGCCAGGAGGGCTGACTGTGAGTGCCGGGTGCCATGTGGAGGGGCCAGGAGGGCCGACTGTGAGTGCCAGGTGCCATGTGGAGAGGCCAGGAGGGCCGACAGTGAGTGCTGGGCATCATGTGGGGAGGCGAGGAGGGGAGGCCAGGAGGGCTGACTGTGAGTGCTGGGCATCATGTGGGGAGGCGAGGAGGGGAAGCCAGGAGGGCCGACTGTGAGTGCCGGGTGCTGTGTGGGGAGGCCAGGAGGGCCGACTGTGAGTGCTGGGTGCCATGTGGAGAGGCCAGGAGGGCCGACTGTGAGTGCTGGGCACCATGTGGGGATGCCAGGAGGGCCGACTGTGAGTGCCGGGCACCATGTGGGGAGGCGAGGAGGGGAGGCCAGGAGGGCCGACTGTGAATGCCGGGTGCCATGTGGGGAGGCCAGGAGGGCCGACTGTGAGTGCCGGGCGCCATGTGGGGTGGCCAGGAGGGCCGACAGTGAGTGCCGGGTGCCATGTGGAGGGGCCAGGAGGGCCGACTGTGAGTGCCGGGCGCCATGTGGGGATGCCAGGAGGGCCGACTGTGAGTGTCGGGCGCCATGTGGGGAGGCGAGGAGGGGAGGCCAGGAGGGCCGACTGTGAATGCCGGGTGCCATGTGGGGAGGCCAGGAGGGCCGACTCTGAGTGCCAGGTGCCATGTGGGGTGGCCAGGAGGGTTGACTGTGAGTGCTGGGCACCATGTGGGGAGGCGAGGAGGGCAGACTGTGAGTGCCGGGTGCCATGTGGGGAGGCGAGGAGGGGAGGCCAGGAGGGCCGACTCTGAGTGCCAGGTGCCATGTGGGGAGGCCAGGAGGGCCGACTGTGAGTGCCGGGCGCCATGTGGGGTGGCCAGGAGGGCCGACTGTGAGTGCCGGGCACCATGTGGGGAGGCCAGGAGGGCCGACTGTGAGTGCTGGGTGCCATGTGGGGAGGCGAGGAGGGGAGGCCAGGAGGACTGACTGTGAGTGCCGGGTGCCATGTGGGGAGGCCAGGAGGGCCGACTGTGAGTGCTGGGTGCCATGTGGAGAGGCCAGGAGGGCCGACCGTGAGTGTCGGGCACCATGTGGGGAGGCATTGCTTTCTCTGTGGGAGCGAGGTGGCTGGGCTGCAGAGTTACTGTGTGGCGTTGGGGTGACAGCAGTGTCTGACCATGGACCATGACATGAATAGGGTTTTTCCTTACACAAGGGTAACAGATTAAGTTTTCAGGAATATATCTGACAGTGGAATTGAGGAGTGAAGGGGGCAGTGGTAGTTCTGTAAGTTTTCCTCCTTTTATTGTAACATTTATAAAGACAGCACAGTCGTCCCTTGGTATCCATGGGAGAAGGGCTCCAGGACCCCCTCAGATACCAAAATCCATGAATACTCAAGTCCCCCATATAAAATGGTGTAGTGTCTGCATATAACCTACGCCCTTCCACCGGGATGCTTTAAATCGTCTCTATATTACTTAAAATCCCTAATGCAATATAAATGAGATGCAAATAGTTGTTATTGTTTAGGGTGTAATGACAAGGAAAAAGTCTGTACATGTTTACTACAGACACGATTTTCTTCAAATGTTTTTGATCCGTGGTTGGTTGGATCCGTCGTTGCAGAACCCACAGAGAGGGAGGGCTGGCTGCACTCCTATTTGATGTGCTCCTGTGTTTCTCAGCTTGTCGTGTTTTACAGCTGCAGTACGGAGACAGCAAGGACAACCCTCTCAAGTACTGGCTTTATAAAGAAGAAGGCGAGAGGAGACACAGGAAGCCCAGAGAGCCAGATCGAGACAACAAACACCGAGAAAAAAGCAGCACAAGGGAAAAAAGAGAGAAATATTCCAAAGAGAAAAGTAATTCATTCTCTGACAAAGGGGAAGAAAGACATAAAGAAAAGCGACACAAAGAAGGTTTTCATTTTGATGATGAGAGGCACCAAAGCAACGTGGATAGAAAAGAGAAATCGGCAAAAGATGAGCCCAGGAAAAGGGAATCCCAGGTACCCCTTCTGATGCTTCGTTGCCTTAGCAGCCGCCCCGAGGCCGGCGCTTTCAGAGGAGGCTTACCGGGCGGTGTCGCCAGACAAGGTTGAGATTTGTGGCCTAGTAGTAGTAATTTAGGAAAAACGCAACTCAAGTCTTGATTACGTGGTTAGTATAGACAGATTACTGATCTCCTAAGGAATGTGCTGTCACATATTTTGATTATATCGTGAATGTACTTTTAACAGATATTTGGAAATCTATCATAAAACTTTGAAATTTGGCCAGGCGCGGTGGCTCATGCCTGTCATCCCAGCACTTTGGGAGGCCGAGGTGGGTGGATCACCTGAGGTCAGGAGTTCGAGACCAGCCTGACCAACATGGTGAAACCCCGTCTCTACTAAAAATACAAAAATTAGTGGGGCATGGTGGTAGGTGCCTATAGTCCTAGCTACCTGGGAGGCTGAGGTAGGAGAATCGCTGGAATCTGGGAAGGAGAATTGCTGGAACCCAGGAGGCATAGGTTGCAGTGAGCTGAGATCGCACCACTGCACTCCAACCTGGGTGACGGAGTGAGACTCTGTCTCTCAAAAAAAAATTTTTTTTGAAATTTAACATTGAAAAGGAAGCTGGTACGTTTTAAAGTGGAAATTAAGTGAATAATTAGCAAACGTTTCAACCAGAATTGGTATAAGTTTGCAAAAAAAGCAAAACAAGACAGAACAAAAATGTAAAAGCATTGATTGCAGAGGGTCTAATTTCCCTCCCAGGTCTGTGGTTTCATCCCTGTACTTAGGATTTTCCTAGAGGTGTTTTAGCACCTTTTGTTCTCATGAGTGTGCTTTTTGCTGCTGTTTTTACAGAATCCGAAGCTAATATGATCTTATTTACCTATTTCTTGGTGATGCTTCCTTTAAGATGGAAGCAAAATCTTTGCAAGAGTCAGGTGGTATCTGAGGCTAGGGGAGAGTCACACCTTCAGGGATGAGACTGGAGGCCTCAGCAGAAGCGCAGGACCCGGATCTCCTGATCTGAACTGACACAGCTGAGGAAATGGACGTAGAGCTGGTGGCCACTGCAGTGTTTACTGTAAAACGCGAATGCCAGTGGGTTAGAACTGGGAGCACTTAGGCCGAGAAGCAGTCGTGTTAGGAGCAGAAGCTGCCTGGCTCCCGGCCATCTCAGCCGCTCTTGGCGCTGTCCTGCATGGGGTCAGAGTCCTTTAACCTCCCTCGCCTTTGCCCTGGGGCCTTTCCTCACTGAGACCCCACTGTCTTCCGCAGCCCACGCCCTCTGTTTGCATCAGGGCGTTGGCCGTGTTTCTTAGCAGGTTTGAGGCAGTGCCGGTTCTGCTACCCGCGTCTACGGTGTGGAAAGCCTGGACTCCCCTCTAGTCAGCCACACGGAAGGTTAGTTGAGGCGGTCACTGAGAAGCAGCTCCTTGAGGACAGATACTCATTTTTTTTGTTTTTATTTATTTTTATTTATTTATTTATTTTGAGACAGAGTCTCGCTCTGTCGCCCAGGCTGGAGTGCAGTGGTGCGATCTCGGCTCACTGCAACCTTGGCCTCCCAGGTTCACGCCATTCTCCTGCCTCAGCCTCCCGAGTAGCTGGGACTACAGGCATGTGCCACCACTCCCGGCTAATTTTTTGTATATTTAGTAGAGACGGGGTTTCACCGTGTTAGCCAGGATGGTCTCAATCTCCTGACCTCATGATCCGCCCGCCTTGGCCTCCCAAAGTGCTGGGATTACAGGCATGAGCTACCGCGCCCGGCCATTTTTTTTGTTTCTAAATCTCTTTCCCTAGATCAAAACTTCATCATTTTCTCCCAACGTTGTGTTACGAACATTTTCAAACATACAGCAAAGTCGACGTAATTTTCCAAAGAACACTCTTGTACCCATAACTTAGACTCCGCTACTTGCCTTTTATTGAACTTGGCTATTCTCCATTCCCTAGATCATGTTTAATTACTGGAAGTGACTTAGGTTACATGTGCTTAGTTCCACCCAGAAATGCCTTTCTGGACATAGATTTGGCTTTTATTAAAGGTGAATGTGAAAAATGGTCGATGAAGAACATTATCCTGTATCTTTGTAAAACCACTGCCTTCAAATTAGTCCCAGAAGAAAGATTATTCAGACGACTGACATTTTCTTTTTAAGACAAGCTGTTCCTATCTGAGTGGCTTGTATGCTGGGCACTGTTCTAGGTGCTGAGGATACAGCTGTGAACAAAACAAAAATTACTGTTCTTATGGTGCTTATGTTGTGTTGGAGAAGCCATAGGATAAAGAACTACCAAAAAAAAACCACCTAAATCTCAGATAGGTGTGGTGGCTTACACCTGGAGTCCTAGCTACTCAGGAGGCTGAGGTTGGAGGATCTGTTGAGCCCAGGAGTTCAAGACCAGCCTGAGAAATATAGTGAGACCCCATCTCTACCAAAAAAAAAAATTTAGCCAGGCATGGTGGCACACAGCTGTAGTCCCAGCTACTACAGAAGCTGAGGTGGGAGGATCACTTGAGCCGAGGAGGTCAAGCCTGCAGTGAGCTGTGATCATATCACTGCAGTCCAACCTGCGTGGTACAGTAAGACCTTGTCTTAAAAAAGAGACCAGGCATGGTGGCTCACACCTATAATCCTAGCACTTTGGGAGGCCGAGACAGGTGGATCACTTGAGGTCAGGAGTTCGAGACCAGCCTGGCTAACATAGTGAAACCCTGTCTCTACTAAAAAATACACAAAAATTAGCCAAGTATGGTGGCACGTGCCTGTAATCCCAGCTACTTGGGAGGCTGAGGCAGGAGAATTGCTTGAACCTGGGAGGAAGAGGTTACGGTGAACTGAGATCGTGCCACTGCACTCCAGACTGGAGGACAGAGTGAGCCTTTGTCTCAAAAAAAAAAAAAAAAGGAAAAGAAATGAACAGATACACGATACAATATCAGGAATGGGGATCGAGCATTGTATAATTAAAGATTTTTTCCTTTGCGTTGACTTTCAGAAATTCAAAACTTTTGAGTACTTTTGATACTCAAAATTAGTATCAATTTTAGATATTCTTCAACTGAGTACTCTGAACCTACTGCTTGATGTAATTATCCTGTGGTTACCGTAAAGTGCAAGGTGCACTGCTAATAATTACGCCAGGACAACAGATAGAAACTGGGACTGTTCCCGGGGATGGATGTTCTCTGTGATTCTCTCTCACTTTCTCTATATGATATTTTTTCTTCTTCTTTTTTTTTTTTTTTTTGAGATTGAGTCTCACTGTATCGCCCAGGCCAGAGAGCAGTGGTGTGATCTTGGCTCACTGCAGCCTCCGCCTCCTGGGTTCAAGTGATTCTCCTGCCTCAGCCTCCCGAGTGGCTGGGATTACAGGTGTGCATCTGGCTTATTATTATTTTTTTTTTTTTTGTATTTTTAGTAGAGTTTCGCCATGTTGGCCAGGCTGGCCTCGAGCTCCTGACCTCAGGTGATCCTCCTGCCTTGGCCTACCAAGGCCAAGTGTTACAGGTGTGAGTCATGGTGCCTGGCCTCTATATGATTTTTGATCCATGATTTTAATTAGAATGATATAACTTTTATTGTAAGCTTCCTCCAGTTATCAATTTGAGATAGAGTATGAGTAAGTACAATAAATATACAAAATGTTCTAAGCTTCCTGACCAGTGACTTCTTTTTTTTTTTTTTTTTTTTTTTGAGACGGAGTCTTGCTCTGTTGCCCAGGCTGGAGTGCATTGGCGCAATCTCGGCTCACTGCAAGCTCCGCCTCCCGGGTTCACGCCATTCTCCTGCCTCAGCCTCCCGAGTAGCTGGGACTACAGGCGCCCGCCACCACACCCGGCTAATTTTTTTGTATTTTTAGTAGAGACGGAGTTTCACCGTGTTAGCCAGGATGGTCTCGATCTCCTGACCTCGTGATCCGCCCGCCTCGGCCTCCCAAAGTGCTGGGATTACAAGCGTGAGCCACCGCGCCCGGCCCAGTGACTTCTTTAATAGAAGAATCCAGTGGCCTCATCTCGTTGTTATCCTATCTGCCACACCTTTATCCTTTTAAAAAACAATTTTTTTTTTTTTTTTGAGATGGAGTCTCGCTCTGTCGCCCAGGCTGGAGTGCAGTGGCGCAATCTCTGCTCATTGCAAGCTCCGCCTCCCGGGTTCACGCCATTCTCCTGCCTCAGCCTCCCGAGTAGCTGGGACTACAGGCGCCCGCCACCACGCCCGGCTAATTTTTGTATTTTTAGTAGAGACGGGGTTTCTCCGTGTTGGTCAGGCTCGTCTATAACTCCCGACCTCAGGTGATGCGCCCGCCTTGGCCTCCCAAAGTGCTGGGATCACAGGCGTGAGCCACCGTGCCCAGCATAATCACCCTTTTATATATACTTTTATCCATTTTCTTTACATTTAATTATCTAATTTACTAAAAATAACTGGTAAAAATAGTTATTTTAAAAGGTACTTGTGATGTACATGCTGTTGTTAAATTTTGAATCTGTGCTTGTTTTGTGGGGTTTACTAATTATGCTTACTTCATTCCGATATGCTAATAAATGGTTATGGGATTATATTTTTGTTTGATAGAATGGTGAACACAGAAATCGAGGTGCAAGCTCAAAAAGAGATGGGACCAGCAGCCAGTAAGGATTGCATGCCCTGTGGTCGACCTTTACGTGTGCCGCTCTCATGGAATGCTTCAGGGAATTTTCTTATTGGCTCCGATGACGGCCAGTCCATGGCAATCAGTTATAGATATACTTCATTTTCTCTAGATTTTACCCCTTAGCCCCTCCAAATGGGTTGGTAGGTTTTTGGAATACTGGAGGAGCTTGGAAACTTAATATATTATTAGCTTTCTTTGGCCTTTTAAATTAATTATATTTTAATTTTTTCATTTTAATATTATTGTTTGTATTTATTGCCTCAGGATCTACTTTTGTCCTTTTTAACATTTGCTCATGCAAAATTAGAAAATTGGTACTCACTTTGGGGAGAATAATTCACTTGGGAGTCACTTAATGTGCAAGAGGGAGTCCTCCCTGCCTGAAGCTAAAGCAAATCCGCAGGTGGGCAGTTTTGCACCTTTACGCACCTGAGCAAACCATTCTGGTTCACAGCCACTAAAAACAGGACGTGCCGGCGAGTCCCCCTCTGCCCACTGTTTATCACTTGTGAACACACGGGATAACATTCCGCCCTCAGGCCTTGGCAGAGACCCCCAGAGCTGGGGGTGGGGGTCAGCCTTGGTTGGAATTTCCTGTCTACCTCTTAGTTGCAGTGTTGGGTGGCTTTTCGCTAAAGCAGTGATGATAATTCCTGTCTCGTGTGGGTTTTGCAATACATAATTGGAGTTTATGTATAAACTCTTTTTTTTTTTTTTGAGACAGAGTCTCACTTTGTTGCCGAGCCTGGAGTGCAGTGGCGCAATCTCGGCTCACTGCAACCTCCGCCTCCCAGGTTCAAGCTATTCTTCTGCCTCAGCCTCCCAAGTAGCTGGAACTACAGGCACATACCACCACACCCAGCTAATTTTTGTATTTTTGGTAGAGATGGAGTTTCACCATGTTGGCCAGGCTGGTCTTGAACTCCTGGCCTCAAGTCATCCACCTGCCTTGGCCTCCCAAAGTGCTGGGATTACAGGCGTGAGCCACTGTGCCTGGCCTAAACTCTCATATGTAAGCCCTAGACTTTAATTTGTTCTTTCTGACAATCATATTTTGTAATCGTTTTTCAAAGATTAGAAAACCCAGGTTAAATATCTTACCCAAATTTTTACAAGTTTGGGCAAAGCTAACACTTAAACCTAGGGTGTCAATTCCTGGATTTTATACTGCATGTCCACTAGAAGGCACAATAAGACTTTTTTTGCTCAATTCTGTATTTTTGTTAAACCGCATGGTATATTGATATGAATGAAAGTTTAAAAATTGAGAATCAGTTTGATATTTTGCAAATCTTTATTTTAGGTCCTAACATGAAATGTGATTAAAATATAAAACATTTCAAGATAAATCTTTCTTTTAGAAAGATTTTATATTTTTATTTTATATTACATATTATATAACATATTTATATTTTATATATATCTTTTATATTTAATATAAAATAGTATTTCAGATAGACCAATAAAATTATAGAAAATTTCTACAACTCTTTTTATTTTTTGTTTTGTGATGGAGTCTTGCTCTGTCGCCAGGCTGAAGTGCAGTGGCATGATCTCGGCCCACTGTAACCTCTACCTCCCTGGTTCAAGCAAATTCCCCTGCCTCAGCCTCCTGAGTAGCTGGGATTACAGGCACACGCCACCACGCCTGGCTAATTTTTTTGTATTTTTAGTAGAGATGGGGTTTCTCCATGTTGGCCAGACTGGTCTCGAACTCCTGACCTCAGGCAGTCTGCCCACCTTGGCCTCCCAAAGTGCTGGGATTACAGGTGTGAGCCACTGCGCCCGGCCGAGAACTTGTAAAGGATGTAGATTTGCACTCACAAGTTTGTTAAAACACATAATTTCTTCTCTGGAAGATATTTTCTGTCTTGAATTATTGCTAAAATAGTAAGAATGCTAGGAAGACTTTAACATTTATTGCTCTAATAAAACATGCTTTGCTAACCTGAAACAGTTTTTTAAAAAAATTATTTTTTGAGAAAGGGTCTTTCTCTGTCGCCCAGGCTGTAGTGCAGTGGCACAATCATGGCTCACTGCAGCTTCAAACTCCTGGGCTCAAGCAAACCTCCTGCCTCAGCCTCCCAAGTAGCTGAGACTACAGGCATGTGCCACCATGCCAGGCTAATTTTTTATTTTTGTAGAGATGGGGTCTACTCTGTTGCCCAGGCTGGTCCCGAACTCCTGGCCTCAAGTGGTCCTCCTGCCTCAATCTCCCAAATAGCTGGGATTACAGGTGCAAGTCATCGCTCCTGGTTGTAGTAGTTCTTAATCATATCAAAATATTGTTAAGAGCTTTCACTGATATGGAAAATGTTTTATTTTTTAAAAGCTCTCATTTAAAGTAAGTTTTGATTTTGATTATGTTTGCTTTCCAGGCATGCTGAGAATTTAGTAAGGAATCATGGAAAAGATAAAGATTCAAGACGGAAGGTAAGGCAGTCTCCACTGAGAATACATTGATTTTATGGTACATTGAGATTAACCATAATCTTACTTTGGGCTTCCCCTTGAAACCAGAGGCCGAGACAGGGCTCATTTGCAGATGGTTTATTCGAGTGGTGATCCCAGAAGGCACACTGGAGACTCACTTTAGGTTAGAAGATGCAAATTGATTGAAAGTAAAAAGGTGGACAAAGAGAATCTATCAGACAGCAGCTATGAGAGGGCTGGATTGGCTACACTAGTATCAGATAAAACAGATTTTGAGACAGAAAGTGTTACTAGAGAGAGACAATTCAGAATGAGCAAATAATTGGTTCAGCAGAAGGCGATAAAACAATTGTAAATGGATATTTACCTAACAAGAGGGTCCCAAAACACAAGCAGCAAAAACTGACAGAATTGAAGGGAGAAAGAGACAATTAATAATAATAGTAACTTTAGCACCCCACTTTCAGTAACAGGTAGGACAATATTTTATGGTAACAAATTAGGTAATTTAGATGAAAGGACAAATTCCTAGAGACTATCAGTTACTAAAACTGCTGGAAGCAGTAGCCTGAATAGACCTATAGTGAGTCAAGACATTGCGTTTGTGTTACAGATCTCCCCACAAAGTCGCTCAGGCTCTGATGGCTTCTCTGGCAAATTCTACCAAGCACATGTTATTAATAGACACTTGTTACTAACACACAATCATCATCCCTCTCCTTGCATAATTGTTTCCATGTGTTAAGCTACCTTGTGACATGTATTTATGCACAGGGAGAATTGTACCCTGTGCTGAGCTTGTCAATTAGTACATCAGCGTTTCTCCACAGTCTTCATTATCTTCACTGTCTCCATTAGGATCATAAGAGTAGGCTTTGTAATGATTACTTAGTGACTCTAAAATAGCACACTGTGGAGTTAGGGTTATTATCAAACCATTGTCCTTTTTTTTTTTTTTTTTTTTTTTTGAGACAGGTCTCACTCTGTTGCCCAGGCTGGAGTGCAGTGGCACGATCTCGGCTCACTGCAACCTCCGCCTCCCGGGTTCAAGCGATTCTCCTGCCTCAGCCTCCTGAGTAGCTGGGACTATAGGCATGCGCCACCATGCCCGGCTAATTTTTGTATTTATAGTAGAGATGGGGTTTCACCATATTGGCCAGTCTGGTCTGGAACTCCTGACCACATGATCTGCCGACCTCGGCCTCCCAAAGTGCTGGGATTACAGGCGTGAGCCACCGCACCCAGCCTTTTTGTTTTGTTATTACAGATAATGTGGCAAGCATATTTTGGATTCTATGAATTATTTCTGGAGAATAATTTTTTCTTCTTTGATCGTTATCTGAAACCCATGATTCTGAGGTAATCATATTTAACAATTTTGTGCCATACATACATATATATATATATATACGTTGAGATGGAGTCTCACTCTGTTGCCCAGGCTGGAGTGCAGTGGCGTGATCTCAGCTCACCTCAACCTCTGCCTCCTGGGTTCAAGCGATTCGTGCCTCAGCCTCCTGAATAGCTGGGATCACAGGCATGCGCCACCACACCCAGCTAATTTTTGTATTTTTAGTAGAGACAGGGTTTCACCATGTTGGCCAGGCTGATCTTGAACTCCTGACCTTAGGTGATCCACCTGCTTTGGCCTCCCAAAGTGCTGGGATTACAGGCGTGAGCCACTGCGCTTGGCCTTTGTGCAGTATTTTTATGAATTGCTTTATTCTATGTCCGTACACAAACATAATTTTACATAAATTAGGTCATACAGCACCTGTTGTTTTGACGTGGATGTTTTATTTCTTTAATTTTGGTGGTGGTGGTTGGATTGCTTATTATCTGGCTATAGCCACACATTTACCACAGAAAAAAATACCTACAAATATTTCTTCTCATATAATCTTTTATAATCATATATTGGTATGTATATTTAGGAGTTTGGAAGCCAGTTTTAAACATTTACACACACACACACACACACACACACACACCCCTCCTGTTTTTCTTTTTTTTTTTTTTTTTTGACATGGGGTCTCGCTTTGTCACCCAGGCTGGAGCGCAGTGGCGCGATCTTGGCTCACTGCAAGCTCTGCCTCCCGGGTTCACGCCATTCTCCTGCCTCAGCCTCCTGAGTAGCTGGGACTACAGGCGCCTGTCACCACACCTGGCTAATTTTTTGTATTTTTAGTGGAGACAGGGATTCACCATGTTAGCCAGGGTGGTCTCGATCTCCTGACCTCATGATCCACCTGTCTCGGCTTCCCAAAGTGCTGGGATTACAGGTGTGAGCCACCACGTCTGGCCACCCCTCCTGTTTTTCCTAGTTCATAGTGGAAATCCCTCCAGTTTGGACGATATAGATCTACCGCATTTTTTTTGTGGATACATTTCTTGAAGTGGAATTGTGGAAATACTGGATGAAAACGTATAGATTTCTTTTCCTATTTTCTTCATGTTTCCCAATTTTGTCTCTAAGCTCCAGGTTGGCATTGTTAACTAGAATTATAATGTGAGCCACATTTATAATTTTAAATTTTATTTTGTATTTTTATTGAAAAAAATAGGCCAGATGTTCGAGACCAGCCTGGGCAACATAGGAAGTCCTCATCTATATAAAAACAACAACAACAACAAAATTAACAAAAAGGCCAGGCATGGTAGCTCAGGCCTGTAACCCCAACACTTTGGGAGGCCGAGGCAGGGGGATCATCTGAGGTCAGGAGTTTGAGATCAGCCTGACCAACATGGTGAAACTCCCGTCTCTACTCAAAATACAAAAATTAGCCGGGTGTGGTGGTGGCCTCCTGTAATCCCAAGCTACTTGGGAGGCTGAGGCAGGAAAATCGCTTGAACCCGGGAGGTGGAGGTTGCAGTGAGCCGAGATCGTGTCACTGCACTCCAACCTGGGCCACGGAGTGAGACTCCTTCTCAAAAAAAAAAAAAAAAAAAAAAAATAGAGGTAGGGTCTTGCTCTGTTGCCCAGGCTGGTCTCGAACTTCTGGGCTCAAGTGATCCTCTTGCCTCAGCCTCCTAAAGTACTGGGATTACAGGTGCGAGCCACCACAACTGGCCTATAATTTTAAGTTTTCTTATAGTCACATTAAAAACATACAGAAGAAACATGAAATTAATTTCATAACATCTTATATAATCCAATAAATCTAAAATAGTATCCGTGCAACCTGTAATCAGTATAAAAATTATCAGTGAGGTAACCAATGGGATATTTTACATTCTTTTTTTTTCTTTTCCAGAGGAGTAAAATATATGATGTGTTTTTTTCTAGAAAAATTTCAGTTGATTGTGAATGTATCTAACAGCTTGTTTTGGCTCTGATTAGATCCTGATTTTACAGCAGCAACACTGAATTTATCTTGGTTCAATTCTTCAGCATTTATGGAGTGCCTGCTATGTGCCAGAATAGTTTTCTGGACACATGGGAAGTTCTTTTTCTATTTTCTTCATGAATAATACTTTATACTGTCACCAGTTTTAGACACTGCCTAGTTTTGGGTAGTGACTTCTTTTTTTTTTTCTTTGAGACTGAGTTTCGCTCTTGTCGCACAGGCTGGAGTGCAACCTCTGCCTCCTGAGTTCAAGAGATTTTCCTGCCTCAGCCTCCCAAGTAACTGGGATTATAGGCACCCGCCACCATGCCTGGCTAATTTTTTTATTTTTAGTAGAGACGGGATTTCACCATGTTGGCTAGGCTGGTCTTGAACTCCTGACCTCAGGTGATCCGCCCGCCTCGGCCTCCCAGAGTGCTAGTATTAGAGGCGTGAACCACTGTGCCCAGCCTGGGTAGTGACTTCTAAGTGCATAGATCTTCCTAGTGTCATTGACAAAGGTGACATTTGCAAGGCTTTTTCTTCATCAGATGCAGGGATCTGGACTTCATGTGTATCCTTTTATCCACTCCTCTCACTGCTACTGTGAAGCAGATGCCATAATTCTGATTTTTCAGAAGGGAAAGCCGAGGCACAGAGGGTTGAAGATACTTGCTCTAAGTCACACAGTTTGTCAGCCACCAGGCTGGGACCTGCATCCCAGAGCGTTAGTTTCGTAGTCTGTGCACCTGTTTGCTGAGGGCTGGCGGGCTCCGCAGTGGTGGGGTGGGGGGGAGCTGCGTGGCGTGTGCCCTGGAGTCCCACCTGTGTCCTGGCTGATGGGGCTGTTCTCTCTCCATTAGCATGGCCACGAGGAAGGCTCTTCTGTGTGGTGGAAGCTGGACCAGAGGCCGGGAGGCGAGGAAACCGTGGTAAGGAGAGTACGTCTTCTTATAGTTTGCAATCCTGTCCCAGCACAGACCCACTCACATTTGCTTGCTTTCCTGTCAGCATTTTGCTAGTGCAATTATTGTCCCTTTCAGACAGCAGAACATGAGCATGAAGGGACAGATGAGATTTTCATATGAAATTCATACTTGCCCTTGTTTGAAGTCCTCGGTCATGTTGAAAGCTGTCTGGGTTGTGGGGGTCAAGGAATGTAACTGGGTTGTGTGCACACCGTCAGGTACTTGAGCCTCTTTCTTCCTGGAAGAGGAGAGGATTTTGCAAAGAAATTGGAGGGAAGAGGTTTAGGGTGAATGAACAGACAGCCTTCCCATTGTTGCTCTGTGTGTAAGTTGAAGAAAGTGAGGAGATTTGAAGACACCTAATAGAGAAATCACAAAAGACACGATCCAGGCCATGGTTGCTGAGAATTACACAAAGTTATAAATAATTTTCAGAATATATATGCAAAACTGGATAGATCAAGGAAATGCAGGTATCCTCATATAAGGGAAGAATTGCGGACGGGGCCTCTGAAGGACGTAGCGCGGAGCTTGATGCAGAGCACGGCCTCGTGTGAGGGAAGAATTGCGGACGGGGCCTCTGAAGGACCTGGAGCGGAGCTTGATGGAGAGCACTTGGGGCTCTCCTCGGGGCAGGTGAACTCCTGGTGATGGGGGTTTCTTGTTCCTTCTCAGGGGTGCGTGCCCCAGTGTGGTTCTAGCTCTGCACAGAAGTGACGGTGTCTGCTGCGTACTCCACTGTCTCCTCACCTGGCTGAGTGCCTGGCCCACACTAGGTGTGTTTGCAGAGTAAATGAACTGTAGTTTCAAAATCCTGGCCAGACATAGGACTTGACTAAAAGCCACTGGGTCTGCTGAGTTGTACGAGAATAAGAAATGTGATGGTGTTAGTTTTCGTTGAAAATTCCTGTTTTCTTCTTGTCAGTCAGCAGGCGTTGTATTTACTGATACAATAAATGTAGTATATGTTATTTAATATAATGTACCATGACTTTATATGATAATGTGCAATGACTTTATATGATAATGTGCCAAGAGGACCTTATTTATTTTTATAAGACTTTATTATTTTTTATTTTATATTTATTTTGAGTCAGGGGCTCGCTCTGTTGCCCAGGCTGGAGTGCAGTGGCACGATCATAGCTCAGAGCAGCCTTAGACTCTTGGGATCAAGCGATTCTCCTGCCTCAGCCTTTTGAGTAGTTGGGATCATAGGCATGAGACACTACTCCTGGCTAAGACTTTATTTTTTTTTTAGAGCAGTTTTAAGTTTCCATCAAAATTGAGAGGAAGGGGCCAGGTGTGATGGCTCACCCCTGTAATCCCAGCACCTTGGGAGGCCGAGGTGGGTGGATCACCCCAGGAGTTCGAGACCAGCCTGGCCAACATGGTGAAACCCCATCGCTACTAAAAATACAAAAATTAGCTGGGTGTGGTGGCGCGTGCCTGTAATCCCAGCTGCTCAGGAGGCTGAGGCAGAATTGCTTGAACCCAGGAGGCGGAGGTTGCAGTGAGCTGAGATTGAGCCATTGTACTCTGGCCTGGGCAACAAGAGCAAAACTCCATCTCAAAAAAAAAAAAAAAAAATTGAGAGGAAGATACAAAGATTTCCCATATACCCCCTCGCCCCCACACATGAATAGCCTCCCCTATTATCAATGTACCCTACCAGAGTGGTGCATTTGTTACAGTTGATGAGCCTACGTTGATGTGTCATTATCATCCGAAGTCCAAGATTTATGTTAGGGTTCACTCTTGGTCTTAAACATTCTGTGGGTTTGGACAAATGGGTCATGACGTGGATCCACCACAGGGCATCATGCAGAGTGGTTTCACTGCCCTAAAACCCCTGTGCTCCGGCTGTTCATCCCTCCCTTCCCCCTTATTCATGGTAATCACTGATCTTGTCTGTGTCTGTATAGCTTTGCCCTTTCCAGAGTGTCTTATACAGCTGCTCCTCAACTTGTGACAGGGTTACATCCCAGTAAACCCATAGTGAGTTGAAAGTATCGTGATTTGAAAATGCGTTTAATATGCCTAACTACTGAAGCTTAGCCCAGCCTACCTTAAATGTGCTCCAAACAGTTACGTTATCCTACAGTTGGCAAAATCATTTGACACAAAACCTATTTTGTAATAAGGTGTTTAATATCTCATATAATTTATTGACTGCAGCACACTGTAGAGTATTGGTTGTTCAGCCTCTTGGTCACGTGGCTGCCTGGGAGGTGTGGCTGCTGCTGTTGCCAGCATCATAACAGTATTGTACCACATATCGTACTGCATGTCACACCGCATATCATACCATATATCATAGTGCATATCCTACTGCATATCGTACCACATATCGTACTGCATGTCACACCGCATATCATACCATATATCATAGTGCATATCCTACTGCATATCGTACCACATATTGTAATGCATGTCACACCGCATATCATACCGTATATCATACCGTATGTCATAGTGCATATCCTACCACATATTGTACCACATATCATATCGTAACACATGTCACACTACATATCATACCGCATATTATACCATCTATCATAGTGCTTATTCTACTGCACATCTTACTGCATATCATACTGCATATTGTAATGCATGTCACACCACATATCATACCGTATATCATAGTGCATATCCTACCACATATCATACCACATATTGTAACACATGTCACACCACATATCATACCACATATTATACCGTATAGCAAAGTGCATATCCTACTGCATATCCTACCGCATATCATACCGCATATCCTACCACATATCGTACATCATAATGCATGTCACACTACGTATCATACTACATATCATACCGTATATCATAGTGCATATCCTACCACATATCGTACTGCATGTCACACCATATATCATGGCGCATATCCTACCACATGTCCTACTGCATATCATACTGCATGTCACTAGTCCAGGAAAAAAACAAAATCCAAAGTAGTTTCCACTCAGTGCGTTTTGCTTTCTCAGCATTGTAAAGTAAAAAAAAATAATAATACATTGAATCATTGTAAGTTGCAGATTGTCTGTAGTTAGAATCATACTGTTTGTAGCCTTTTCCAGATTGGCTTCTTTCATTTAGTGATATGCATTTTAAGGTCCCCCTGTGTCTCTTCAAGGCTTTTAATAACTCATTTCTTCTAGTGCTGAATAATATCCATTGTAGGGATGTACTGTAGTCTATCCACTCACTAACTGAAGGACATCTTGGTTGCTTCCAAGTTTTGGCAAGTATGAATAAATGTGCTATAAACATCTGTGTGCAGGTTTTTGTGTGAACAAGTTTCCAGCTCTACTGGGTAACTACCAAGGAGTGTGATTGCTGGATCATATGATGAGAGTATGTTTAGTTTTGTTGATAAATTGCGAAGCCATCTTCCACAGTGGCCATAGGGTTTTGCCTTCCCCAGCAATGAATGTGAGTTCCTGTGCCTCCACATCCTCACCTGCATTCGGTGTTGTTGGTGTTCTGGATATAAAAGGATCACCGTCCTTTTAATTTGCATTTTCCTGGTGACATGTGATGTGGAGCATCTTTTTGTATGTTTGTTTGCCATCTGTATATCTTGTTTAGTGGAGTGGGGTGTCTGTTAAGATCTTTGGCCCATTTTTTTATTGTTGAGTTTTAAGAGTTCTCTGTGTGTTTTGGATAACACTGCTTTGTCAGTTGTCTTTTGCAAATATTTTCTCTCAGTCTGTGACTTGTCTTCCTGTTGACATTGTCTCTTACAGAACAGAAGTTTTTAATTTTTATGAAGTCCAGCTTATCAATTTTTTCTTTCATGGATTATGCTTTTGGTGTTGTATCTAAAAAGTCATCTCCATACCTAAAGTCATCTAGATTTGTCCTGTGCTATTTCCTAAGAGTTTATGGTTTCGCATTTTACACTTAGGTCTGTGATCTGTTTCGAGTGTGTTTTCTTGAGGGGTGTAAGGTCTGTCTAGATCATAGTGTGAATGTTTATTTGTTCCAGCACCATTTTTTGTGGAGACTATCATTCATTCATTGTACCGTATTGCCATTGCTCCCTTTTCAAAGATCAGTTGATGTATTTATGTGGGTCTATTTCTGGGCTCTTTGTTCTGTTGCATTCATCTATTTGTCCACTCTTTTCGCCAGTACACACTGTCTTGATTGCTATAGCTTTGTAGTGGGTCTTGACATCAGGTCATGTCAGTTCTCCAACTTTGTTCTCCTTCAATGTTGTGTTGACTATTCTGGATCTTCTGCCTCTACATCTGACTTTAGAGTCGGTTTGCCAATATTCATACAATTCTGAAATTTCTATTGCGATTGCATGGAATCTATAGGTCAAGTTGGGAAAAACTGACATCTTGACAGATTTGAGTCTCATTTGTGAACATGGAATATCTGTCCATTTATTTAGTTCTTTGTTTTTGCTTAGCAGAGCTTTATAATTTTTCTCATAGAGATCTTGTACATATTTTGTTAGATTAATACCTGTTTGATTTTTGAGGGTGCTAATATAAGTAATAATCTGTTTTTAATTTCAGATTATACTCGTTCCTTGCTGGTATATAGGAAAGCGACTGACTTTTGTATACTCACTCTGTGTTCTGTGACCTTGCTGTAATTGCTTATTATTTCCAGTCAGGTTTTTTTTGTTCAATTCTTTCATATTTTCTGCGAAGAAAGTTTAATTTCTTCCTTCCCAATCAGTATACTTTTTATTTCCTTTTCTTATTTCATTAGTTAGAACTTCCAGCATGATGCTGACACGGAGTGGTGAGATGATATAGTCTTTGTTTTCAATCTTAGTGGGAAAACTGAGTTTCTCACTTAGGTATGATATTAGCTGTATGTTTTTTTGTAGATGTTCTTTATCAAGTGGAGGAAATTTCTCTCTATTCCTAGTTTACTAAGAGTTTTATCATTAATGGTTGTTGGATTTTGTCAAATGTTTTTTCTCCATTTACTGATATGATCTTATGATTTTTCTCTTTTAGCCTGTTGATTTGATGGATTACATTAATTGATCCTTCAATGTTGAACCAGGCTTGCATACCTGGGATAAATGCCAGTTGGTTGTGGTGTATGATTCTTTTTATTTTTTATCTTTTGTTTTTTTGAGGCAGGGTGTTAACTCTGTCGCTCAGACTTGAGTGCAGTGGGGTGATCATGGCTCATTGTAGCCTCAACCTGTCATGCTCAAGCAATCTTAACCACCTTAGCCTCCTGAGTAGCTGGGACTACAGGCATGTGCCACCATGCCCAGCTAGTTTTTAAATTTTTTGTAGAGACAGGGTCTTAAGATCTCACCTAGGCTGGTCTTGAACTCCTGGGCTCAAGTGATCTTACTGCCTTGGCCTCCCAGAGTGCTGGGATTACAGGTGTGAGCCACTGTGCCTGGCCCTATGTGATTCTTTGTATACATTGTTGGCTTTGATTTGGTACAATTGTGTTGCAGATTTTTGCATCTGTATTCGTGAATGATATTGGTCTGTAGTTTTTTTTTTTTTTCTTGTAATATCTTTGTCTGGATCATGCTGGCCTCATAGAATGATTTAGGAAGTATTCTTTCTGCCTCTGTGCCCTGGAAGAGAGTGTAAAGAATTGTATAATTTCTTTTTTTTTTTTTTTTGAGACAGAGTCTCTCTCTGTCTCCCAGGCTAAAGTGCAGTGGCACGGTCTCAGATCGCTGCAGCCTCCACCTCCTGGGTTCAAGCAGTTCTCCTGCCTCAGCCTCCCGAGTAGCTGGGATTACAGGTGCCTGCCGCCATGCCCAGCTAATTTTTGTATTTTTAGTAGAGGTGGAGTTTCAGCATGTTGGCCAGGCTAGTCTCAAACTCTTGACCTCAGGTAATTCACCCATCTCAGATCTTACTGCCTTGGCCTCCCAAAGTGCTGGTATTACAGGTGTGAGCTACCGTGCCCAGGTAAGAATTATATAATTTCTTTATTAAATGTTTGGTAGAATTCACCAGTATTAGTGCTTTCTAGCACTAGCTGGGCCTTGTGTTTTCTTTTTTAGAAGGTTATTAATTATTGACTTGATGTCTTAATAGGTATAGGCCTATTCAAATTGTCTGTTTCTTCTAGTGTGAGTTTTAGCAACTGTGTCTTTGATGAAATTGGCCCATTTTACTAAGTTATCAAATTTATGGGCATAGAGCTGTTCATGGTATTACTTGATTATCCTTTTAATGTCATGGGATCTGCAGTGATGTCCTCTTTTACCTTTCTGACGCTAGTAATTTGGATCCACTTTCTTTTTTTTCCTTAGTTAGCTTGGCCTAGAAGTGTACTGATTTATTGGTATTTTCAAAAAAGACAGCTTTTGATTTCATTGATTTTTCTCTGTTGATTTCCTATTTTTAATTTTGATTTCTGCTCTAATTATTATTATTTCTTTTTTCTGCTTACTTCAGATTTAATTTGCTCTTATTTTTCTAGTTAATCCAAGCTAGAAACTTAGATGATTGATTTTAGATCTTTCTTCTTTTCTAATATATGCATTCAACATTGTAAATTGCCCTCTAAGCACTGCTTTTGTTTGCATTCCACAAATTCTGATAAGTTTTCATTTCTATTTAGTTCAAAATGCTTTTACATTTCTCTTGAGATTTGTTTTTTAGCCTCTGTGTTATTTAGAAATATGTTGTTTAATCTTCATATATTGTGGGATTTTCCAGTTATTTTTCTGTTACTGATTTCTAGTGTGATTCCATTGTGACCTGAGAGCAGATGTATAATTTCCATTCTTTAATATTTGTTAAGGTATGTTTTATGGCCCAGAATATGGGCTATCATGGTGAATTATATGCCAGCTTGATAAGAATGTGTATTCTGCTGTTGTTGGGTGAAGCAGTCTAACGCTGCCCATTATACCCGGTTCACTGATGGTGCCGTGGAGTTCAGCTATATCCTTACTCATGTTCTGCCTGTTGGATTTGTCCATTTCTGATAGAGGGATGTTGAAGTCTCCAGCTGTAATAGTGGATTCATCTATTTCTTCTTGCACTTCTATTAGTTTTTGACTTAAATAATTTGACCCTCACACATATTAAGGATTGTTATGTCTTTCATTAAAGACATAAAATTGGCATCTTTATCATTGTGTAATGCCCTTCTTTATTCATGTTGACTCTCTTTACTTTGAAGTGTGCTGCGTCAGAAATTAATATAATGACTTTTGCTTTCTTTTGATTAGTGTGAGCATGGTATATTTTTCTTCATTTGGGTTTCCTGAAGACAATAAGTAGATGGATCTTGTTTTTTGATCCTCTCTGACAATCTCTGTCTTGTGATTGGTACATTTAGATCATTGATGTTCAAAGTAATTATTGATATATTGGATTAGTATCTGCCATATTTGTTACTATTTTTTATTTGTTGCCCTTGTTATTTGTTCCTGTTTTTGTCTTTCATTCTTTTTTTGCCTTCTGTGGTTTTAATAGAACATCTTATGATTCTATTTTCTCTCCTTTCTTAGCATATCAGTTAAAGGTTGTTTTTTTTTTTTAACTTTTTAAAGTGGTTTAAATACATTTACAACCAATACAAGTCCACTTTTGAATAAGACTGTATCACTCCCATTCCTTGTATCCTTGCTGTCATTCATTTTACTTGTGTATAAGCAGACATAAGCATGTTATCCCTTGGTATTGGAACAGGATTGGTTCCTGGACCCCCTGTGGATACTAAAATCTGCAAACGCTCAAGTTCCTTAAGTAAAATGGCATAGGATTTGCATATAACCTATGCATGTTCTCCCATGTATTTTAAGTCATCTCTAGATTGCTTATAAAACCTAATACAATGTAAATGCTATGTAAATAGTTGTTATACTGTATTTTAAAATTTGTATTATTTTTTATTTTTATTTTTCCAAATATTTTTGGTCTGTGGTTGGTTGAATCCATGGATGTGGAACCCACAGATAAGGAGGGCTAACTATGCATATGTGTACACAAACACACATACACACACACGGATAAATACCTAAGCATACGTAATTGAATACATTTTTGCTACTATTATTCTGAACAAACTGTTATCTGTTAGATCAATTAAGGAAAAGAAAAGGAAGAGTTATTTCCCTTTACTTATTTCTTCTTCCATCTTTTCTTTTTTTTATATAGACCCAAGTTTCTGACCTATATTATTTTCCTTCTGATAACGGTTTGGCTGTGTCCCCACCCAAATCTCAACTTGAGTTTATCTCCCAGAATTCCCACATGTTGTGGGAGGGACCCAGGGGGAGGTAATTGAATCATGGGGCCTGGTCTTTCCCATGCTATTCTCGTGATAGTGAATACATCTCATGAGATCTGATGGGTTTATCAGGGGTTTCTGCTTTTGCCTCTTCCTCATTTTCTCTTCCTGCCACCACGTTCAAGAAGTGCCTTTTGCCTCCTGCCATGATTCTGAGGCCTCCCCAGCCATGTGGAACTGTAAGTCCAATGAAACCTCTTTTTCTTCCCAGTCTCGGTTATGTCTTTATCAGCAGTGTGAAAACGGACTAATACACCTTCTTTCTGAAGAACTTCTTTTTATGTTGCTTGCAAGACAGGTCTACTGGCAACAAATTCCCTCAATTTTGTTTGAAAGTCTTTATTTCTCCTTCACTTTGGAAGCATAATTTTATAGAGTATATGTGTAATTTTGGGCTGCTGAATATTTTTCTCTCAGTACTTTAAACATTTCTCTATGCTGTCTTCTTGCTTGCATGGTATCTGAGAAACTGAATGTAATTCTTTTTTTTTTTTTTTTCTTTTTGAGACAGAGTTTTGCTGTCATTGCCCAGGCTGGAGTGCAATGGTGCGATCTCAGCTCGCTGCAACCTCTGCCTCCCAGGTTCAAGTGATTCTCCTGCTTCAGCCTCCCAAGTAGCTGGGGTTACAGGCAAGTGCCACCACGCCCAGCTAATTTTTATGTTTTTAGTAGAGATGGGGTTTCACCATGTTAGTCAGGCTGGTCTTGAACTCCTGACCTCAGATGATCCACCTGCCTCGGCCTCCCAAAGTGCTGGGATTATAGGTGTGAGCCACCGCGCCCAGCCTGTAATTCTTATCTATGTTCCTCAGTAGATAAAGTGTTTTTTCCCCATCTGGCTTCTTTCAGGATTTTGTCCTTATCTGTGATTTTTCTGTAGTTTGAATATAAGATGCCTAGGTGTAGATGTTTTGATATTGATCTTGGTGTTCTATGAGCTTCCTGGATGCGTGGTTTGGTGTCTGACATCAGTTTGGAGAAATTCTCAGTCATTATTGTATCAAGTATTCTGTTCCTTTCTCTCTTCTTCTGCCATCCCCATTATACATGTGAATACCTTTTGCAGTTGTCCCACAGTTCTTGGATATTTTGTTCTGTTTTTTTTTTTTTTTTTTCCTTCCCGCTTTTTGTTCTCTTTGCTTTTCAGTTTTGGGGGTTTCTATTGAGGTATCATCAAGCACAGAGACTTTTCTTCAGCTCTGTCCAGTTTACTAATGAGCCCATCAAAGTTGTTCTTCACTTCTGTTTCTGTTGTTTTGTTGTTTTTGACCTCGAACTTTCCTTTCTGGTTCTTTCTTAGACTTTCCATCTCTCTGCTTGCCTGCTATCAACTTTGTCTATTAGAGCTCTTAGGATGTCCTCATAGTTGTTTTAAGTTCCTGTTCTGATAATTCCAACATCCCTGCCATGTCTGGAACTGGTGCTTGCTCTGTCTCTTCAAACTGTATTTTCTGCTTTCTAGTATGCTTTGTAATATCTTCTTGATTGTGCAGTGGCGCGATCTTGGCTCACTGCAACGTCTGCCTCCCAGGCTCAAGCAGTCCTCTCACCTCAGCCTCTGGAGTAGCTGGGAACACAGGTGCACACCACCATGCCCAGCTAATTTTTTGTATTTTTGGTAGAGATGCGGTTTCGCCATGTTGCCCACGCTGGTCTTCAGCTCCTGAGTTCAAGTAATCTGCCTGCCTTGACCTCCCAAAGTGCTGGGATTAAAGGTGTGAGCCACAGTGCTCACTACAGCTACACTGTCTTTAATGGTGTAGATAAGCTGAGCACCATTCAGCGGGGAATATATTCATGGATAAGAAATGGATTGCTGCACATTTGAAGTTTATTTGTAAAACACTTAAAAAATTTTTAGCCACCAGAATTATAGAGGTTTCCCAAAAAGGATGTTTACTGTTTTCTCTTTTTGGTCCTACCTGTAAGTTAGCAAGGGTATTTCTTAAAGGAATTTAACATTATATTAGTTTTACAAATACCTAGAGTTTAAAATTAGCAACATCAAAGGAATGTCAGAAAACATATATGTTTTCCCAATCTATTTGCAATATTCAATTTTATGATTGAATTTTTTGGTTTTGTGTTTGATTTTTACCTCTAGGAAATTGAAAAGGAAGAAACTGATTTAGAAAATGCTAGAGCTGATGCATATACAGCCAGTTGTGAAGATGATTTTGAAGTATGTATAAAAGTTAAAACTTTCCTTAGCTTAAAAATCATTTATTCTTAAAAATCAGCTTATATATAGTAATTTGATGTCCTTTTTATTCTTTTTATTAATCCTAATACTCAATATCTGGCTAGGTTGATTTAGGTCAAGCTGTTACCTGTAAAATGCTTGCTATACTTCTACTAATACTTACCAATATGATGTAATTAAATGATTTTATAATTTAACTCATATTTAAGTGCAGTGCATAAAAAGATGTATACATAGGTATCTATAAAAATACATACACTTTCACATTCTCAGCACAAATGTTTGCACGTGATGATAGTTGATAGGTCTTCTGTATATGGTTCTGTATTGTGTGATTTATTTTTAGAGAAATAAAGGTAGCAGTTTATATAAATTTACCTTCAAAAACATTAAAATCAGGGAACTATAAATATCTTTCTTAGCTGTAATAAGGACATTGTCTGTTTTAAGTTATAAAGTGTCATGTTTTGTTCAGTATGAGGGATAATTGAAAGTCAGTTTGTCTTAAAGGGTTCCAAAAGATTATTATTGTTTGCAGGACTATGAAGATGACTTTGAGGTTTGTGATGGTGATGATGATGAAAGCAGTAATGAACCTGAGTCAAGAGAAAAACTGGAAGAACTTCCTCTAGCTCAAAAAAAGGAAATACAAGAAATTCAAAGAGCTATTAATGCAGAAAATGAAAGGATTGGCGAGTTATCTTTGAAACTGTTTCAGAAGCGAGGTAGAACAGAATTTGAAAAGGAGCCCAGGACAGGTAAACAAATCAATGCTACTAATGGTGTCCGTGCTCTTAGGGCTCTGTGTACTGAGCCCTCACAGATGCTGTCACACACAGGCCTACTCTAATAAGGTGGGTGGAGCAGTAACATCTTCCACATGCTGGTGGTGCCATGCCCTTGCAGCTACCACATAGGAGGCCCCTGAAGACTTGAGCACGAGCCCATCCAGAATTCTCTTACACAGAGAAGTTGCACGTCACTTTCTGCTCAGCACCCAGGCCTTAGGTTAGCTGAGGGTGCCGTGGCCCCACTCAGTGAGCACTGATGCTCCTGTTCTCCAGAGGGAGCTGAGGATGCTGTGGCCCTCCTCAGTGGGAGCTGAGGATGCTGTGGCCCTCCTCAGTGGGAAGCCTGACTCATGTTTTCTTTGCAACCAGCGTTTTATCCGTCTGTGAGCACATGCTCTTATTTTTCCTGATGATGTGCTCCTTGAGTTTCCACAGAGGAATCATCATGGTTTTCCCTGGAGGCGTGGCAGTGTCCACTGATGAGTGCCTTCATGAGGCACGTGGGGACTGAGGGGTTGAGGTGCCTGTCAAGTCTTGGGACACAGCTGGACTGAGCCTGACACGAAGCATGCTCTTGATCCATTCTTTTTTTCCTACAAGGACCTTTTTAAATTAAATTTAGAAATGTATTTTTTCTCCAAATTCTTGGCATCAGGATATAATGTTACTTGTGAGAGTAGGAATTAATGTTTCAAATTGCTTTAAAGGAAAACTGACATTCTGATAAAACATGGGCACTGAGGATAAAATAGGATAATATTAAAATACTATTTGATGACGTACTACTTTAAATTATCTAGTAAAATATTCAGTAATTGATGCAGTTAATTATAGTTAGTAATTAATATGATGCACTAATACAAATGAAGGTTTTGCAGAATGATTCTTTGTCTCACATTTTGTGCCTGCTACAGAGGTGGCAGAACTCAGCTGGGCAGTGCTGATAGAGCGTTCTTTAAACTTATAGCTAAAGGGCACCTGTCCTGGTAGAGGTAAGGATCTGCCCCTTCTTCAGCCCTATCGCCTGGCTGAGGCTCAGGGACTGTTTCCCTCAGTTCCCCGTGGGGTAGCGCTGCACACAGGGAGGGTCTTTGTGCCACCAGCACACAGGATTTCCTGACAGCATTAAAGCTTGTCTGCTCTGGAGTTGCTGAGACGCGAGCAGGATTTTATTCTTAACGTTACTGGTTTTCTTAGCAGATCTTTGAATAACCTTTTTTTGTTACTCATTTTCAACATTTATGCTTAGTGTTATATCTTTATTAGCCTGATTTACAAGATTAGAATTTACAACTCTCAATATGAGATTATTTTTGGCATATTTCTTATTTGAAGGAGTTATTCACTGTCATACACATTGCTCCAGGTAAAGCTGGAGCTGCTTTCTTGGCCCTGTTTAATGTTGAGCTGGCACAGGTGGACGGTCGTAAAGACTAGCACAGTGTTGACATCACAGTCTGTGCTGAAGCAGGAATCACGGAGCCATGCTGACTCCGGGGTTTCAGATAACTGACTAGCTGTGTGATCTTGGGCAGTTACTTAACCTGTCTGTGCCTCATTTTCCTTAACTGTGAAATGAGTGTCAGACTTTCTTTAGGGTTGTTGTGAAGATTAATTAAGCAAGCTAAACATGGAAGGTGCTTAAAGGAGTGCCAGGCACGTTCTGAGTGCTAAGCACCGGTTTGTTTTCTGTGTCCTCCTTGGCTGTACTCTGCCACACCCTGTGGTGCTTGGACTACTTGGTTATAAACTGCACGCCTTATCCTTTTTTAGGGCAGTAAGAAACCGTTTGGTAAATAACTTTTTCCCGTGCACTAAAGTTACACCATGGCGTTTGAAAGCCTTTGTACACTTCCAAAAGGTAAATGGTCCACTTGGTCAGTGAAGGAGTCTTTGCTGAGCGCCAATGACTTGCACAGAGGTGTGCGCTCTGCTCCAGGGATGTCTTTATTCAAGTCTTAATTCTGTAACTTTAAACGTTTTCTCATTTTTAAAAACAGTCACATCTTATAATGTCTGTGTGGTGCTTTCTAATTGCTCATAAATGTGGCCTCCTGTGGTCTGGTCCTTATCACAGTCCTGTACGGCAGATGTCCAGCAATAAGGGAACTGAGATGCAGAGATGAGGTAACCTCCCATGGTCATGAAGCAAGTAGCGGACAGTGCTGGGACTTGAGCTCAGGCCCCTGACCCAGACAGGCATCCTCCAGAGCCACACCCTCTGCATTGCTGGCCGTAAAGCTTTGTTGTGAAGATCAGATGAGATAATGTGTGGGAAAGGGCTCTGAGTTTCATAAAACCGTAAGACGGGAGGGCAAGTGCAAACCAATATCCAAAAGGAATGAAAAGACGATAAGATGCAGTAGAAATAAATATACAAACAAATAAATACACAGGTAAGTATGTACAAGAAGCCACCGAAATCCTTAGGGGGAAGAGGTGGATTGAGGAATGACTTGTGTCCATTACAAAGGATTGGGGATGGAGTTGTTTGTTCTTGTCTTTCTTTTTCTTTTTTTTTTTTTTTTTTGAGACAGAGTCTCACTATGTCTCCCGTGCTGGAGTACAGTGGCATGATCTCGGCTCACTGCAACCTTCATTTCCTGGATTCAAGCGATTCTTCTGCTTCAGCCTCCCGAGTAGCTGGGACTACAGGTGCTCGTCACCATGCCTGTCTAATTTTTGTATTTTTAGTAGAGACGGGGTTTTGCCATGTTGGCCCGGCTGGTCTGGAGCTCCAGCCCTCAAGTGATCCGCCTGCCTCGGCCTCCCAGAGGGCTGGGATTACAGGCATGAGCCATCGTATCTGGCCAAGTTGTTCATTCTTATATAATATGAACCTTTTCCATCAGCCTGACAATTCAATAATCTAATCACATCTTCAGAAATTTTAGAGCTTCTGAGGAAGCTCATGCCTTCATTCTCTTTTGTTTCGTGCCCTTTGACATATTAAGTAATTGATTCAATATTAATTTGCACTTGTTTCTGTTTTTTAGCAATTTTGTATGTCCTTGTTCCACTTCCCTTACTAAAAGATAATCTTTGTTTTTTTTGCAGAATGGGCGGGATGGGGGCTTAGAACTGCATCTTTTGTGCATTCTTAAGTATTTCTAAAACTCTTTAATAGTGTGAGTGGCACATACAATAGATGATCAGTAAATTTTGCTTTGTTGCCTGAAAGTTTTAGATGAAATAATCAAGAGAGGTCTCTCAAATGCTTATGAAAGATGTTTGTCATTAGTTGAAGGGTTTATTGACTATAATTGTTATATATGCCTATAATTGTTTTACTCCAGATATTTTTTTGCTTGGAAGACATATTTCCGTGTTGGAAAAATAGTGTTTTTCTCCCTCACACAGATACAAACAGTTCCCCTTCCAGAGCCTCTGTTTGTGGAATTTTTGTGGATTTTGCCTCAGCTTCACACCGTCAAAAGAGTCGGACTCAGGCCCTTAAGCAAAAGTAGGTGTATTGGGAAAGCAGCCAAAGGTGTTCAGGGTTTTAGCTTAACTTTTCTTTCACATACTTTTAAAAAATCGAGTTTTAAAATGCATTTTTACTACTGTTTTTTGGGGTGTATGACTTAATTTGTACTACACTTTTGTGTTGAGATCTTATGTTAGTAGAGCAGGTGTGTGAGCCGCTACGTACCATGTGCTGATGTTGGATGTTTGTTCTTAGATTTGTGGCGGACAGTTGGAGCTACCCTGGGAGTAAATCGAGAAATTTGTAAAATTTAGAAATCTATAAAAGATATATTTTAAAGTCAAGGGTCTATTATACTAAGCCCAAATATGACTGAGGAGTAAATGAAAAAAATAAATATTTTTATTTATTTATTTTTTTGAGACAGAGTTTCACTCTTGTTGCCCAGGCTGGAGTGCAATGGCACGATCTTGGCTCACTGCAACCTCTGCCTCCCGGGTTCAAGTGATTCTTCTGTCTCAGTCTCTTGAGTAGCTGGGATTACAGGTGGCCGCCACCACGCCTGGCTAATTTTGTATTTTTAGTAGAGACAGGGTTTCTCCATGTTAGTCAGGCTGGTCTCGAACTCCCGACCTCAGGTGATCCACCTGCCTTGGCCTCCCAAAGTGCTGGGATTACAGGCATGAGCCAGCATGCCTGGCCAAAAAATAAAGATTTTTAAAAGTGGATTTAAAATCTCTTATCACCTAGCTCAGTATATGGCCTTCCTTAGTCAGTACTCAATAAATATTTACTAAATGAAAAAATCAATCATTAATAATAAAAGTGGTTGGGCATGGTGGTATATGCCTATAATCCCAGCACTTTGAGCACAGGAGTTCAAGAGCCTGAGCAAGGAGGAGTTCAAGGGCCTGAGCAGCATAGCGAGACGCACCTGTGGTCCCAGCTCCTGGGGAGTGCTTAGGTGGGAGATGGCTTGAGCCTGAGAGGTCGAGGCCGCACTGAGCCGTGACTGCACCATTGCACTCCAGCCTTGAGGCTGCACTGAGCTGTGGCTGCACCACTGCACTCCAGCCTGGGTGGCAGAGCGAGACCCTGTCTCAAAAAAGAAAAAAAAAAAAACTAATAAAGGTGACAGTTTTCACAGCAGTTTTGCTGCCTTTATATTTTGGTTCTCCTGTGGAGGTAGCAAAACTGGTTTCTGGCCCCATGGCCTTCTTTTTTTTTTTTTTTTTTTTTTTTTAAACCTGATTCAAGTTCTCAGAAAACTACATATGGTTTAATGCAATTTTTATAAACTCAGAAATAAAGCTACACAGTATGTTGTTTAGACTCATATAAATATGAGATAAAATTATATTTTGAAAAACAAGAAACTGATAACCACAAAATTCAGTCTAGTGATTGTTGTGGGCAGTGGGGGATCTTGGAATGTGTCAGGGAGGAGCCACTAAGTAGATGGGGGTCATTGGTTGCCTTCCCTCCCTTTCCATTTCCCTTTCCCTTTTCCTTTCCCTTTCCCTTTCCGTTCCCTTTCCTTTCCCTTTTCTTTCTTTTACGTCTTCTGCTTTTGAGACAGGGTCTCACTCTGGCACCCAGGCTGGAATGCAGTGGCATGATCTTGGTTTGCTGCAGCCCTAACCTTCTGGGCTCAGGTGACCCTCCACCTCAGCCTCCTGAGTAGCTGGGATTACAGGTGTGCACCACCACACCCAGCTAATTTTTATTTTTTTTTTATGTAGAGGCAGTGTCTTGCCATGTTGCCCAGGCTGGTCTTGAACTTCTGGGCTCAAGCAATCCACCCACCTCAGCCTCCCAAAGTATTGGGATTACAGGTGTGAGCTGCTGTGCCCGGCTGGTAATCTAGTAATTGGTAGTTTTCTAGTTAGGTCCTAGGATGTTAACTAGATTGATATATAATGTACAAGTAGATTATATGGATTATTTTGGATCAAAAATTTTATTAAATATTTTAAAAGAAAAATTTAAGAAATGAAAGGCCGAAACATAAAGGGATTGATGATAAATAAAAAAGTTTTTGAGAAAAATGTAGGAGTCCACACTTTATACGCGTGTGGGGTGAGTTCTGGCATTTGTGTGTTGTAAGGAAATAGTATAGAGGCACTTTTACTACTAGATATACATTTAGTAAATCAACTTGAAATTTGAGGGAAAATAGATACCTGCTTCATAGTATACCCAAGATAAATTCCAAATGGATTTAAAAAAAAAATGAAAAAGAGAGCATAGCTAGTGTAAATGGTTATTTCAGTGATAAGAAAGGACTTTCTAAGAATAAAAAGAATAAAAATTAAAAATTACTGGAATGTACCTCAAAAATTGAATTTCTGCAAGGTACAATTGTCTGTAAATCTGACAAAATTTAAAGGTAATTGACCAATTGGGAAAATATATTTGTAAAATATATGATAGAGACTTATTATCCCTAATGCATAAAATGTTTTTATAATTTAATAAGCAAAGTTAAATAACCCTAGTTAAAAATGGGCACAGATCATACAAGACTTGAGATCCAGTCAGGAAAACAAAAACTAATTTGGGTATTAAACAGAAGGATGTGACACAGGGAGTGAATTCCTTAGGTGTTGGAAGAGCTGAGCTTCAGCAGGGCCCAGGAGCAGCTCAGAGATTTGCCGCAGCAGGAGCCACCCCTTCCCCTGAGCCGGAGAGGCTGGGCGGTCGGGAGCTGGAGCCATGGCCGGCCTGCTGGGGCCACAGGAAATACCTGTCGGTGGCTCAAGGTAGAGAGGTAGAAAAGTAATGTGTTTGCTTGTTTTCTCTTACATTATTCCCCAGTCTCTCACCAGATGGCCCCAGGGTGGTAAAGGACACAGAGAGAATTCACAACAGAAAAAAATTAGGCTGTCAGTAAATGTATGAAAATATGTCCTGTCAGAGAAATGTATATTGAAACAATGGGATGAATTTTTCTTTTATGGAATAGGCAAGGTATTAAAAAATGATAATACTTAGGCCAGGCATAGTGGCTCATGCCTGTAATCCCAGCACTTTGGAAGACTGAGGCGGGCGGATCACCTGAGGTCAGGAGTTCGAGACCAGCCTGGCCAACATGGTGAAACCCCGTGCCTACCAAAAATACAGAAATTAGCCAGGCATGGTGGCACATGCCTGTAATCCCAGCCACTCGGGAGGCTGAGGCAGGAGAATTGCTTGAACCTGGGAGGTGGAGGTTGCAGCGAGCTGAGATCGCACCACTGCACTACAGCCTGGGCGACAGAGCAAGACTCTGTCTCAAAAAAAAAAAAAAAAAAAAAAAAAGATAATACTTCAGTACTGATGAGAATGTAGAGAAAAAGCTTGCTTGAAACAAATTGGTACAATGTCTGCATAGGCAGCATTCTATCAGGTATGAAATATAGGTATCAAAACGATGGATACTCTGAGGATATAATGTCATGAAAAACGCTCCAGTGATACGAGAAAAGCATCTTACAAAAGAATATGTACAGAGTCCTACTTTCTTGATGGAATGGCTTGTATCAGAGAAATCCTCCAGCTAAAACAAGGGTAAAAGTTGGATTTAAAACAACAAAAACACTCCAGCTGATTGAATATACCGGAGCAACCAAGGCCGCTGGGCCCTGAAGAGCCGAGGTCCTGGAAAGAAGGGAAACATGGAGGCGATCCCTGTTTCCATTCAGGTTTGCATCTTGATTTCTCAAGACAGTAGAGTGAAACAGAAAGATCTGATGGCCTAGGGCATTTGACGTTCGCACAGGGTCGAGGGGATGAAAATGGAAGTTGAGAGCCTTCCGGTGGGAGAATTTCTGATAAAACATCCTAGGTTTTGGTCGAGCCTCCTGCAGGCCTGTGCTCTAGGAAGCAGGGCAGACCTGGAGGAGTGTGAGGTGAAGGATCGGGGGAGGAGGAGGAGCAGAGAGCAGACCCGGTGGCCGAGGCACCTGGATGTTGGGCGGGTCGTTCACTCGGTCATTCACTGTGCATTCATTGAGCACCGGCTGTGTGGCGATAACAGTAAAGAAACAAAAATCTCTGCCCTTGCGAGTTTATATCCCAGTGAGGAGTAACAAACAAATATCTTAAGGATTTGACCCCGGGCACACTAATGTTAGGGTGAAACTTAGGAAAGGAAAACCCAGCACAGGCGATGGAAAAGGAACTGTTTGTGAAGCAAGAGGAAGCCACGTGGGTGCGGCGTTTCGGGGCCTGTGGGCAGAGGGCCATCGGCCGTGTCAGGCCTGTGGGTGCAGGGCCATTGGCTGTGTCAGGTCTGTGGGTGGAGCATGATGGGCTGTGTCAGGCCTGTGGGCTGAGGGCGATTGGAGGGCGATCAGCTGTGTCAGACCTGTGGGAGCGCGATTGGCTGTGTCAGGCCTGTGGGCCGAGGGCAATTGGCTATGTCAGGCCTGTGGGCCGAGTGCGATTGGCTGTGTCAGGCCTGTGGGTGGAGGGCCATTGGCTGTGTCAGGCTTGTGGGCGGAGCACGATTGGCTGTGTCAGGCCTGTGGGCTGAGGGTGATTGGAGGGCCATCAGCTGTGTCAGGCCTGTGGGCCGAGGGCACTTGGCTGTGTCAGGCCTGTGGGCCGAGGGCAATTGGAGGGCAATTGGCTGTGTCAGGCTCGTGGGCCGATCACTATTTGCTGTGTCAGACCTGTGGGCGGAGGACGATTAGAGGGCAGTTGGCTGTGTCAGACCTGTGGGTGGAGGGCCATTGGCTGTGTCAGGCCTGTGTGCGCAGGGCGATTGGCTGTGTCAGCCTGTGGGCCAAGGGTGATTGGCTGTGTCAGGCCTGTGGGCGGAGGGCGATTGGCTGTGTCAGGCCTGTGAGCGAGGAGCGTTGGCTGTGTCAGGCCTGTGGGAGGAGTGCGATTGGCTGTGTCAGGCTTGTGGGCCAAGGGCGATTGGCTGTTTCAGGCCTGTGGGAGGAGCGCGAATGGCTGTTTCAGGCCCGTGGGCCGAGGGCGATTGGCTGTGTCAGGCCTGTGGGCGGAGGGCGATTGGAGCGTGAAAGGCAGGTCAAGTCCTGGGGGAAGCACAGAGGTTGGCTGTGGCCTGGAAAAGAGCGTGGCCCAAAACACTTACTGGCTGCGTGGTCCGACCATGGTGCAGGTGATTGCATAGTCAGTATGTCAGCTCCTGAAGTCAAATGAATTAGTCCTTAGGAACATCCCAGGCATATATGTTGTGTGACTTGATTTTGTGTTAGCTCAGGCATACGCATTAGAACGGTCACACATGAGGTTCGTGACACACACACGAGGCAGTCGGGGAGCAGAATCACCAAATGCCAAGGTCACACACCAGGTTCCCACGACTGTCTACTACTCAGTTATTTTTAACAGCTGTTAAATATCTCAGACTCACCCCAGCCTGAAGCTAGGTTTCTGACAATAACATGCATTTAACTCTAAGTTTACTTCTGTTCTCCCTACACTTCCCCACGTATATTATTCGAGTTAATTTTTGTCTTGTTTCCAATTTATTTCAAAGGATGCGAAGTACAAAACTGCTTCGGCTCATTGACTTAGATTTTTCATTTACTTTCTCTCTCTTGGATCTACCACCAGTAAATGAATATGACATGTATATCAGAAACTTTGGGAAAAAAAATACCAAGCAGGTAAGTATGAGATGTGTTAACTAAGTGATAAAATGCAAGTAAAGTCTAGTAGGATAACTTTGTGTCTTCCTGAATAATGTTCTGCAATATTAGAACTTGGGGATGGTCTGTGAAGGATACAAGCTTAGGGAAAATGGGGACCCATCTTCACATGGGGCCCATTCACCCGAGAGGCCGGGCACAGGCAAAGCCGGAGGCACTCCAGAGCCTTCAGGAGCTCTGGTGGGTGATCTGCTCGGAATGGGGACAGAATGGCTGCTGTCCTGACCTTGGAGTGAAGCTTTATGCTGTGCAAATGTTTTATTTATTTATTTAGAGACAGTCTCACTCTGTCGCCCAGGCCAGAGTGCAGTGGAGTGATCTTGGCTCACTGCAAACTCCACCTCCTGGGTTCAAGTGATTCTCGTGCCTCAGCCTGCCTTACCTGCCTGTCTGTTCCTCAGTGTCCAAGGCCTGTTTTCTGGGTGAACCCTTCCTAGTGACTTACAATGAATTCTTTCTCCTATTCCAGAGTTCCTACAATTTACTATTTCATGCAATTTTGTACTTCCCTGTAGTATTTCCAATCATTAATTCATTATGTGATGGTCTCACTTCACAACAAGGTTCTAAAGATTTTGAAGTCAGACGTCTTATCTAACATTTTTCTTACATTCCTGTTACTGGTACCACCAATCTTAACATTGTCTAGTTGGTACACTCAATAAAATCCTTTTAAAAGGAGGAAGGTCACGGGATGAAGCTGAAGAAGCTGATGGCTTTTACAATTTTTAAATTTTTAAATTTTTTTTAAGAGACAGGGTCTTGCTCTGCCACCCAGGCTGGATGGAGTGCAGTAGCAAGATCATATCTCACTGTAGCCTTGAACTCCTCGGACACTGACAATATTAATCCTGGTTTTGCAGCTGATTCACTCTGACCTTAAGTAGATTATTTATCTTTGGTGGTTTTCCTCATCATAAAGCTGTTAGTAACAAAACTGATTTCACTGAAGCATGTACCTTTTGAAATATATATGTAGTTTTGCAAAACCAGCATGTCCTAAGAAAATAGGGTGTGGGCAGGTGAGGTGGCAGTATTTTCAGACTAAAGGGAAATCGTTTGGTGAGACTTTTTGAACACACTTTTGAAAATTAGACCTGTATATATCTATATCGAACGTTTAAGCACAGGTTGTCTTTGCATGATTGTTCTTTATGCTTTGATACTTACTTTTGACACAGTGACTCTCATTATTATTTCAGTAATGACAGATTGCTCCGAAATTGAAACCAATGTTAATTTTGGCATATTTTTGTTTTTAAGGCATATGTTCAGTGTAACGAAGATAATGTTGAAAGAGACATTCAAACGGAGGAAATAGAGACCAGGGAAGTGTGGACCCAGCACCCGGGAGAAAGTACTGTTGTATCTGGAGGTAACATCTTGCTCTTGAGTGTTGACCATTGACTCTCTTTACATTCTTTTTTGTTTTATTTTTACTTATTCCCTTTCTGGTTCACTTTCATTTTGTCTTTCTCTTCTGTATGGTTGTTAGCATGTGACAATAGCAGTACCCAATTTTCTTTTAAAGAAACGCTAACCAGCAGCCACAGAGCTGCTGAACTACAAGTGGGAGGAAACCTGCTCTCGAGGCCCAGTCTGTGCCATTGCCAGGATTTATGACAGATTTTATTCCTGTGTAGAGGGAGAGATTCCACATTCCAAACAACCACTGTGTCGCTGGACCTTTGAAGCACACTGTGTTTTTAACTTAGGGGAAGCCTATTCTCATGAATATAGAATTTTTATGTTTCAAGTGCAGTTTGCAAAAATGTTCCATCAATTTATATCGAAGGTCCCTAGAATATATGGTTTCTGCTAAGTACTCTGGAGCGATTTACATGTTGAATACTTTACTGGTTTTTCTCAAGGAATTGCCTCTGTATGGCAGGGATGTATATTACTCCCTTTTCTCAGGTAAGCCTCACCTTAAGAAAGTAATATACCTAAACTTAAGACTTACATGATAATTAAATTGATGCCTTTGAAAAAAAATTTTTTTTTTGAGATGGAGCCTTGCTCTGTCACCCAGGCTGGAGTGCAGTGGCATGATCTCAGCTCACTGTAACCTCCGCCTCTTGGGTTCAAGTGATTCTCCTGCCTCAGCCTCCCGAGTAGCTGGGACTACAAGCGCCTGCTATCATGCCTGGCTAATTTTTGTATTTTTTAGTAGAGATGGGGTTTCGCCATGTTGGCCAGGCTGGTCTTGAACTCCTGACCTCAGATGATCCACCTGCCTCGGCCACCCAAAGTGCTGGGATTACAGGCGTGAGCCACCATGCCTGGCCTGAATGTTTTTCTAAATGCATTTACAGACTTCTATAAAACAATATGCAGTTGTTTTGGGGAGTTAACAGTAGTAAATCTAGAGAGTATAGCTTGAAGTTTTCTGTCTTTTCCTTCTGGGACTCTTAATGTTGATTTGTTAGGCCTGTTTGAACTCTTAAGATGTGTAATGCATGATTATTTTAGAGTCGACTTCGTTGATTTTATATAAACTGTTTTTTTTAGGCAGTGAACAAAGAGATACCTCTGATGCTGTAGTTATGCCAAAGATTGATACTCCAAGGTTATGTAGCTTTCTGCGGGCTGCTTGTCAGGTATACTCAACCTATATATGTTGTGTTCTCTGTGTAAGTGCTTAAAGTTTCATTCTACATAGAAACATAGGAGCTTTTAAGATCTTAAAGTCTTTGTAGCTTGGATAAATCAGAATCAGTTATTCATTTTCAAGTATTATTTTCTTACAAATTATCAGTGGTACATTCATTAAGCCCTTGTGGGCAGAATGACCCTGGGTAAATGTATATCACTGAAGTACTATGTGTGTATTTGGATTGTGAATTTTATTATTAATTTCTTACATTTTAAAACAACTATAGACTAGCAGACACGAAGTTGGCAAGGCAAGCATAAATCTAGGGTATTTGAAAATATTAAACTTCTGATTTTACAAGCTGATTTATAAACTGAAAAATTTTAAAAATCCATACAAAGAGACATGGAACAGTCCTGTGAAGCTACAGGTACTTTAGTGGTTATCACCTCATGGCTGTGGGTCTCGTCTGACCCCCCTGCCCACTCCACCACCCACCCCATCAGTTATTTTGAAACAAATCCCAATCATCTAACTTTGCCTCCAAATACAGTTCAGTATGAATCTCAAAAAGCAGAGAATGTCTAAAAGAGTAATTAGTAATAACTTATAATGCAGTCAGATATGAAGTTGGCATTCACATTTCGCCAGCTGTCTCATCACTTTCTTGTATGTAAGCTCAGCACTTGAGTCTACTGCAGCACTGAAGAGTGGAACGTTGTGAAACCTCAACACGCTAGTTGAGATTAAGGATGATTGTGAAACCTCGACATGCTGGTTGACATTAAGGATGATTGTAAAACCTTGACACGCTGGTTGAGATTAAGGATGATTGTGAAATGTCAACACGCTGGTTGACAGGATGATTGTGAAACCTCGACACGCTGGTTGACATTAAGGATGACTGTGAAACATCGACATGCTGGTTGACATTAAGAATGATTGTGAAACCTCGACACGGTGGTTGAGATTAAGGATGATTGTGAAACCTGGACACGCTGGTTGACATTAAGGATGATTGTGAAACGTCGACACGCTGGTTGACATTAAGGATGATTGTGAAACGTCGACATGCTGGTTGACATTAAGGATGATTGTGAAACGTCGACACGCTGGTTGAGATTAAGGATGATTGTGAAACGTCGACACGCTGGTTGACATTAAGGATGATTGTGAAACCTCGACACGGTGGTTGAGATAAAGGATGATGGTGAAACCTCGACACGGTGGTTGAGATTAAGGATGATTGTGAAACCTCGACACGCTGGTTGAGATTAAGGATGATTGTGAAACATCGACACGCTGGTTGACAGGATGATTGTGAAACCTCGACACGGTGGTTGACATTAAGGATGATTGTGAAACGTCGACACGCTGGTTGACATTAAGGATGATTGTGAAACGTCGACACGCTGGTTGACATTAAGGATGATTGTGAAACGTCTACACGCTGGTTGAGATTAAGGATGATTGTGAAACGTCGACACGCTGGTTGACATTAAGGATGATTGTGAAACGTCAACACGCTGGTTGACATTAAGGATGATTGTGAAACGTCGACACGCTGGTTGAGATTAAGGATGATTGTGAAACGTCGACACGCTGGTTGACATTAAGGATGATTGTGAAACGTTGACACAGTGGTTGACATTAAGGATGATTGTGAAACGTCGACACGCTGGTTGACATTAAGGATGATTGTGAAACGTCTACACGCTGGTTGAGATTAAGGATGATTGTGAAACGTTGACACGCTGGTTGAGATTAAGGATTGTGAAACGTCGACACGCTGGTTGACATTAAGGATGATTGTGAAACGTCGACATGGTGGTTGACATTAAGGATGATTGTGAAACGTCGACACGCTGGTTGACATTAAGGATGATTGTGAAACGTCTACACGCTGGTTGACATTAAGGATGATTGTGAAACGTCTACACGCTGGTTGACATTTAGGATGATTGTGAAACCTCGACACGGTGGTTGAGATTAAGGATGATTGTGAAACGTCTACACGCTGGTTGACATTAAGGATGATTGTGAAACGTCGACACGCTGGTTGACATTAAGGATGATTGTGAAACGTCGACACGCTGGTTGACATTAAGGATGATTGTGAAACGTCGACACGCTGGTTGACATTTAGGATGATTGTGAAACGTCTACATGCTGGTTGACATTAAGGATGATTGTGAAACGTCTACACGCTGGTTGACATTAAGGATGATTGTGAAACGTCGACACGCTGGTTGACATTAAGGATGATTGTGAAACGTCGACACGCTGGTTGACATTAAGGATGATTGTGAAACGTCTACACGCTGGTTGACATTTAGGGTGATTGTGAAACCTCGACACGGTGGTTGAGATTAAGGATGATTGTGAAACGTCTGCACGCTGGTTGACATTAAGGATGATTGTGAAACGTCTACACGCTGGTTGACATTAAGGATGATTGTGAAACGTCGACACGCTGGTTGACATTAAGGATGATTGTGAAACGTCGACACGCTGGTTGACATTAAGGATGATTGTGAAACGTCTACACGCTGGTTGACATTTAGGATGATTGTGAAACCTCGACACGGTGGTTGAGATTAAGGATGATTGTGAAACGTCTACACGCTGGTTGACATTAAGGATGATTGTGAAACGTCTACACGCTGGTTGACATTAAGGATGATTGTGAAACGTCGACACGCTGGTTGACATTAAGGATGATTGTGAAACGTCGACACGCTGGTTGACATTAAGGATGATTGTGAAACGTCTACACGCTGGTTGACATTAAGGATGATTGTGAAACCTCGACACGCTGGTTGAGATTAAGGATGATTGTGAAATGTTGACACGTGGTTGACATTAAGGATGATTGTGAAACGTCGACACGCTGGTTGAGATTAAGGATGATTGTGAAATGTTGACACGCTCGTTGACATTAAGGATGATTGTGAAACGTCGACATGCTGGTTGAAATTAAGGATGATTGTGAGACGTCACTAAACACCCCCTGCCCTCCACACTCCACCCTCCACCTCTCACTAAACACCTCCTGTCCTCCACACTCCACCCTCTGCCTCTCACTAAACACCTCCTGTCCTCCACACTCCACCCTCCGCCTCTCGCTAAACACCTCCTGTCCTCCACACTCCACCCTCCACCTCTCACTAAACACCTCCTGTCCTCCACACTCCACCCTCTGCCTCTCACTAAACACCTCCTGTCCTCCACACTCCACCCTCCGCCTCTCGCTAAACACCCCCTGCCCTCCACACTCCACCCTCCACCTCTCACTAAACACCTCCTGTCCTCCACACTCCACCCTCCGCCTCTCGCTAAACACCCCCTGCCCTCCACACTCCACCCTCCACCTCTCACTAAACACCCCCTGCCCTCCACACTCCACCCTCTGCCTCTCACTAAACACTCCTTTTCTTGCCCGTTCCCATCCTGTCATTTCTCACTTCAAATCTCCTGCCTTCCACACTCTCTTCCTGTCAGTTCTCATTAACATTTTCTTCCTTCTTCACACCCATCCTGTCAGTCCTCACTACACATTCCCTTTCTCACACGAATCCTATCAATTCTCACTCAACATTTCCTGTCTCTCACTCTCCCGTTCTGTCAGTTCACATGAAACATTCTCTGCCTTCCTCACTCCCATACGGTTGGCTTTCACTGTCTGTTTCTGCCTTCCTCACTCTCACACAGTCAGCTCTCACTCAACATTTCCTGCCTCCCGCCCTCCCATATTCTGTCACTTCTCACTCAGTATTCCCGGCCGTCCTGACCCTGAGTGTTCCCGGGTCATGTCAGTTCCCAATGAACACTTCCTGGCCTCCATTCTCACTACGCAGCTCCCTCTTCCTCGCACAAATCCTGTTGCTTCTCATTCAACACTCTCTGCCTTCCTCACTTTCCTTGTGTTAGTTCTCAGGAACATTTCCAGTTCTTTTTCCATCAATCCTGTTTTGTCTCCCAATCTTCTCTTTCTGCCCTGTCAAATCCTAAGGATGACCCTCCTGGAACAATGACAGTGTTTTACCACTCACTCTGGCTTTTTACCAAAACCCAGTGAGAGAGACTCGGTGGGTTCATGACTGCTCTTTACACTGCTTTGTTCATTTATGAATGCTGGATACCCAGCCCCCTTTCTCCCACTGTGATTTTTAGCAGTGTATGTGGTGTGAAAAACAACATTCAGGGCAAATGATGATTCTCCTGTGGAGTTTTAGTTAATCTTACTGTATTAGTTTTCAGTATTGAGCAGAAAGGACCGTATCGTTTTTCTTGTAGTTATGATAGCGTCATGGATCTAAGCAGTTATTTGCAGATATGGATAAGATGAAAAGGTAATTTTTTTTTGGAAAAGATAATCCATTGTGAAGTTTTTATTAAAGACTACTCACTTATGTCTGACAGGTGATGGCCGTTTTGCTGGAAGAGGATCGCTTGGCAGCTGAACCCAGCTGGAATCTTAGGGCTCAAGACAGGGCCCTGTATTTTAGTGACAGCTCATCTCAGCTGAACACCAGTCTACCATTCCTTCAAAGTAAGAGGCTGTTCTCAAATATGATTTTAAATCCAGTGACTAAACATTCATGTTGAAATAATACTCTGTAGTATAATATTTTATTTTAATGTGATGGGGTTTAATGTACATAAAACTGAGAAAGACTGAGTTTCTGCAGAATTCAAAAGTGAGTGGTTTTTCCCTCTTAAGTGTGCATGTTAAATTTGTGATTAAGGATTTTAGTAAGATGAATAGAAGAGGGATCCACAGTAATTTAAACATGTGAGATTGTTTGAATGAATGGGAACTGAGATTTTCTATGTGTTTGAAATCCTGTTTTCTTTTCTCTTCCAGTTATTCAGTTTCTTTTCTTGAGATAGAGTAGTAGAAATAGTTGGACGAGCATGAGAGAGTGTTCAGATCAAAGTTGTGTTAATAGTTTAGATATAGTTACAAGCAAGACGCTTAACATTTAGTGTAGATAGACTTAGATTTTTAGGTCAATCCGTGGTTATGGAACATAAAACGGGAAGCAAAGCCCAGGATCTCAAACAGAAAGTACAGTTGCATGTAACTGTTTAATCAGTTCAGACAAACTGCATTTGCAAGACCAAACTGAAATTTCTTGAGCTAGTAACCTCTTTGTCTCTGAAAAAGTGGCTGTCGGGTACCGGAGGGCAGCCATGGTCCCGGTTTTTGTGGAGAACCAGCAGAGGTGGTCCGTGTGGCCGTCTGCTTGGTAGCAGGTGCGGGTGTGCTGCAGGGTAAACGTGCTTCGGGGCACGTGTGAGACCAGAGCAGTTGGTGCCACTGTTCCAGGCATTTCTTCCGTCCTGCCTGCTATTTAGAGATTTCAGTTTATTTACATTTCTCTGTCTTTTAACGTTAACAAAAATGGCATTGTTAATTTAACAAGTCTTCACATTCTTTGAGAGGGTTTTGTCTTTTCCTGTTAGAAAAATAATAAATCTCTGTACCTGTATCATTCAACACATTGGCATCCACACTCCCACACCCAGCAGACACCAAGAAGGGAACCGAGTGTGCGCCGCCCCCAGGGAGCCGACACTGAGCAGTGACAGCAGATGCATGAGAGCGGCAGTGGTGCCATGGCCTCCGTCGGAGAACACGTGAAGTGTGTGTGTGTACTGCAGCGCTGTGGCCTCCGTCGGAGAACACGTGAAGTGTGTGTGTGTACCACAGCGTGTGGCCTCCAACGGGGAACACGTGAAGTGTGTGTGTGTATGGCAGCGCCGGGCCTCCGTCGGGGAACACGTGAAGTGTGTGTGTGTACCACAGCGTGTGGCCTCCGTCAGAGAACATGTGAAGTGTGTGTGTGTACCACAGCATGTGGCCTCCGTCGGGGAACACGTGAAGTGTGTGCGCATACTGCAGCGCCGGGCCTCCATCAGGGAACACATGAAGTGTGTGTGTGTACCACAGCGTGTGGCCTCCATCGGGGAACACGTGAAGTGTGTGTGCATACTGCAGCGCCGGGCCTCCATCAGGGAACACATGAAGTGTGTGTGTGTACCACAGCGTGTGGCCTCCGTCGGGGAACACGTGAAGTGCGTGTGTGTACCACAGTGTGTGGCCTCCATCTGGGAACACGTGAAGTATGTGTGCATACTGCAGCGCCAGGCCTCCATCAGGGAACACATGAAGTGTGTGTGTGTACTGAAGTGTGTGGCCTCTGTTGGGGAACTCGTGAAGTGTATGTGTGTACTTCAGTGCGTGGCCTCTGTCGGGGAACACGTGAAGTGCATGTGTGTACTGCAGTGTGTGGCCTCCGTTGGGGAACTCGTGAAGTGTGTGTGTGTTGCACTTCCCACATGTTCAAGGAGTGGAGGGTCTTGTTTGCTTAGTTTTGTGTTCTGGTAAAATGAATATTGAGATAGCAGAAGGAATATGAGACTGCAAGAGAGGCATGAGACGGAGTGTGTGGGTTGTCTCACCCTGCGAATCCAGAATTTGACTCACATTAGATTCTGATCTGTGATCAGATGTAGAGATACTTCAGCCTTCCTAGGGTCCACCCAGTACCCTCATCACTATTAAAACACGCGGCAGAATGACACAGCCAGCGGGTCGTCCTCATCTCTATTAAAACACGCGGCAGAATGACGCAGCCAGCAGGTCGTTCATCTTGACAAATGTTCTGTAGCGGGTGCTATGCCCTGGGCACTGTCGGGGAGCTGCAGTTCAGCAGTGAGTAGGACGACAGCAACTCTGCCCTCCTGAACTTGTGTTTCGCTGGGTCAAGTAGGCTCTGCACTGGCTAAACAGGTCAACACACAGTCTATCAGAGAGGGGTAAGTTCTAAGGAGAAAAATAAAGACAGTTCTGATAGAGGAGGCCTCACTGTGAGTGAAAACCGGACGGAGATGAGAGACGGGCCACAGGGAGATGGGAGCTTCTGGAGGAGGCGCTGCACGCACACAGGTCTGAGCGGTGGGCACACCTGTGTCTTGGGTAGAAGCGAGGAGACCACGGTGGACAGTGGGAGGTGAGGTCGGGGCAGCGATGGGTCAGGCGTTGGTTGCCATATCATAGTTCCGCTGTAACAGGAGGTACACGTTCCTAAAAATCGCTACACCGTGGAAGACTGCCAATAAAAACCACAGGGCTTAGGAGAAAACGGGGTCAGGTCACAGCACTCGAGAACCTCATCCCACTAAAAACAACTATTAAATACGGCAGCTGGAAGAAGACCTGACGCTTGCTGGTGGAAGTGGCCCCAGAAGGCTGCAGCTATGAGCGATTGTGACGAGGTGGAAGGAGGGTTCCCTGGAATTGGAGGGGACGTTGTGACCCAAGCATGGATGGTGTGGGTAGCAGGATGTGAACTGAGGGGCTGATAGGTGTTTGTGGTGTGTGTGTGGCTGGGGTTGGCCGGGTGCTGCTTTCCACATTGACTTGGCGCCTGCCAGCGGTGCGGTCCAGTTCTTTGACTGAAGTTCTCGCCAGTCATGGACTTCCTATCCTCCTGTTTCACGAGCTCCATCTCCATCTTCTGCTGATGTGTGAGAGCTGCCGGCACGGCCAGCAGTGGCAACAGTAACGCCTTGGAGTGCAGTCCCTCGCCGGGTGGAGCAGTGTCTGGAACGGCGCTCAGCCGCTCGCAGCCTTTGAGGAGAGCAGTGTGCCACGTGGTGTTCCAGTGCTGAAGCCCCTGCAGCTGGTGTATTAGCAATGTTCTAAAGCAGAGGGGCAGCCAGGCGCACTGCATTACCTCCCAGCTCTGAGATCCCGACTCCCGGCTTCTGGTGGGCAGCTGGTTTCTGTGGGAGTCGCTCGTGGAGCCACAGGTGTCTTGGGCTGCATGTGACCACATTTTAGCCAGACTCTGAGGTCAGCTTGGACAGAGTGTTGGGGCATAGGCTGTGGCCGTTCATCAAAACCTACGTTTCATGTATGTTGGTTTCGAAAGGACCACGTTTGTTTCTTCATGAAGCTGAATTTTTTTTTGAGTATTCGGAAGTGTGTTAAATTTAACTTGGATTCTGGCAGGTCGTTGAAATGTGAACATATTTTTCTTCTCCCTAGATCGAAAAGTATCCTCCTTGCACACCTCCCGAGTTCAGAGGCAGATGGTGGTCTCCGTTCACGACTTACCCGAGAAGAGCTTTGTGCCCCTGCTGGACAGCAAATACGTCCTCTGTGTGTGGGATATTTGGCAGCCTTCAGGGCCACAGAAAGTTCTGATATGTGAGTCCCAGGTACAGCTCAGGATGAGAGTCGCACGTTTGATGGGAGGATGGGCAGTGGACAGAGCGTGAAGGTGCAGGTGGGGAGAGTCACGGAGAGAGGTGCAGGGACAGGAGGTGGGTAGGGACTTATGGGCCATTCTCTGTCTCTCACAGCTGGCCTCAGCTGTGCTGTGGGTGCAGCGAGACACATGGGTGTGCTTGTAGTTCAGAATGAGCAAACGAGAATTTTCACAGAGCAGCCCTTTGGGTCAGCTGAGAATTAGGAAATGGAGGTGGTTGTAGGCTGAATGAAAATACTCACCATGCTGGGTGTAGCTCTGGGGCCCTAGATGCCTGTGTTTTTGCCTTGCACTGTTTTGGTCCTGAGTGTTTTAGAGGTTTCTTAGACTGCGTGGAGGTTTCTTAGACTGCATGGAGGTTTCTTCAACTGCACTGAGGTTTCTTAGACTGTGTTGAAGTGTGCTGTCGCTCACAGCCCTTCTGGAGGCCTCCCATTCACCGCCCAGGAGGCTGGCACCGAGGCTTGAGGACTGTGCGGTGAGGGGTCAGGGCTGCCTCTCTTATGTTTGGGAAAATGTGCATTTGTATTTTCCTAGTTATGTATTCCCTGGCCTCAAACCCATTGATTTCCACAAAAGCTGTAGAGAAGAATAACTTGAAATTGTAACTTTTGTAATACAAGATGTAAATAAAATGGCGCAGGATGGAACTGCTACTTCTGAGGTTCAGCCGATTGAGCTGAGTGGACAGGCTCCCGGCAGGCTTTGTGTGACCAGATGAGTGTCAGCACCTTGCGTTTGTGATCATAACAAGCCTACGGGGTGGGTTTCTCATCCCTATTCTCCATTTCAGGAACCTGACAAGCCACCTTTTATTTCTGTGCAGGAGTCTACGTTCTGCTTACTGGGCCCTGCAGGTGACTCCCGTGCAAAGTGAAACATGGTCAGACACCCCACTCAGTAAATGCAGCTTGTGTTAGCATGCTTCTCATATTCTTCTGTCATTGGCTTTCTGTGCCTTTGTCTTTTAGGTCACGTGTTGCTGCTTGAGCCCTTTGAAAGCATTTTTACTGTTTGCCGGAACAGCGCACGGCTCAGTTGTCGTCTGGGATTTGAGAGAAGACTCAAGGCTGCATTACTCTGTGACGCTGAGCGATGGCTTCTGGACGTTCCGGACCGCCACGTTTTCCACCGGTCAGTGTCATCTGCCTGCCAATTGTGTGTCTGCTAGAAAAGCCACACGGATTTGAGGAACAAAGCTTTACATGGATTTGCATTTATTTATTCACATTATCCCAGAGGACGGGGTCTGACCCATGGGCAAAAGAGGCATTTGATAAATACAAAAAACAGAAATCAATTCCAATCATGATTATCCAGTGACCAAGAATGACTTGAATTTCCTTTCTTAATAAATTTGTGGATTCTAAAAAATCCTCAATGAAATTACCTTTAGTTTTAAAGTAGCTTGAGGCATCTTGGCATGGGTGTTCTTCAGGGCAAAGATAGCTCACACTCACGTGAGCAAAGCCAGTCACCCTGAGGGCTGCCAGGAACCAGCACAATTGGGCCTCCCTGAGCCTTGGCTTGACTCGGGTGGACATTCATACTATGCCGTGCCCAGCCACCACAGTAGGCACCTGGCATAAGTGTTCCCTGTGTTCTGGGACTCGCCCTAGTGTGTAGTGTACATTGTCTCATTTAATTCCCCTGATAGCCCTGTATCCTAGCTCCACAGGAAGATGCCGCGTTTATCCAAGGTCACGCTGACGACATGGTCGGGCCTGCACTGGGACCCCATGCCACGCCCTGCACCGCCCCTTCCCGTAGGGGTTGGGGCGCTGTGGACTGAAGGTGCAGGCCGAGGTCATCACTCACCCCTCTGTGTGGCTTTATTATCATAGATATGTTGCGTGTCTGTCTGTGTTTGACATGTGTATCTGTACATTGTACATAAGAGGGCCACTTTTTAAATTCCCCAACCATGAATTGTGCCCCTCTGTGTGGGGCAATACTACTACTTACTGTTAAGGCTGTTTGAATTTATCGCAACTTATGGGTTGCGATGCTATTTTAAAAGATATCTTTTAAATAAATAATCTTTGCCTTTTCTAACTGCTGCTGCTATTACTAAAAAATTTTTGAATTCAGCACCGTTTTCAAAAACAGTAAATCTCTAGACTGTACATACAAATAAATTATTCCATTAAAATACATCCTTCTTTTTTTTTTTGAGATGTGGTCTGGCTCTGTAGCCCAGGCTGGAGTACAGTGGCACGATCTTAGCTCACTGGAATTTCTGCCTCCTGGATTCAAGTGATTCTCCTGCTTCAGACTCCTGAGTATCTGGGATTACAGGTGCCCACCACCAGTGCTCGGCTAATTTCTGTATTTTTAGTAGAGACGGGGTTTCTCCATGTTGGTCAGGCTGGTCTTGAACTCCTGACTTCAGGTGATCTGCCCTCCTTGGCCTCCCAAAGCGCTGGGATTACAGGCATAAGCCACCGCACCCGGCCTTGTCTTTGAAATATTATCAATAAAACCTACAAAGTTTTAAATAAACTCCCAGTAGTGAGGAGCTGTGGAACTTCTGATTCAGACCATGAGTCAGAGGAACCAAATTCTCACCCGGGAGACCAGCCCTTTCCTCAGTCGAGCCATCAGTGCTTCATCTGGGTCCTCTCACTTAGACACCCTGTAATTTATTCTTAATTTCTGAGATGGTTTTGTCTTTTTCTTCAGTTTCTTTCCTGAGTTCAATCCCAGTTCTCATTTCATTTCTTGCTTTTTTGGGTCTAATTCTGTTCTTGATTTCTGATTCCCGGTGTTTTTTCTTGCTTGTTGTTTTGATATGTTTCCAGATGCCCTTTGAGGAGATGTGATTCCATTTGGAACGTTGAGTTTTGTGTCTTCTGCCTTTTGCTTGTTTTTAGGAGGGATAATTTTCATCAGCTGAAATGCTTTCATTTACATTTTTTCTGTTTTCTTCTTATAGTAGCTTTCTATGGAGTTTGGCGTTTTTCTACTTGTAGACATTCTGTAGGTGTATATTTTAGGTCAGTGAGCTTTGCTTTATTGATTGGCGACAGGTATCTTTTCAGTGGGCATTGTGCCTCGAGGTGGTAGGTGGGGTGGGTTTGCCTTTCCTTTGGTTTTGCAAATGCCTGGATTTTGCTCTTGCTGGCAGTTGTGAGGTGTGTGCGGAGGTCTCCCCCATTTCCTGTTCACGTCCCCCTTCCCATCGGCCGTGCTGCTCCGACCTCCTCTGCCTCCCAGCTCCTTCCCCTCAGTTGTTTGAGTGGCCCCCAGGATTTGGCCTCGCAGAGACTTTCTCTGTCTGAGTTTTCTTTCGGGCTGTGTGGCATGCTCTGTTTGGATGGTGGGCTTTAGCTTTCTTCCTGCCTTCCAGACTGGAGAGCAGGGGCTGGGGCCCGTGTGTCCTAGGAATCTGAAAGTCGTGGTCCTGTGTCAGTTGTGTGTGTCAGTCGTGTGTGGTCCATGTTGGTTTTGGGGTGTTTTGGGAAGATGTGTGGAGAGAGTTGGATCTGTGAGACCCAGAAGCACCTCGTGTTTGTCCCTGTGTGATGCGAACTGCATTTCTTCAACTTACTACTTACACGTGGATGCTGTGGGCTTTTGAACTCCAGATGGAATCCTTACCTCAGTAAACCACCGAAGCCCTCTTCAAGCAGTAGAACCTATCTCAACGTCCGTCCACAAAAAGCAGAGCTTTGTGCTTTCACCCTTTTCTACTCAAGAAGGTACGTGATTCTTCACTTTCTTAAAATCCTTCATCAATGGTTGTGAAATATGGTTTCCTTATTTAAAGCCATTTCTTTCTTTTTGTTTCTGTCTTCATCAGAAATGTCAGGTTTGTCCTTCCACATCGCTTCCTTGGATGAGAGTGGGGTTCTCAATGTATGGGTGAGTAGTGGCCCAGGCCGGGCACATGCGGGGCCTGAGTGAGGTGGTCTGGGTGGAGGTGGCGCCTGAATGGCGCAGGGGGCGGGACCCAGTTAGCTGTGGTGGGAAACGGAGAGCAAGACTGGGCTTCTTGGTCCTGAGCAGAAGGGATGCAGAAGGCCACACATGGCAGGTTTGGGGCCCTTTCGTGACAGTGAAATAGGGACTCTCACACAGGGCTTTGGGAACGCGGAATGAAAGTGAGAAGGGAACAAAATGTTAGGGCTGAGGTGATGCTGGATTGGCTTGTCCTGGAGGATGCGCCAAGACTGTTGATTAAGTCACCAAGTGAAGAGAACACGAGGAGATCAAAGCAAAGGAGTCAACTTGTAGAGTGTTAGTTCTGAGGCTAAAGATCAGTCTCTTTTTCTGGAGCAGTTATGTTTTAGTACCTAAATAGCACTCCATCTTAATTAGAGCTATGCTTTGCTTAGGTTGTTTCATAATTATAAAATGTATCAATATTCATTTTCAATATTCTGTTTTTAGGTGGTTGTTGAATTACCAAAGGCAGACATCGCAGGTTCAATAAGTGATTTAGGTAACTATTAAGTAAAAAAATTAATTTTAGTGTTTTCTAAAATGAATCGAGATTAAAAGTACTGATAACTGCGGTCAGGTGCAGTGGCTCACACCTGCTGGGAGCCTCAGCACGTTGGGAGGCTGAGGAAGGAGGATTGCTTGAGCCCAGGAGTTCCAGACCAGCCTGGACAACATAGCAAGACCCCGTCTCTACAAAAAAATTCAAAAATTGGCTGGGCGTGGTGGCACACACCTGTAGTCCCAACTGCTTGGGAGGCTAAGGTGGGAGGATTGCTTGAGCCTAGGAGTTTGAGGCTGCAGTGAGCCGTGATCATGCCACTACACTCCAGCCTGGGTGATGGAATGAGACCTTGTCTCTCTGTTAAAAAAAAAAAAAAGATACCAATAACTGCTTTGAAAAATATAAATTACTACCTGAAAAATGAAAATTAAAGGTGTATGTCATATAACCTTATAAACTGTTGAACGGGCATCTCAATTAACTAGAATAATCAAATGATATTCTGAATGAATTTTTTTTTTTTTTGAGACAGAGTCCCGCTCTGTTGCCCAGGCTGCTGCAGTGGTGTGATCTTGGCTCACTGCAACCTCTGCCTCCTGGGTTCAAGCAATTCTCTTGCCTCAACCTCCCAAGTAGCTGGGATTACAGGTGCTTGCCAACACGCCCGGCTAATTTTTGTATTTTTAGTAGAGACAGGGTTTCACCATGTTGGTCAGGCTGGTCTTGAACTCCTGACTTGAGGTCATCCACCCACCTCAGCCTCCCATAGTGCTGGGATTACAGGCATGAGCCACCGTCCAGCCTGAGTGAATGTTTTGATCTTAGTAGGGTTTAATGAGTTCTGTTTACAGCTGAGTACCATTCAGTTCTGTCAGACAAGTCAAGGACAGCTGTGTTCTGTAGCTGTTCCCTATGTATTTCAGGTGTCCGAGTCTTTCAGTGCGCATTCATTTTGGGGCTTCTTCCTCTCAGTTTTGGATTTACAACCCCAGGGTGTATCAGGAACACTGGATGCTGCCCCGAGGGCCCTTAGACTGGATCCCAGGGTGGCAAAGGTCCCCGGGTTTGGGCAGAGCAGAAGTGACTTGAAGCAAAGCTAATAGCACCTCTCACAGGTGGCTGCTCTTGATGCTATGGAGTACGATTTTCAGTTCCAGAAAGGGCTCAGAAGTGACGGAGTAATTCAGTCCTGTTGTGTTCTGTGGTTGAGATTAGCCCATGTTTTGATCTCAACTTCTTTCTCACCTCATTGGCCTCCCACAACCCAGTTTGTAATGACAAACCCCCCTTTCACCTTGCTTGAATCAGGGGTGTTTTCCCATGTAGATCTGGCAAAAAATAATATGAGTGAGACCGGCTTTGTTCCTAACCTCTTGAGATGAGGGAAGAGGCCACTTTGGCCCTTGGAGCAAATGCTCTGTGCCCCGTAGTCACACGTCTGTGGTGGCCCTTACAAGTTTACTGTTGATTCTGACTTCAGTAAAAATAAGACAGTCGTGGTGCTCATTTCACTGCTAAATGCTTTTGAGGTGGAGTCACCATGTTTCTCAATGTATTCTTTATGCGGCACCCTCTCTGCTCATGGAGCCGTTCTGCTCTGTGTTGTCCACTCCAGGCTGCCCCTAGAATCCTGGAGTGTCAGAGCTAGGGAGCCTGGGCAGGGGTCCTGGTGCCTCCTTCTCAACGTACACAGGTCACGGGATGGGTTAGTGATGGGGCGAGACCCACATAGTCAGTCTCAGCACCAACCCCCCTTCACACCCAGGATTCCGCCCCAAATGCCCAGAACTCTTGTGACCTTAAGAGTGCGCCTTGAGGCTGGTTGTGCCGTTAACTTGTTACATGATCAAGGTATTTGTCAAGCAATTACGGATGGTACTGAGATCATTTCTGTCCATAGTCAGGTGATAATCCGGCTATGGAGACAAAATCATTTTGCATAAAAAGTATTTGCATACAAATGTTTTGTAGTACATGATGGTCATATAAAGGATATCCTGGGGTGGTGAGTATTTCATTTTAAAATATTGATGTATAAAAACACCCTTTCTTCACTGAACCACTTACCCAAATTGCAACCATGTTCCAGCCTTGCCTTTAGGAAGGGAGGACGTTCCGACCAGCCCGTTGTTCAGGGTGGCTGCCAGCTCTTTGTGTAGGCATTGGATGAGTTGCTGTTGGAGAGCTGAAGTCTCAGAAGGAGTCAGCCACCATCTTTTTATGAAATGTTCTCTGCATAAGCGAGGTCCAGTCCTAGGTGCCAGGAGACCTGGGCGAAGACCCCAGCCCGGGAGAGGGCGAGTGGTGGTGGACTTACTGGAGCGGAGGCGCAGTGGGAAGGCCTGGCCAGAAAGGCTGCCCGTGGGCGGTGGCGTGTAGGGGCCCAGTCGGAAAGGGCCTGGCCAGAAAGGCTGCCTGTGGGCTATGGCGTGTAGGGGCCAGTGGGAGGACCCGGCCAGAAAAGCTGCCCACAGGCGGTGGCGTGGGAGCCGAGACGCCAGGTGGGGGGCATGCCGGGAAGCTTCACATTTGTGAATAGTGGCGTTGACCCTTCTTCACTGTGGTTGTGACTGGCAGGAGATACGCAGCAGCTACAGGGACCCTGCCCAGCTGCAGGTTGGGCTTATTTCTATCTCCTTTTAATTCACCTGCCCCCAGAGTTTTAGGCAATGCCTTGCCCAGAATTTGGGTTTTAATATCCATAGATTTCTAGTTTTTCCCCTTGTAGTAGTTTTAGAGGGAAAGTGATATTGGGAGCAGACACAGGAGGCAAAACCAGTGGGTGGCCGAGGAGCCAGCGCTGTAGCCATGAACGCTTTCAGGAAGGAAAGGAAGAGCAGTCAGGCCTCAGAGCCGTGGCTCTGTGTTGTTTGAGAAGGAAGCTGGAGAAGCTGCTGGAACAGAGAGTGAGGCCAGACGCACTCGGCTGAGGAGCCACTCTGCCTCCTGTGCATTCTGCCCGGAGACCAGCAGATTTCTGAGTCTCTGGGATGGTGGAGAGAGAGGTCCTGCAAGTTTCCTGTAGGCGTTGGAGCCTCGGTGGACATTCACAGGACAGCGTTTGCTGCTGTGATCTAAGGCTTATTTAGTGTATGTACACTCGTACACATGTATGGTTTGCTTACCCCCCTTATTTTATCAGATCTAATGATATAAAGGCTCCCAGATCATGGTTCTACAATCTTTCTTCCCATAAGACTTTGAACTGTGAATTCTCGATTCTTCTCCTAAGGCAGGATACGTGAACCTCACCCAGAGGAAGGGAGGGATGCTGTGTATTGATTTGCATTTGATGTTATTTCCTAACACAGATATTTAAGCAATGAAAAATGATTCCAGGCAACTATAACTAGATTTTGATTTAGCTTCTATTGAAAGGTGCATTGATTTTGGTTCATCTCTTTTTAGGTCTGATGCCTGGAGGGAGGGTCAAGCTGGTACATAGTGCTCTGATCCAGTTGGGTGACAGGTAAGATGTGAGGGAAAATGCTTCACTATCTCACAAAGACCTAGAAGGAAAATAACATTGGGGAATTGCATATACGGTAAATGGTGAGCTTTTGCGATGAAGAAGTCCATTTTCTCACATTGTTTTTTTACTGTTTTGTTAGTCTATTATTTTTATTTTTTTATTTTTTTGAGACGGAGTTTCACTCTTGTTGCCCCGGCTGGAGTGCAGTGGTGCAATCTTGGCTTGCTGCAAACTCTGCCTCCCTGGTTCAAGCGATTCTCCTGTTCAGCCTTCTGAGTAGCTGGGATTACAGGCGCCTGCCACCGTGCCCGGCTAATTTTTGTATTTTTAGTAGAGATGGGGTTTCATCATATTGATCAGGCTGGTCTCGAACACCTGATCTCAGGTGATCCACCCACCTCAGCCTCCCAAAGTGCTGGGATTACAGGTGTGAGCCCCCACGCCCGGCCTTGTTAGTCTGTTATTAATGAGTGAATGTAATAAATGCAGCTTCCAGGTGTAGAGCTAACATTTTGTCATTAAGTAGAGGTTATTTTCTTTTAAATTGGTCTTACTTAACTATTCTTCAGTTCTCATGCAACCCTGAGGTTAAACTTAAAGTTTCAGGAACCAGAAACATTGATAAAAAGTTTTATTCAGAGATTTAGATTTATGCTTTTACTCATATAACTTAATATGACATAAAAAGTCTTCACAAATGTACAAATATTATTTGTGGTATTTATATGTTTTATGTTAATTTATTTCCTAAAGTATCTTTTCTTGTCATTTACTGCACTCAGGGGTCAAAATTTTGGGGTCTGGTTCTTCCTAATCAGAAAACCTGTGGGTTGTGTTAATGAATTCATGCATGCTTGGAGACTTTAAATCAACTACAGTTGTAATTAGTAATTACAACTAATTATGAAAGAGAATCAATTATATTTTAAAAAGTCATTTACTGTATTGCAGAGCCAAACATACATGGTTCCTGGGCAAGCCCCTGACCCCTCCAGCCTCTACAGTTCCCCCACTGAGTTTCTTTACGACTTTTTATCTCTGCTAGGGCCCTTATTGCTTTATATGGTGCATTGTATTTATCTTTAACTATCAGCTTCTCCTGTACTTAACTACACACACACTCTTTGAAGGAAAGTGTCTAATCTGTCCGCTGTTTGGGTTTTTTCTTACCCAAAAACTCCTAGCAGTGTCTTCCTGAGATCCATGCATAATAAATGTTCCCTCAGACTCTGCTCAACCAACCATGTTGAGCTTATTCTACGTGCTAGGCTTTGTAGCACTAGTGGGGAGCATCCTCCGTCAAGGTGCTCCGAGAAGGAGGCGGATGAGTAAACATTACGTGATTGCAGGGGGCGCTCCCTGCTTTCCCAGGAAGAAGGCTCTGCAGTGGAGTTCAGAGTGAGGATGTTTCTTAAGGAGTTCCTTGGGCTTACTGCCTGGGAAAGGGCCGGGAGGAGGCAGAATGGGGCCGAGAGGAGGAGCTGAGCTGTGAGGCAGGTCCCACGGCCAACTCCCCAGGGCCCAGGAGTTGTGAGCTGGAATGGCCTCCCAGAATCACGTGGCTGGGACTTTGTACCCCGCATCCCATCAGTCACTGAGCATGAGTGTCCCCAGGAGGACATTGCCTGCAGGGAAGCAGGTCCTGCAGCTCTGTCTGCACCGCCCCTGCAGCGAGGCCCCGTCCCTCAGGGTTGTCGTGCAGAGGACGAAGTGTGCTGTCAGGATGTGCACAAGGCTTGTGGGAGCTCAAAGGATGGGGGCAGCTTGGGGGATGGAGTGCAGTGGGGACATCTTGAGGAGGCAAAGACTGAGCCAGGCCTTTGAGGTGGAGTTAGATGGTCAGAGGGAGCAGAACCTGGGGGTGCCCAGAGGCACATTTGGAGCTGTCAGTGGGTCCGATGTTGAGGGAGGCAGGTGAGCCAGGCCCTAACGAGTCTGTCTGCCGTGCTAAAGGGTGTGGACATTAGCATAAAGGTGGTCACGAGCTGTCAGTGGGTCTGATGGTGAGGGAGGCAGGTGAGTCAGGCCCTAACGAGTCTGTCTGCCGTGCTAAAGGGTGTGGACATTAGCATAAAGGTGGTCAGGAGCCATTGCAGCACGTTGAGCCGAGGAGCAGCACATCTTGTCTGTGATGTAGATGGGTCAGTGTGGCAGTGGCGTAAGTTGGGAACAGAGGAAGGGAGGCTGGAGTCAGGGAGAGCAGTTAGGAGGCTTCTGGAGTGACTGACATGAACAACCAGGATCTGAACAAAGGCAGCAATTACAGGTACAGAGGGCTGGACACAGGCTAAAGGGGTAGAACTTAAAAAACCCAGGAGCTCATCAATTATAGGAGCAGTGGGAGGGAGGAGCCTAGGTTGGCCTCTGCCTCCACCAGCATGTCTGGTTGGTGACTGGGCACCACTTGCCAGGCGAGGATAGGAGCAGGGAGGGTTGGGAGCAGCCCAGTGTGTTCCAGTGAGGACAGGCTGAGCTTGTGGTGCCTGTGGAGATGCCCAGGAGCTAGGGGCCTCCATAGCAGAAACCCCAGATGGAGGTAAGGATTTGGGAGTCGTCAACCAAGAGGTGGCATTTGCAGTCCTGAATGTGGACAGAAAGAGAAAATTGGAAAGGAGGCTGATAGCATGGCCACATGCTGACTTTGATGATGTGGGTGTGGCAGATGGAGCAACTGTGGGCATCTCTCTGTTACAAATACATAGGCCATATAAAGGAAAAAATAAAACTAAGTATAGTTTTTAAAAGGAAAGGAAAATCTCTAAATGCCATAAACAGGAGAGAGCTTAAAGTTAGTGTCATAAGCTTTTGAGCTGCTATGTGATGGCTTGGAGGCTGGGTGTGAAGCCCAGGCTGTCTCAGACCTTCTGAGCTGTCTCTGGGGCTTGAGCCCCATGCAGAACCAGGCGACGCATTGGGTTTGCCTGAGGCAAGGAGGTAGAACTGAGACCCCTGCACAGGACTCTGGAACTCACTGCTCCTGCAGTGATAGGGAAATTCAGAAAGCCGCACCACAGCCAAGGGAAGACAGAGGAGCTTGGAAGAGCTTGAAATCCTAAGCTGAGTGGGTGTGTGGGAACCCACAAGCTGAGATGTTAGCATCACAGTTCTAGACCAGTGGCCTCAGTGGGTTCATAGTTAAAGTAGACGCAAAACCCCCTGGTGGGTAAAGATATGTTTGCAAATTGGGGCTCACAGGTTTCTTATGAGAAGCAGTCTGCTGCAGATGAGCTCACAACTACAAGCATGAAGAAATAGTCTACCTTGGTGCAAAAAGTAGGAGTCACACACTAAGAACTTGAGACAGTTGTACAATCTAAAAGAAATTTCTAGAAATGAAACTGTTATCTCTGAAATTTACAACCAAGTGAATGGTTACATAGCAGATTAGATATAGCTGAAGAAAGAATTAGGGAACAGAAGGATAACTCTGAAAAAATTATCAAGAGTGTAGTAGCAGAAGAAAATAGAAACAGAGTGGCTAAACCCACAGAGGAATGTGACATGGCCTGTTATACATCGATGTATTGTAGTGCAAATCAGTGTTAATACCATCATTATTCTTAAGGTTGGAAACAGTCCATCTGTTCATTTTGTTACTTTATTTTTTCAGTCTTTCCCATAAAGGTAATGAATTTTGGGGCACTACACAAACACTGAATGTTAAATTTCTGCCTTCAGATCCTAATCACTTTATTATTGGCACAGACATGGTGAGTAGTATTTTAAATTTAATCCTATTACTCATTCTCCTTGTTTTCCTGACTTACCTGATAAATATCTTGATTTAGGATTAACTTACTCTTTTCTTTATAAAGTTTAAATTGTTTGAGGAACAGTAGCTGTATCCAATCTCGTGTGTAATGCACTCGTTCAGTCACTCTTGGGCTTCTTCTTCACAGGGTCTCATAAGCCATGGCACAAGACAAGATTTGAGAGTGGCTCCCAAACTATTCAAACCTCAGCAACATGGTATAAGACCAGTGAAAGTTAATGTCATTGATTTTTCACCATTTGGAGAACCAATATTTTTGGTAAGAAAGTTTGTTTTTCAGAGCTCCAATTCTTCTTTTTTTGTTTTTTGAGACAGGGTCTTGCTCTGTCACCCAAGCTGGAGTGCAGTGATGTGGTCATAGCTCACTGCAGCCTTGAACTCCTGGGCTCAAATGACCCTCCCACCTCAGCCTCCCGAGTAGCTGGGACCTGTACAGGTGCATGCCACTATGCCTGGCTAATTTAAAAAATGTATTTTTTTGTAGAGACGAGGTCTCCCTGTGTTGCCTAGGCTTGCCAGTTCTTTTTAGTGATACTCTTTGCCTGTTTGGGCAGCATAACACTTGCAGTGATCCATTGGAAAATTTTAAAAGTTAATCATTTACTAGAGCACAAATTGGTCATTTATGGGGCGTCAGTGGTTTAAAAAGGAGAAACATGAAATTAATAACAAATTTTAAAAACAAAACCTATGTAGAAATTAAACTCTCGAGTAATACTTGGTTCAATTACAAACTAGTTAGAATTTAACAGAAGAATATGAAATACCAAAACCTATGATACAGCCAAAAATGTGAAGAAATTCTTAGTGTGAGGATTTTTGCCTGTGTTCTTTTACTGTTTAACACAATAGAAATTAATGTTCAGAGTCTTGAACCTGAAAGTCCAGGGATGGCCGTCGGGCAGGCAGCAGTCCCTGCGCTGCACTCATGCTGCAGGAAATGTGTGTGTGGGTGCGAGCTGCTTGCTGTCTTCCCCTCCAGGGCCTGGTGTCAGCCCAGCTCACCCTAGTCACAGTTGTCCTGTAGACTCCAAGGTCAGTTTATGGGTTGGTTTGGGTAAGATAGGACAGAAGGCAAAATATTAAACAACTTTATACGTGATTAAATGTGATAGTTAACAAGAATTATATGACAGTCAAGGCATTAAGTTATAACTCAGATATCCCCTTCTCTCACTAGTGTTTACAAATTTCCGTGTACTTGAGATTGAGGGGAAAGATTGTTATTTATTCACACTACTCTTATAGTACTTAAAACATTATAAATTATGTTTATATGTCAGTCACATAAACTAAGGTTGCTGAGGGCAGAGATGGTATTTCATGTATCTTTGTATTTCCAAAGACTGCATTTGAGCTGCTGAGTAATGTCCCCCTGTGGCTGTTGGGAGCCTGGAATGTGGTCAGGCAAGGCTGGGATGTGCTGGAGGTGTGAAATACACACCAAATTTTGAAGAATTAGTGTGAATAAAAGAATGTAAAATGTCTCTTTAGGCTGGGTGCTGTGGCTCACGCCTGTAATCCCAGCACTTTGGGAGGCTGAGGTGGGCAGATCACCTGAGGTCGGGAGTTCAAGACCAGCCTGACCAACATGGAGAAGCCCCATCTCTACTAAAAATACAAAGTTATCTGGGCACGGTGGCCCAAATCCCAGCACTTCGGGCATCCCAGGCAGGTGGGTCACCTGAGGTAGGGGTTCAAAACCATGCTGGCCAACATGGCAAAACTCCGTCTCTACTAAAAACATAAAATTAGCCTGGCGTGGTGACACATGCCTGTAATCCCAGCTACTTGGGAGGCTGAGGCAAGAGAATCGCTTTAACCCAGGAGTCAGAGGTTGTGATGAGCCGAGATAGTGCCATTGCACTCAGCCTGGGCAACAAAAGCAAAACTCCGTCTCAAAACAAAAACAAAAAAAGTCTCATTAATAATTTTGTTGTTGGTGATTTCCAGTGTGGAGCTCTTGAGCTTTTTTTGGCTTCTCTCCCCACAAAAAACCAAAACCAAATACATAGCACCAAGATCTTCACCAATAAGAACTTAGAACTCAATTGTGAAGATAAGACAGTTCCTGGGGCCACAGAGAGTAGAAAAGCTCCAAGCAGATGGGAGGAGAACTGGGCTTCCATATCCACAATGTCCCTTCCCCCTTATTTGGCCTGGCACCAAGTGCATGGAAAATCTCCCCTTAACTCATGGTTTGTGAAAGTAAAATTGAGGTGGACAACCAGTTTTTCTACTTTCTTGGGTGCCCTGTCCCTGCCTCAGCCCATGGGGAGCATCCCGAGTGCCTGAAGGAAGAAATACCCCTGAGGACACCCAGAAACAAAGCTGGGAGGCAGGACTACTGTCTGCAGCCCTGAAAATTCTGCACCTCAGCCAAAGGAGGCACTCAATCAGAGTGGCCGCTCATAGCACCATGCTCCAGGAGGTTTATTCCACAGGTCTTCTGAACACAAACCCTGACACAGGCAGGGAGACTTCCCTTTGAGACTTCCCTCATTTGGGACAGGCCTCCCTCAATCACTAAATACAGCCAAAGTGAACCTCGTCTTAAGGTGACACCTATAGCTGAAAAGGAGGCAGCAACCTAGCAGAGAAGATTTGCTAAGTAAATATATTCAATAAAAACCAAAACAAGCTGGACAGAGAAAACTGGAATAAATAACTAATCCTGCAATGCAAAGACACAGACATACACCCACAAGAAACAGCAGCAAACAGGGAATCATGACCTCCCCAGAAGGACAAAGCAAAAATCCAGTGACTGACCTAATGAGGCAGTGATTTGTGAGCTCTCTGACCAAGAGTTCAGAAGAGCAATTTTAAGGAAACTCTGTGATCTCCAAGACAACACAGAAAAGCAATTCAGAAATTTATCAGAGAAATTTAACAAAGAGATTGAAATAATTTAAAAAATCAAACAAATCTTGGAACTGAGAAACATATTTGCTGGACTGCAGAAATTCATTATAGGCTGTCAGCAGCAGAGTGGATCAAGTAGAGGAATGAATAGGTGAGATCAAAACAGGCTATTAGAAAATACACAATCAATGCTGGGCGCGGTGGCTCACGCCTATAATCCCAGCACTTTGGGAGGCCGAGGCGGGTGGATCACGAGGTCAGGAGATCGAGAGCATCCTGGCTGACACGGTGAAACCCCATCTGTACTAAAAATACAAAAAATTAGCCTGGCGTGGTGGCGGGCGCCTGTAGTCCCAGCTACTTGGGAGGCTAAGGCAGGAGAATGGTGTGAACCTGGGAGGCAGAGCTTGCAGTGAGCTGAGATTGTGGGCACTCCAGCCTGGGTGACAGGGTGAGACTGTCTCAAGAAAAAAAAAAAAAGACACAAGGCTGGGTGCAGTGGCCCATGCCTGTAATCCCAGCATTTGGGAGGCCAAGGCAGGAGGATCTCTTGAGCCAGCTTGAGCAACATAGGGAGACCCTATCTCTACAAAAAAAATTAAAAAATTTGCCAAGAATGGTGGCATGTGGAGGCAAATGGAGGCTGAGGCAGTAGGATCACTTGAGCCTGGAAGGCCAAGGCTGCAGTGAGCCCTGATTGTGCCATTGTCCTCCAGCCTGGGTGACAGAGTGAATACTGTTTCTAAAAAGAAAAAAGAAAGGAAATATATAATCAGAGGAGAAAAAAGAACAAAAAGGAATAAAGACTACCTACAAGACAGAAAATAACCACAAAAGACCAAATCTAAGAATTATTGGTATTCAAGAGGGAGCTAACAAGGGTTAGAAAATGTATTCAAAGAAATGATAACAGAAAACTTTCCAAAACTTCATAAGGAGATCAATATCCAGGTATAGGAAGGTCAGAGAACATCAAACAGATTCAACCCAAATAAGATTACCCCAAGGCATTTAATAATCAGACTCTCAAAGGTGAAGGAGAAAGAGAAGATCCTAAAAGCAGTGAGAGATAAGAAGCAAATAACATATAAAGGAGTTCCAGTTCATCTGGCAACAGACATCTCAGTGGAAACCATACAGGCCAGGAGGGAGTAGAGTGACATTTTCAAAGTGCTAAATGAAGAACATTGCCATCCAAGAATACCGTATCCAGCAAAACTGTCATTCAAATATGAGGGAGGGTTAAAGTCTTTCCCAGATATACAAAAGCTGAGAGAATTCACCATCCTCAGACCCATCTTGCAAGAAATGCTAAAGGGAGGCTGGGCATGGTGGCTCACGCCTGTAATCGCAGCACTTTGAAGGTTGAAGCGGGTGGATCAGTTGAGGTCAGGAGTTCGAGACCAGCCTGGCCAACATGATGAAATATGTCTCTACTAAAAATATAAAAATTAGCCAGATGTGGTGGCGGGCACCTGTAATCCCAGCTACTAAGGAAGCTAAGACAGGAGAATCGCTTTAACATGGGAGGCAAAGGTTGCAGTGAGCTGAGATTGCACCACCGCACTCCAGTCTGGGTGACAGAGTGAAACTCCATCTCAACAACAACAACAACAACAAAAGAAATGCTAAAGGGAGTTCTTCAACCTGAAAGAAAAAAAAATACACGCAAAAACAAAAAACTTATCAAGGTATAAAACCCATTCATGTAATTAAATACATGGACAAACCCAGAATACTGTGTTACTGTATTTGTACAATATGCTCATAACTCTACTATGAAGCCAAAAAGACCTATTAAAAACAATAATAGCTATAGCAACTTCTTAAGATATAAGTAATTTAAAAATATATAAATTGAGACAACTAAAAGTCAAAATGTGAGAGGGTTAAAGTGTAGAATTTTTTGTTTGGTGTTTTCTTTCCTTTGTTTTTATTTCCTTATTTGTATTCTAAGGTAAGTTGTTATCTCTTTAAAATAACTTGTTTTAGGGCTGGGTGCTGGGGCTTATGCCTATAATCCCAGCACTTTGGGAGGCTGAGGTGGGAAGATTGCTTGAGTCTGGGAGTTTGAGACCAGTTTGAGCAACATAGACCTCATCTCTACAAAAAAAAACCCAAACAAAACCAATCAGCTGGGTACAGTGGTGCCCATGCCCACCTGTAGTCCCAGCTAGCTACTTGGGAGGCTGATGAGGGAAGGTTGATTGAGCCTAGGAGGTCGAAGCTGCAGTGAGCTGTGATCTTGCCACTGTACTTCAGTCTAGGTCACAGAATGAGATCCCGTCTCAATAAATAAGTAAATAATCACAATACAAAAACCTATAATAGCTTCATTCAAAACAAAAAGCAACAAATTAGAACATACTAGCAGAGAGAAGGAAGACAGGCAGAAAGGAACAAAGGAAGAGAGGAGTCTTAAGCAGAAATCAAGCAACAAAATGGCAGTAGAATGTTCTCACTTAGCCATAATATCACTGAATGTAAATGGTCTCAATTCTCCAATTAAAAGGCATAGAATGGCTGAATGGTTAAAGAAACAAGACCCAACTGTAGGCTGCTCTCAAGAAATTCACTTCACCTATAAAGACACACTCATACTAAAAGGGTGGAAAAAGGTATTCTATACAACTAGAAACCAAAGAAGAGCAAGAGTGGCTATACTCATGGCAGATAAATTAGACTACAAATCAAAGACTGTAAAAAATGACAAAAAGGGGTCTATATATAATGATAATGGGTGAATTTACTATATAATGATACAGGGGTCAATTCAGCAAGAGGATATAACAGTTACAAGTATCTATGTACCCAACACCAGAGCTCCCAAGTATAGAAAGCAAAGATTAATAGATCTAAAACAGAAATAGACTGTAATGCAATAATAGTAGGGTACTTCAGCACCCCACTCTCAGTAATGGACAGATTACCCAGACAGAAAGTCAACAAAGAAGCATCAGAGTTAAACTACACACTAGACCAGTGGTCCCCAACCTTTTTGGCACCAGAGACTGGTTTTTGTGGAAGACATTTTTTCCCAGAACTGGGGATTTGGGGGACAGTTTCAGGATGAAATTGTTCCACCTCAGATCATCAGGCATTAGATTCTCATGAGGAGACTGCAGCCTAGATCCCTCGCATACACAGTTCACAATAGGGTTCATGCTTCTGTGAGAATCTAGTGCTGCCGCTGATCTGACAGGAGGTGGGGTTCAGGTGGTAATGCTCACTCGCCTGCTGCTCACCTGTTGCTGTGTGGCCCAGTTCGTAATAGGCCGTGGTCTGGTACTGGTCCATGGCCCAGAGGCTGGGGACCCCTGCACTAGACCAAATAGGCCTAACATTTACAGAATATTTCTCTCAACTGCTGCAGAATACCCATTCTTTACACTAGCACATGAGACATCATCCAGAATACACCATATCTTAGGCCCCAGACAAGTCGTACAAATTCAGAAGAATAGAAATCATATTGAGTATCTTATGATTATCATGGAATAGAACTAGAGATCAATAACAGGAGGAACCTTGGAAAATACACAAACACATGGAAATTAAACATCTTCCTGAATGTCCAGTGGGTCAATTAAGAAATTAAGAAGGACATTTAAAAATTTATTGAAACAAATGAAAATGGAAATGTGGCATATCAAAATCTATGGGATATGGCAAAAGCAATACTAAGAGAGAAGTTGATAGTAATAAATGCCTACATCTAAAAAAGTAGAAAGACTTCAAATAAACAATGTAACAATGCACCTCAAGGAAGGAGAAAAGCAAGAACAAACCAAACTCAAAATTAGTGGAAGGAAAGAAATAGTAAAGTTCAGAGCAGAAATAAATAAATTGAGACAAAGAAATTACAGAAGATCAATGAAATGAAAGGTTAGGTTTTGAAAGATAAGCAAAATCGACAAACTTTTAGCTAGAATAACTAAGAAAAAAGAAGACCCAAATAAAATAAAATCAGAAACCAAAGAGGAGATACAACAACTGAGCCCTCAGAAATACAAATAATCATTAGAGACTATTATGAACATCTATAAGCCAACAAATTGGAAAACAAATTTGATTTTATGAAAATTTCAATCCAAGAGAAGTATATAACCATATTATTGACACAAATGTATGTAGTTTTTTAAAAGGTGCCATATTTTCATGGAGCCAATCTTAATGGCCCATATTTGAATCACTGATATTCAACTTTGTTAAATTTGTGTTTATATATACGCTGAATCTGTTGATTATTGGCCATTTTGGAAGAGAAAGTGTATCAGAGTCAGGTGAGTGCTCACCTTTGTAATTTGTGAGGAGAGATTCAATGTTACAATTTTATGTTAGGAAAACAACAAATTAATGTTTTTGCAGTACAAACTAAAGCAAGCTCATCCTCCAAAAAATTTCTCTGGCTGCTGAGATCAAGTTACGAAAAAAACAAAAAAGAGGCTGGGCATGATGGCTCACACCTGTACTCCCAGCACTTTGGGAGGCCAAGGTAGGAGGATCACTTGAGGCCAGGAGTTCGAGACCAGCTTGGGCAACATAGTGAGACCTCATCTCTACGAACGATATAAAAGGTGGGTGTAGTGGTGCCTGCGTGTAGTCTCAGCTACTCAGGAGGCCGAGGCAGGAGGATTGATTGAGCCCGGGAGGTCAAGCTGCCATGAGCTGTGATTGCACCACTGCACTCCAGGCTGGGTGACAGAGTGAGACCCTGTCTCAAAAAGAAAAAGGCCATGCTCAGCAGTGTTCTTTCTTCCTGGTCATAGGCCGGCTGTTCGGACGGAAGCATCAGGCTGCACCAGCTGAGCTCCGCGTTTCCGCTCCTGCAGTGGGACAGCAGCACGGACAGCCATGCGGTCACCGGCCTGCAGTGGTCCCCAACCAGGCCTGCCGTGTTCCTGGTGCAGGACGACACATCCAACATCTACATCTGGGACCTCCTCCAGAGCGATCTGGGTCCTGTCGCCAAACAGCAGGTCTCCCCCAACAGGCAAGTGGGGAAGCTCTGGACCAGCTGCTGGTTGTGGGGGGGCTTCGGCCACGGGTGCCACTTACGGTCTTTCTTCATTAATTTTTGCATGAGGCTGCTACATTTTAAGATGTGGCCATATGTAAATTTAAATAATATGTTCAGTTAAAAATTAAAAAGTATTGTTTTTGAGAGCGGTGTTAGGTTCACAGAAATTTGAGTGGAAGGCAGAGATTTCTAGCACCCTGTCCCACATCCCGGCCGGAGGCACGTGCGGTGCAATCACGGGCCTGTTCCCACACCACCACCACCGAGTCGACGGCTTACCTGAGGGTTCACTCTTGGGTTGTGCATTTAAATAATATTTTTAAAATCACTTTAAAGTGTGATTATTTTATATTTAGCCCAAGCTAGTCTATTGGATTAACAGATTCATCATGCGGTATTTCCCCATCATTAGTGTTCTGTGAGTAAGAAATGATAGTTTGTGAGAGCTTCTTAGTTATGTTCCTTTGCCAATCTTATGAGCTATAAGTTTGTAATGTCTGAACGAGGTACTTGGTGTTCCCCTAGTGTCTAAAGGGGGAAAGGAGGATGGTGTGTGGAATTAATGGTCCACATGACGCCACACTAAAGCCATTCCAGCCCAGGCCCCTCGAGGGGCTCCCAGCTCACAGGCAGACCAGTATGGCTGGGGCGTGCATGTCAGTTCACGTGATGTCACTGATGGAATTAAGACGGCTGCACTCCCATCAACACCACTGTTAGGTAGTTCTTCGTTGCTTTGTTTGTTTCACAGCAGAAGTGTTCACGAAAGCTTTCGTCATGAGGTGCTCTGCCTTGGCCCTGCTTGTCTGTTCACCTGTGTTTTTTTTCTTGAGATTTTTACATTTCTTTTTAATAAATTCTCCTACTGTGAGGGTTCATGTTGACCTGGGGAGAGAAATCCCACAGCCCTTTTGTAAAGGAAAGATAAGAGTTTAATAGAATGTTGGGGGTATCCCAGTGAGATCTGAATGAAATTAAGAATTGCATTTATTTAGTTTGATTCCTAGGTTTACTTACGTTATTCTGATTATTAAAAAATACATTAAAATCCAGACTGTGATTTGCAGATAACCACACAACACACCTGCAGTTTATTATTCCAGAAAGCATGTCCATGCCTGCGTTACAGGATAAACACATTTACCCAGCACCGACTGTGTGCCTGGCGGCCGGGGCTCCACACCCTGAGATCTCTCCCTCCCTGGTGGGCAAGAAAGACAATGAGCAGAGTGAACGAGGGGGTCCCGAAATGTGCTGGAAAACGTGCTGTGGAGGCAGATGATGAGGAAGAGGTCACGAGCGTGGGTCAGGGCCGAGGGGGCAGGAAGGATGGTCCTGTTGTGGGGACGTTTGGGCAGAAACCTAGGAGATGAGGTCTGGGTGAAGGCAGCAGGGCCTGGGCAGGGGCGGGTAGCACACCCCAAGGTGGGCTGTGCTGCTGTGGCGGGGACCGGAGGGTCTGAGCACAGGAGCCCCAGCTCTGTGTGTGATGGACTCCAAACGTGGCTCATAGTGGAGAGCATGTTTGTTGTCATTAGCAGGTTACGCACCCTTCGGTTCTGGAGCCTTGTCTTAGGGGCATCATGGCTTTCCATGAAGGAGAACGTGCTAGGGACCTCAGCTTCAATCTCCAGCTGAGACCCCGATGACTGGCTGCCCTGGAGCTCCCCTAACCCCTCAGCAGTGCCGGACGCCGGGTCAACCCTGTCCATCTGTCAGGAAGGAGGCGGCAGCCCGGCCCACGTTCCTCTACTTCTACTTCCCACACGGGAAAAGGCTCTGGAAGGAGGTGGCGCTCTCTCCTCCTGTTGAGCAGCCAGAGGGACCTGACACAGAAAGTGCCCAGTTACTTTTCTCTGGTTAGACAGAGAAACAGAACAAGAAGAAACGGATGTTTGGAAGGAAGGAGTTTAGATACAAGCAAGGATTTAACACTTTTAGAGTTACGTTACAATCTCTGACAATGACTTACCCGTTGCATGTGGTTGAGAAGCAGGTTGGCTGTGGGGAACAGGCAGGGCCCTCAGGGCCAGCACGGGAGGTGGCAGGAGCCTTGTGGTGGCTCAGTGTTGGGCCCAACTTTTGCTTTTGTCCTCTGCCCTCTTTGCTTGGATTCTGTCTACCTTAACAAATATGAAGGATGTGTAAAAGAGCTGACGGGTGCTAGTACTGTGTTTGCACATCTGCCGTAGGTGTAGTTTTAAAGCATCTAGACATAGTTTACCAAGGGACTGTTTTATTTGCCCGGTGTCAGGGAAGCCTTTGGTGTCCACCGTCTGTTACTGATGTTTTCAAGTCTGCAGCTAAACATTGCCCATGCTTTACACACGCAATTGAATAGCAGTTTTAAAGTATCCGCTGGTGAAAATCCGAGTGGCTTGTAGTTCCTCATGGTCTGCCCCTTTTGGGGTGTCACGAGGCTTCATTCCCACACTCTGCCGCCCCACGTCCTGTGGAGTGAGCAGGGAGGGGGTGCACTCAGGTAGCTGTCAGGTTGGATGTGATTTTCACCCCTGTAGTGACAAGGGCAGGGACCCTACCCCCATCATCAGGCACAGCCAGGATCCTGGCAGGTGATGGCACCAAGTTGGATCTCAAAGGACAAGTGGGAGTGAAGCAAAGACGGGCAGGGAGTCTGCAAGAGGCACGGGGAGACGGGGTCCCCAGCCACGCCTGGAGTTGCAGGTGCCAGGAGTGTGAGCCGTAGGCCCAGGGCCACAAGGAGACTGGGCGTGTTTCTACCAGCCACAGGAGGGGGTTTGAATGGGGGCCAGGTGGACAGCAGAGGTGTGTCTTTGAGAGTCTCTGTCAGCCTCAGGAGAGGATTAGAGCTGGGGCCTGGTCAGGGAGCGTGTGGTCATCAGAGTGAGGGAAGGGGCCCCTGGGAGTGAGATCGGGGAGACAGGGTGGCCACAGGTCTCGTGTTGGGCACTGGGTGGATGATGGAGGTGCTGGTCCCATGGAGGCCAGGAGTGGAGGGGTCCGGGGCTCCAGGGTGAGTCCGGGCTGGAGACGCAGACTTGTGAGTCCTGACACTCAGCTGTGGGTGAGATCCAGGGAGGCTGGAGACCAAGGACGAGGCTCTGATAGATGGGCCTGCCTGTGCTGCTGATGGCCCCCACCTTCTCCAGGGACCTGCTGGGGGCTACTGACTCCCGGCCTGAGGAGACAGCAGCACGTCCTCATCACTTACCTCTGCGAAGTTCCATCTGGCAGGCCTCTGACATGCGGAAATGCATTTTCACACATTTATTTCTGGTCTAGCTTTCATTTTGGCTATTGGTATTTTTAGAATTTCTCATCCGTTTCACTCTTCCCATGGAAGGTAGACATTTTGAAGACTCAGACAGAACCGAATGTCCCTTTGTGTGCACTGACCCTCTGCTTCTGCCCCTCTCCCTGCAGGCTGGTGGCCATGGCTGCGGTGGGTGAGCCTGAGAAGGCTGGTGGCAGCTTCCTGGCCCTGGTGCTGGCCAGGGCGTCTGGCTCCATCGACATCCAGCACCTGAAGAGGCGGTGGGCGGCCCCGGAGGTGGACGAGTGCAACAGGCTGCGTCTGCTTTTGCAGGAAGCCCTGTGGCCAGAGGGAAAACTGCACAAGTAGCGGGTGTGGCTGAGAGGACCGCGTTTCTGTAATGACCCAGATTTAAAAGACATAAGGTGGATAATTCTACATTTGTGTGCAAGTATATTTATGTATATAGACTATGTATATTCTGTATATAATTTATTTTACATGAATATGTCTTTGGTATTCCCAGTAAATAGATGACTACTTTTGAGTGGAAACAAAGAACATTCTAGCATTTACAAAACTTCCAGGGGAATGTAGAGCCACGTCCAGGGTGCTCTTTTCTGAGAGTATTTCGAGTTATTTTTAGAACAGTTTAAATATTGTCACATTACTGCTAGATTTTAAACAGCCTACCATGAAAATGTATCTTAATGAACTATTTTCTTATGCATAAAGTATGTGAACACATGTCTAAATTAAAAGGAATTACTCCACCGAAATGACCTCTGCCAATAGTGTTTTCTTAAAATTCTTGAGCACCTTCTTTTGGGATTATTGGAATGTTATATTTGCAGAGCAAGTCAGACACGTTTTCCATTAGTACTAAAAGTTGTCCTTGTGTAGAAATCATACAAGTAAATAAACTCTCTTGAATTTTGTAGCTCAGGTAGACTAGGAATCATGCTGCTGTTAACAAAATGCCCTGGGCTGGGTAGTTTATCAGCAACAGAAATCTGCACCTCCTGTTTCCTGCAGGTGGAATTCAGCATCAAGGCGCCCCGTGTTTCGTGTCTGGTCAGCTGCCCTCTGCTTTCCGCAGTACCTCATGGCTGTGCCCTCGCACAGTAGCGGAGGACAGAAAGGCCCTGGGGCCTTCAGCCTCTCTGCTGACAGCACCGATCCATTCACTAGGGCTCTGCGTCTCAAAGGGCCCTGCCCCTTAACAGCATCACCCTTGTGCTTAAGTTCCAGGCTTTGAATGTTGGAGGGACACACACATTCAAACCATAGCACAAAGACAGGAGAGTTCTGGGGTGAGGACAGGAAAATCCCAGAATGTGTCACAAACACCCATCCCTCTGTCCCATCACCCTCCTAGAATGTTCCCAGCACCGTTGGCCATCGATGGGTCTGTGAGGTGAACGGATGGGCACAGTTAGGTCTTCTCACTGGGGCACAAGATCACCTCCGCTTACTTGTCTTAGACCTGGAAGGTGTCTGGGAGGGACCCACCAGACCGGCTGTGACGCTGCAGACACAGCCCCCTCCCCAACGGCAGGGCTGCACGTCTCGCGTGGGCCTCTCCAGCCACCCGAGCAACCGCCAGCCTTTCTTTGCTTTTTAATCATTGATTTGAAACTGTTGGCCGCTGAATTCCAGGTGCCTGCTACAGCGCCTGCTGTGTCAGTAGAGTCTTAGCCAATCCTCATTCAACAAATGGCTGGAATTTGTTCATCTTCCGTCTGCATCTTCATGGAACTCAGGGTCACAGTCACGTGGGGAAGGAAGTGGACAGGCACGCGGCCTCTCTCTGCATCTTCGCGGAACCCAGGTTCACAGTTGCGTGGAAAGGAAGTGGAGTGGACACACGGCCTCTCGAGTCCACACCCACTCACCGTCCTTGCTGCTGTTTTGCAACCCGCTTGATGATTGGTCTAGAAGTTTTGAGACTGAGGTAAGTTCTTAGCCTCAGATTCCATCTTATTTAAAGTTAGAATGAATATTTGTCCCTCCTTTTCTTTGGGCCTCTTCTGGGCTTTGGTGTCTGCGAATTCTCAGCTATCATCTGCAGTTCACAGTTCGTTCTCTGTCCTGACTCCTTTGTAACCTGGGAGGCAGTCTGCTTGGGCTCAGGTCTCTGAAACTGCTCAGTAAATCAGCTCAAGGGAATCCAGGGAGTTCTGTCTGGCTCCTGAGTTATGTGCCCGGTCACAGTGCTGCTCCTTTAGGGGGAGCTCCCAAGGGAGGACCATCTGCAGCTCAGTTACGTCCTCCTGACGTGAGCCTCCTGCCTGGCTGGGGGCTCACTCCCCCCTCTGAAGCCCTTGCTCATGCTCTGCCAGTGCCCAGGAGGTGCAGCCTCACGGAGGCCAGGGGCGAGAGGAGGCCCAGCTCTCCCCAGCTGCCGTGTCTGACGCGCTGCCTCGGAAGCACCTGTGGCCATTGGGCGGCTTCTGCCCTGTGGCTGGTTGGCCTGTGCAGCTTCTGCTCCATGATGTCCTTGAATGTGTCCTTCCCAGGCTCCTAAGCATTGGGTGTTTTTTGAGCCATATAGAAATGTGAAGTTCGTGAAGAAAGAAACATCCAAAAAGGCCAACGATCTGCCCCTCAGCCTCACCCCCAGGGAGGAGCTGGCCCGGTGCTTGTGGGCCCCTCCCAGGTGCAGCCTGCCCTGGCGCTAGCGATGCCTCCGGGATCTTCCAGAGGAAGGTGAGACAGGCAACAGGATGGAGTAATCGCAGCCTCTAAAAAACACATTTCACAGCAGATTAGGAAAACAGACGTGGCAAGAGGTGGGCCGACAGTGCGGGAGGCGGTTCCTTCCCACCGTGGGCTTCCCGTCTGACTTTACAGCAAGGCCGCTTCCACACGGGGGTCTCCAAGCCCACCCTGGTGCCTTGCTGCACGCAGGCTGAGCGCTTTCTTCCAAGGCAGACAGCGGTAATTTAATTTTCTCTTTTTCAGTCGTGTTTTTGTTATTTAGAAAACACTTTTCTTTCAACATTTGCCACATCAGTAGAAGTAAATTAAAACGTTCGTTACCTCACGTGTGGTTATTTGTGTGCTGAGGATACCCCGCTTGCTGTGCTGGACTGAGCTCTTGAGGACGGAGGCACTTCTGTTTTCTCACAGTCATCGCCCCCGGGTGCTTCGGACACGGGAGGTGCTCAGTGAAGGTGGCGCGGGGGATGGCTGAGTGGCAGTTGTGTCTGCAGGGCAGAGTCATATCGGAATGTACAAGCGCAACTGGATATGCAGACTTTTATTCCTGGAGGCTACAGTCTGGTCCCTCAATGACCCCACACCCCCCACAATTATTTACAAAATTCCATTTGACGTAAACTGGAGTCAAGAGGGGGGTCCAGTCGCGGCTGTGGTTTACCCAGTGACATGTAGATGTTCAAGGTCCCAGGTATGGTAAAAGCACAAGTAGGAAATTTAAGTTTTGGGGCCTCACAATAAAATGGCAGATGGTTAACATCATCAGCTCTTCCAAATCTCACTAAAATGCTCAGGAAGACGCAAAGAGGAGACACGGCCCTCCTACTAAGGAAGGTTCCGCTAATCTCGGACTGACTCCTAATGAACAGATGGCTGGTCCTGGACTGGAGAACATGGCACAGAACCGGGCAGCCTCTGCGCCCTGAGGTCCACGTCTGCCCCCGAGAGAGCAGTTCCTCCAAGCAGTGGGTGCTGCCCTGGGCGACAGCACCACCGTCCAACAGCACCTCTGGCCTCCCATCCTCTTGGAGACTCAACACCAGGAACACCCCGCAGGTGGTGAAATGCCAAAATGTAATTTCGCCAGAAATAATCTCTGAAGATACAGAGTCACACATAGTCACACATAGTCACACACAGTCCTGAATGCGGAAGTAGGCTTTTTAAAATAGTTTATTTAGAATATCTGAGAGACAGTGAAGCCTGGGAGAGAAGATGCTGCTTTAGCTGAGCTGATCTGTCCTGGAAAAGCGTCTGCCTGGGCAGGACTGTAGACAGTCCCCACTCACTCCAGGGAGTAGACAAGAGGAAGGGTGCACCCGGCCCTGTCCCCACTCCAGTGTGTAGACGAGAGCCAGGGTCCACCCCGCCCTGCTTGTTGGCAGCCCGTCTGTTGAGGGCCCCATGACAGCAGAGGCAGTGCCGTGGAACGAATCATCGCACAGCAGCAAAGGTAGGAGGGAGGGGCCCGAGCCGCACAGACGGCGCAGTTCAGCGGAGCAGGAGGTGCAGGCGGCGCGGCTTCAGGGAAAGGAGCGGAAAGCTAGAGGAGAGCATGGGAGGAGCATCAAAGGCCGGGAGAATGGGGCAAAGCAAGACAAGTAAGGATGCTTAAGAATCAAGGAAATACCTTTCATTTTTCCTTTTTTTTTTTTTTCAGACGGAGTTTCGCTCTCCTTGTCTAGGCTGGAGTGCAATGGCGCAATCTCGCCTCACCGCAACCTCCGCCTCCCAGGTTCAAGCGATTCTTCTGCCTCAGCCTCCCAAGTATCTGGGATTACAGGCATGTGCCACCACACCTGGCTAATTTTGTATTTTTAGTAGAGATGGGGTTTCTCCATGTTGATCAGGCTGGTCTCGAACTCCCAACCTCAGGTGATCTGCCTGCCTCGGCCTCCCAAAGTGCTGGGATTACAGGCATGAGCCACCGTGCCCAGCCAAGTCGAGCGTTTTTAAAATTTTATTTATTTTTGAGACAGAGTCTCACTCTGGTGTGATCTTGGCTCACTGCAGCCTCTGCCTCCCAGGTTCAAGTGATTCTCGTGCTCCAGCCTCCCAAGTACCTGGGATGACAGGTGTGCACCACCACACTCGGCTGATTTTTGTATTTTTAATAGAGATGGGGTTTTGCCATGTTGGGCAGGCTGGTTCTTGAACTCCTGACCTCAAGTGATCTGCCCACCTTGGCCTCCCGAAGTGCTGGGATTCCAGGTATGAGCCACTGTGCCTGGCCTAAGATTCCAGGTGTGAGCACCAGGACCAGCCTCTATATGATTCCAGGTGTTCTATATGATTCCAGGTGTGATATACTGCACGGGGACCAGCCTCTATACGATTCCAGGTGTTCTATATGATTCCAGGTGTGATATACTGCACGGGGACCAGCCTCTATACGATTCCAGGTGTTCTATATGATTCCAGGTGTGATATACTGCACGGGGACCAGCCTCTATACGATTCCAGGTGTTCTATATGATTCCAGGTGTGATATACTGCACGGGGACCAGCCTCTATACGATTCCAGGTGTTCTATATGATTCCAGGTGTGATATACTGCACCGGGACCAGCCTCTATATGATTCCAGGTGTTCTATATGATTCCAGGTGTGATATACTGCATGGGGACCAGCCTCTATACAATTCCAGGTGTTCTATATGATTCCAGGTGTGATATACTGCACCGGGACCAGCCTCTATATGATTCCAGGTGTTCTATATGATTCCAGGTGTGATATACTGCACCGGGACCAGCCTCTATACGATTCCAGGTGTTCTATATGATTCCAGGTGTGATATACTGCACCGGGACCAGCCTCTATATGATTCCAGGTGTGAGCACCGTGCCTGGCCTATATATGATTCCAGTTGTGAGCTACTGAATCTGGCCCAGCCCATCTGATCTTGCATGTTGTCCACGTTTTCCATCACAGCCTTTAATGTGTCAGTCATAGTTATTTAAAATCCCCTTTCAAATAGTTCCAACATCTGAGTCATATCTGTGTCTTGTTCTGATGGTTGTTTTGTCTCTTGGGAATGTGGTTTTATTCTTGCTTTTTTCTGTGTTACTTAAGCATTTTGGTTGAATGCTGGACCTGTTTTATGGACAGTAGAGAGGGAGGTAAATCATTGTCTTTTATTTTTTGGCCTGGATGTGGCTGTGCCTTTCCTTCTACTTGGCAGGGACCCTGCCCCCATCATCAGGCACAGCTGGGATCCTGGCAGGTCCCTGGGCGATGGCACCAAGCCAGGTCTCAAAGGACAAGTGGGAGTGAAGCAAAGACGGGCAGGGAGTCTGCGAGAGGCACAGGGAGACGGGGTCCCCAGCCAGGCCTGGAGGTGCAGGTGCTGGGAGCGTGAGCTGGAGGCCCAGGGCCACAAGGAGAGACTGGGCGTGTTCCTACCAGCCACAGGAAGGTGCTGGAGCCCCAGGGCATGCTGGCCTCTGTCCTGGCACCTGTGTGGGAGGTACACAGTTTGGGGAGTGCTTGGGTACTGAGAGGTGTCAAGTGAGAGGGCAGGGAGCGGAGAAGTGAACTGGTGGTTCTTCCCGGGCTCCTCTGAGTCTTCACCCCTCTAACTCCCTCTGGGGCTCAGCTGGCATTGGGGCTGCCTGAGGCTGAGCTGGCACCGGTTCTGAGGAGCTGAAGGAGCATGTTCTTCTCCAGTGTGTCCATGGGAAGCTCCTCCTACCTCCCTGCATCCAAGGCCTGGCCTTTGCCCTGGGTGCTGTGCCTCGGGGGACGTGAGGGCTTCCAGGGAGTTTTAGAAGGATGTGTTCTGGAGCCTCCGTGTTGACACCCCCTGGGAATAGAATCGCCCTGGGTTGAGGCATCCTCCAGACCCGCCTTTCCTGCTGCAAAGCTCTCACCACCACCAAACCTCACAGGCGTGCATCACCCATGGTGGGTGTGAAACTCATGGGGCCCGAAGCCATGGTACGTGGCAAGGTCGCGGTGGAAATCCACGTGGGAAGAGGAGCAGAAGAATCCACCAGCAGAAGAAGAGCCCAGAGGGGCTTCCGAGGAGGGCGCGGTAAACACGCACGCTGGCACCTGTGGGATGCGCTAGAGTCACATGTTGTGGGGGATGGGAATCCTCAAAGTGGGCAGGTTCCTCCCACCTTCTGTCCAGAGCAGTTTCTGAGGAGGTTCCCCAGTGAGCACGGGAGGAGCAGCTCCCATCCCAGTGTGTCCCACGCAAGCTAAGGATTCCAGGGAAAAAGTGGACATCCCGCCTACCTGAATTGGTATTTTTAGCTTTTCTTCTCCATGGCTAAGGGGGTGCAAGAAGCTTCCTAGGTCTGGGTTAGAGAAGGCCTCTTCCGTGGCTGAGATGGGGTCTCCAATGCCAGTTGGATTTTTTGCTCTTTAAGGAGGTGGTTTTGGTGGGCTCTTTACAGCCTGACAGTAAAAGCAGAAAAGTAAACTAGATACTTAAAAAAATATCCTAAGGGAATAAGAAGGAGCCTTGAACTGTGGACAGGGAGAAAAGGAGGGTGAACCCCCAGCCGCATCATAAGACAGAATCCGCACCTTCATATTGTGTGGACAGGGAGAAAAGGAGGGTGAACCCCCAGCCGCATCGTAAGACAGAGTCCGCACCTTCATATTGTGTGGACAGGGAGAAAAGGAGGGTGAACCCCCAGCCGCGTCGTAAGACAGAATCCGCACCTTCATGTTGCACAGCGTGGGCTCAGCCTGAGGGGACTCTCCTCAGCACCCTTCAGGACCCACCGCACCTTCCACCTCCCAGGGTGCGCCCCCTTGAAACTCCGTGAGCCTCAGCGCCTGCTGTGCACGGTGGTGAGTCCAGAGCCCACTGCCTCGGGCTCCTGCCCAACCTCTGCCAGCATCACGCTCCCCCATCCTTCCCACCTGTGCAATGCCAGCCCAGGTGGCATCCGCACCCATGGGCTAACAGGACAGGGCGCCCTGTGGCCAGACAGACCCTGGTGGGAATTCTCAGCACCTGTAGCTGTTCCTACCCTCCTCGCCCACCTCTCCTGAAGTGAGTGACACTGAGCTGACCCACATGTGGCTGCTCCTACCCTCCTCGCCCTCCTCTCCTAAATTGAGTGACACTGAGATGACCCACATGTGGCTGCTCCTACCCTCCTCGCCCTCCTCTCCTGAATTGAGTGACACTGAGCTGACCCACATGTGGCTGTTCCTACCCTCCTCGCCCTCCTCTCCTGAATTGAGTGACACTGAATTCTAAAGTCTAAAGTCACTTGGCTTATTTTACTTATGCAGGTTAGAATAAAGTAATTCTCTTAAATATGATGGTATTATTTAAAACTATAAAGTGAGATCATAGTACAAGGTTCCTGCTCACATGGTACTTTGATACAAATATAACCTATCATAATCCCAGCACTTTGGGAGGCCAAGACAGAGGGTTGCTTGAGCCCAGAGTTTGAGACCAGTCTGGGAAACATGGCAAGACCCTATCTCTACAAATAAACATAGCTGGGGGCGAATGGTGGCACACACCTCTAGTCCCAGCTACTCAAGACGGCTGAGGTAGGAGAATGGCTTGAGCTGGAGAGGTTGAGGCTGCAGAAAAGTAGCTTACATATGCGTGTGTGTATATATATGTTACATGTGTGTGTATGTTACATATATGTGTAATAAGTACCTGATGCATCATAGGTTATATATATGTTATATATATGCCTACAAATTAGCTTGGGGAAGGTGGTGAATGGCATATATGTTATATATATGCCTAAAAATTAGCTTGGGGAAGGTGGTGAATGGCATATACATACAAGCATACGTGTATATTTGTATAAAACCTATTGCTGTGGGTGGCTGTGTCCCCACCCAAATGTCATCTTGCAGCGTATCTCCTGTAATCCCCACGTGTTTTCAGAGGGATCTGGTGGGAAGTAACTGAATCGTGGGGGCAGGTTTTTCCTGTGCTGTTCTCGAGATAGTGAGTAAGTCTCACGTGATCTGGTGGTTTTATTAAGGGCGGTTCCCCTGCACACACGCTCCTGTCTGCACCTTGGAAGACGTGCCTTTGCTTCTCCTTTGCCTTTGGCCATGATTGTGAGGCCTCCCCAGCCATGTGGAACTGTGAGTCCATTACACCTCTTTCCTTTATGAATTACCCCGTCTCCAGTATGTCTTTATAAGCAGTGTGTGAACAGACTAATGCACCTATCATGCATCAGATACTTATTAAGACCAGGGCATTGTACATATATTCTTTTGAAAATTACATTTAGTCTGGGTGTAGTGGCTCACACCTGTAATCTCAGCACTTTGGGAGGCCAAGGTGGGCAGATCACTTGAGTCTAGGAGCTCAAGACCAGCCTTTTGGGAAACATAGAGAAACCCCATCTCTCCTAAAAATATAAAAATTAGATGGGTGTGGAGGTGTGTGCCTGTGGTCCCAGCTACTTGGGAGGCTGAGGTGGGAGAATTGCTTGAGCCCAGGAGGTGGAGCTTGCAGTGAGCTGAGCTCGTGCCAGTGCTCTCCAGCCTGGACGACAGAATGAGACTCTCTCTCTAAAAAAATTACACTTATTTCCTACATTCTAAAAGTAATATTTATATATTGAAGACAACTGAAATTATATTAAAAATAAGTAAGAAAAAATTATAGTCTCACCATCCAGAGAGAATGCTCTGAATATTATAGCATTTCTAGAGTCTTTTTAAAGGTTTATACACATCAGGACATGGAGAGTAAATCTGTTTATGACATGAAAATCCAGCTCATTTCATCCTTTCTGGTGGAAGGCGGTCCCTCCCCACACCCCCACCATGCCCCGTCCCCCACAGGCCTAGACAAGCCCCACCTACTGTTAGTGTCTTTAGACAACCTTCTCCTCCCTCCAGAGAAAGTGCCCATTCTAGTGGGACAGTAAGTCCTCCTTCACTGTTGGGTATTTTGGGGTGAGTCTGGAGAGTGTGATTTCAAGATGTTTCTAAAGGCTCTGGTTTTTAATATAAATCACTGAGGATACCTGAAGAGGCACGTTGAAACATTGTTGCTTCCTTTGTTTTCTTAAGAAAGAGACCATCAAATAATGTTGGGGGAAGCATCCCTGGACTTAACACTTTACTCTCTGTTCATGCCGTCTCTGCCCAGGCTGGTGCAGGAGAGCTGCCGCTGGCTCTGGGCCACGCCTGCCCTTTGGCTGTTTCTCCTCCAGTGCTGAAGGATCTGCAGGGATCGCAGCTCTGACCCTGCCGCACCTCTGCCATCCGCTGGCCCTGAACCGAGGCTTCAGTCTGCATGGGGGCCAGAGCCTCCAACAGCTGAATTAATCGGCCCCCGATTTGGAAAAAGGTCCCCTAGGTTTTCACAGAACATGTCTACTATTTCAGAGTCTTGGGGTAATAGCCTATAATTCACCTCTGTTCAGTTCAACAAACACTCCCTAAGCATCCACTTATGAGCAGATTTTGTGCTAAGAGCCAGGCGGTGGTTCTGGCGCTGCCTTGTGGGTAGGCGGAGACACCCAGCGCTAACATAAATCAGAGGTCCTGCCTGCAGGCGTATTTTGTTTGACCCTCGTGATGTTCTACTAACGTTTGAACTTGAATATTTTCCATGGGACAGGGCCCGTGAGTTCCCCACAGCACTCCCCACACGCTGCTTTTTAATGTCCTGCCCAGTTCCTGTAAGCTCCAGAGCTTGTGACCTCCAAAATGGGCAGTGATCACAGAATAAACACAGCCCTGTGGGGAGCCACAAAGCTGGAGAAGCATGAGGGATGGGAAGGTCAAAGGCACAGAGACGAGAAGTAGAAATGTGTGTCCTCAGCCTGGTGTCGCCCCAGGGGTTGGGCGATCTGGCAGGTATGGCGGAACCTCGCCTCTAAACTGTCTTGCAGATTTTCTGTAATATTGGAATAGGCCTTACTCATAGTTGTGCTTGCCCAATTTGGCCTGTCATTGGATTTGTGAAATGGCCTTGAGGCAATGGCTTAAATGATTTTTTAAATCTGTTTTTCTCTCATGTGAGCGTCTAGACCGGGAGGCGGCCAGAAGTGGCCGGCAGCTGTAGAGAGAGTTTTCCTGGGACACAGCCACGTGCCCTTGTCTCCATCTTTCTGTGGCTGCGGCTGTAGGATCCACAAGGCTAAAATCCGCATAATCTGCCCCGTGCAGAATACGTGTCCAGCACGACCCTGAATCAGGGACTGTGTGGGGACCCAGGCCTCCTCCCTTCGTCTGGGAGCAGCTGTCCTCCCTGCACAGAGCTGATGCCACCGTTCCTGGAGGGGCCACCTCTGGAAGGCTGCTGGTCACCACGTCCACAGTTAAAGCGGCAGCGGAGACAGCGTGGTGCTGAGGCTGCCAGGGAGGCTGGGAAGTGGCTCCGTAAGCGCCGGGGCCTGCACCGTAGGAGGAGGGGACCTGTGTCGGGAACCTTCCGGAAGCCAGGACGAGAGTACTCCCATCCTGAGCGAACTGCTTTCTCCTTTTTGCTTAGGCTGTGATGCCACAAAGCAAATGAAGAGGCGAGAAGGCGACAGGGCTTGGAGCCGGAACCTCAGCTTGATGCCCAGATCTGTGGAGCAGCCCTGTCCCCAGGCAAGTCGCCGACTGCTTCAGATCCCAGTGCCCGGTGGGGACTATACGTGCCCTGCTTACCTCCCAGCCTGTGGCGTAAGTGAGACGGTGCGAGTGGAAAAGGCAACACAGATAGGAAGTTTTAGGAAAATGTTAGGCCTGATCCCTGGGGCTGTGGGCAGCTGCCCAGGCTCTTCCTCTGTGTAGCTGTGGGCTGAGCTGTCCCTCTCTGTGGTTCGAGCAAGCGTGGCTGGACCAGGATGGGCACGGGCAGGGCTCCCGTGAGCTGCCGTCCACACTCACCCGGCATCGGGCTCCTTGGCGATGACCAAGTTCTTTGTTGATCTCTGTCCTCTCCAGCCCTGAACTGGGTCCTGAACACCCTGTTGTCTGTTGATCTATTTCGCTGCTGCTGCTGCCGGCCTGGGTCCCACCTTGCTCTCCACGACTTTAATCACATTCAGTGGAGGGTTTTGCCACCTTCTCTAAATCTAAGAAATCAGTGTTGTTGTAAATAGACATCCAAAATGCATGTTCTTCTTCTTTTCCTCAAGTCATCCAGACTCACTGCACGTCATTTTGGAGGGCGCCTTCCTTTCCGGATTCCAACCTCTGCGGCGCTGGCCTCAGGCTCCAGGTCCCGGCTGCTGGGGCTGCTCCTGTGGGGCCGATTCTGGCAGGACTGAGCCCACTGCTGCCCAACCCCTGGGAAGTGTGTTGTGGATAGACTACTTCTTTGTTTGTTTTATTCCTATACATTAGAAATATAGACTTACATTCATTGAAAATTAACCAAAAAACCTACCAGGTAGCTCCTGAACAGAATATGAAAGTGGGTAGCAGCTGGAGGGGCGTGTTTGTGGTCCCCAGCGCGGGCTCTACGCCGGGGGCGCATCCTTCCCACGTGCCACGGGCTATGAGGAACCGGCCCCTCTTCCTCCCTAATCTCAGCGATTCCAGCTGGGCTGCAGCCACACGGAGCTCACCGGAGGCCACCTGGCAAGCCTCTGTGATTATCTGCTGCAGACGCCGAGGCCTGGAGTCCCTGAGCATCGAGCCTCCCCGGGGAGCAAATGCACTCGGCACTCGTGAGGTCCACCGCCAACTCCATAACAGCGCTCCTAGGGAAAGAGCAGCGCCGGGCGTGTCACTTTTTACACAAGGGCTGTTTAGCTACGTGCTGTATCAGACACAGGGGACCCCTCCCTGCCTGGGGGCTTTAAATGCCACGCGCTGAGGCCAGCCCTTCCTGACGTGTCAGCCACTGCCCCCCAGTGTCTGTGGGACCCTGAGGGCCCCTCGGCCTTCCGCTCCGGGGAGCACCTGAAGTGCCTCAATTTACTCACTATCTGCCCGTCAGCCACAGCCACACCCTAGGTCGTGGAGAGGGTGTGGTCTGCACCTGCCCGTCAGCCACAGACACGCCCCAGGTCGTGGAGAGGGTGAGGTCTGCACCTGCCCGTCAGCCACAGACACGCCCCAGGTCGTGGAGAGGGTGTGGTCTGCACCTGCCCGTCAGCCACAGCCTCGTCCCTACTTGATTTTCGTTGGTGTTGCTTATGAGGTGCACCTTGATTCCAGAAATGTCAAAGCAGCAAAGCCGTGGTTGAAAAGCAGGCAGAAGCCTGTGCCGCGTGGGAGGCTCTGCAGCGCCCGCCCCACACCTGGCGTTCCAGCCACCTACCGACCAGAGATCTGAAGCGTGCGCGTTCTCTCTTCCTCACCGTGGCCGGGGTCCTGTTCTGTGCGCGGATCAGCTGCTGGTGTCTGCGGGAACACCGGCCCCCGGGCCACTGCGGAGCAGAACGGATGCTCGTCCTGGCATCTCCCCGTTTTTGTCTCTTGCCGACTTGTTCGGTATCTTGGCTTCACACACTAGAAAGCTCACAATAGTTCAGGGGTGGGGTTTAAATACATCTAAATCCCACCTCCCCGCAAACTACACATTAGTTAAATAGAATGAGTTTCTAGTTTTCAGCCAGAAAGGCTACCTTTGCCTCTTGAATAAACGTTTACAGACAAAACTCCTCCTATAACACTTGCTCAGAATTTAATTTTGCCACAACAGGAAAATTCAGTCCTGCCGTCTGGGCACGTCCTGCCGAATCGTGCGGGGAGGTGCAGCCGTGACACTGCAGCCTCCTTGCCCTCCAGGAGAGCAACCCCCTAGACGAAGTGAGGCGGGGACACGCCGGGGAGCACAGGCTGCTGAGCCAGAGCCTGAGCACAGTCGGAGCCGAGAGCATCAGGTGGGCTTAAGGTTTCTTCTGACTCAAAGCCTGTAATTTACAACTGCCCACACCAGGCACAACAGAAACTTCTGGTCAACCCAGGAGAAGCCAGTGCAATGCTGGCGTGTATGGTACTCCCCAGCATGTGTGGGAAACGTAGCGAGGATGAATTAAACCCTTTCCTCTGTGGCCGACTCCACCAGGCTCCTCCGCAGGAGACAGTGCCTTGTGCTGCAGCACAACCCATTCCAGGGGGAGGGGCCCAAAGCTCCATGCCCACAGGGCCCAACGTCAGCCCAAGCAGAAGTTTGCTGGGAGAGCCCCTCCTGCTCCTGCAATAGCCATGTGGCTGCCTCGTGCTGTTTTTGTTTGTTTTGAGGCAAGGTCTTGCTCTATTGCCCAGGCTGGAGTGCAGTAGTATGATCATGTTTCACTGCAGCATCAACCTCCTGGGCTCAAGCCATCCTCCTGCCCCAGCCTCCAGAGTAGCTGGGACTACAGATGCCAGCCACCATGTTTGCTAATTTTTACTTTTTTTTTTTTTTTTTGTAGAGACAGGGTCTTGCTATGCTGTCCAGGCTGGTCTAGACCTTCTGGCCTCAAGCAATCCTCTGGCCTCAGCCTCCCAAGGCACAGCCACCTTGTTCTCTTAGGAGCCTTGAAGGCCTGGGTCTTGACATTGGCCCTCAGAGGTGGCTGTTATCTTCCCTGCTTTACAAAGAAGGGATTCAGCTGATCAGGAGCAAGATCAGCCAGTGTGCCTCTTTCAAAAAGCCCAGCCTACCTCTCTGATGTAAAATAAGTACAAAAATGACGGTGCAATTTATGCAAATGCTGTTTGCAGAAGGGTTCCGTTCGAGCGCTGTGTTTGCAGAAGGGTTCCGTTCGAGCGCTGTGTTTGCAGAAGGGTTCCGTTCGAGCCCTGTGTTTGCAGAAGGGTTCCGTTCGAGCCCTGTGTTTGCAGAAGGGTTCCATTCGAGCGCTGTGTTTGCAGAAGGGTTCCGTTGGAGCGCTGTGTTTGCAGAAGGGTTCCGTTGGAGCCCTGTGTTTGCAGAAGGGTTCCGTTCGAGCCCTGTGTTTGCAGAAGGGTTCCGTTCGAGCCCTGTGTTTGCAGAAGGGTTCCGTTCGAGCGCTGTGTTTGCAGAAGGGTCCTGTTCAAGTGCTGGGAGCACAGTGCTTTCTTCCAGGGCCACCCTGTGCCAGGGGCCCTGGGCTCGTCACCTCCCTGGGATGCTCCTTCAGCAGCAAGAGCACTGGCTGGGCCCCTCTGAACGCTCCTGTGAGGACGTTCCTTGGGGAATCACTTGGAAGTGCTTTCAGCTCAGCCTCCATAGCCCTGCGGACCTCAGTGAAGCGCAGGCATAAGTGGTGAGATGCCAACTGCAGACCTGACGTTTGGGGGCAATTTACAAACACCTTGGAAAGGCGCCCTAGGAGAAAAGTAAAACTCAGATAAAGGAGGGGGAAAATAAAAATAAAGGGCCAAAATCTGACAAGTAGCTGTGTTTAAAAACCTCATTCACCATCACAGCAGGCAGAGTAATTTGTATTTACTTTGCTTTCAATTTATAGGCCAAGTAGCTAGCATTGAATTGATTGTGGTTTCATTTCAGTGGATTCTCTATTAAGGCCTCTTGATGATGATGGTCCTTAAGGGTTAACACTATTGAAGTGTGGGAAGTAGGTGGCGAGGACTGAAAGACCTGTCATTTTCCACCATTTTTGTAGCCACAATGGAGTCGAATGGTTGGTTTCTCTATTTACTGCATAAGCTTTTCTAGTTAACCAACACCCCTTTTCAACTCTTTTGCAATAAATTATCCACAAAATGGATTTTCCCCCTGCAGAATTTACAGAGCCCCTGGTCTATGATTTGTGGGTTCCCACAGGGCTAGAAGGGGAATTCCCAAAGCTCCGAGGAAAGATTCTTGCTCAAAAGGTGCTCAGGGAGGAGGAATCTCTAAGAGCATTGGGTCTATTAATAATTATTTGTAAAAACCGATTTTCCTCATTATCCTTCTTAGGATTTTGAATCTGTCTGTGTCAATAACATGCTCACTCTCAATGAGAAGCTGGACTCATTTTTTGTGTGTGGTGTCTTAAAAAGTTCTTTTATTTTGTCAGCCCAATGCCAAATAATTGGATGACTGAAGTTTTCACTTTTTAGATTTTTTTTTAATGTGTCATGTTTTCTTAACCTTTTTATTTTGTAATCAGCTTTCTCAGGTTGAAATGTTTTTCTGTAAGTTCTAAGTCAAGATTTCTGTTCCAAATCACGCAGGCAAAGCCTAAATTGTATCCTTAACAGTATCCAACTCAGATGCTCTCCCTAGTCATGACCAATGATTGCGTTTCATGAAATGGTATGGGTGATTCTCATCAGTTCATGTTAATTTTTTTTTACAGTTTCAGCTAAAAAACAAAACCAAACAAAATGCTTACCCCCCATGTAAGGTGCATGCATAGCTGATGGCCCTTGAGATAATGGCCAGTCAGCGTTGTCCTTGCAAACCAAGCAGCTCCTCCAGGAAAGGATCCCCAATGACTGGGAGATATGGGCTGGAGTTCATGGGGATGAGAATGAGGCCAAGACAGGCTGAGCACCTGCTTAAACCAGGCCCTTGCAGTGAGCCCGGCCAAATCAGGCCTTTCAGGTCCTTACATGGCAAAATGTGGTGATGGTTAATTTTATGTGTCAGCTTGCCTGGGCTAAGAGGTGCCCAGATAGCTGGCACACGTGACTCTGGGGTGTGTCTGAGGGCATACGGATGAGATGGGCATCTGAATTGGACTGAATAGCATCTCACACTCCGGAACGGGAATGGGTGTCATCCAACCCGCTGAGGGCTGGAATAAGACATGGAGGTGGAGAAAGGGAGACTGCTCTCACCTCTTGAGCTGGGACGTCCTCTTCTCTTGCCCTTGAACATCTGAGTTCCGGGTTCTTGGGCCTTTGGGTTTGGACTGGAACGACACCACTGGCTCGCCTGTATCTCCAGCCTGCTGACAGAAGATCATGGGACTTCATCATTGTGTGAGCCCATATGAAATAAAAATCTCCCTCTAAATCTCTATATTCATCCTATCGGTTCAGTTTCTCTGAAGATCCCTGACAAACACAATTGCTGTCACGTGTCATGAGCACTTTGGGTTCCAAAAAAGACTCAAGTAATGCCCGGAACAGCACCCTGTTAACTGAACAAGGGAAAAGCCGAGCAACGTGCTTTGCCATCACTAAATGCACAGAATGTCTGAAGAATTAGGCCCCCTCATAGCACCAGTCATCTGTGTGTGGTGCTATGGTGCTACCAGCTCACTCCTGGGGCCTCTGAGAAACTTTGCTCAGTCACTCATTTGAAGGTGTCACAGTAGCATGAGGGACCTGTGGCCAGTCTAGACCCTCATTCCCAATGTTCTGTCAATAATTCTGTCCCTAGGTGCTAAGTGGCCAAGGTTATTTTGAGAAATATCTTGTGCATCAAGAGAGAAGTTGGTGCATGTGTGCGTGTGTATGTGTATGTGTGCGTGTATATTATGTGCATGTGTGTATGTGTGCATATATATGTACATGTGCACATATGTGTATTATGTACATGCATGTATGAATGTGTAAATGTGTATGTGCATGTATGTGTGCATGTATGTGTATATGTGCACACGTGTTGTGTGTGCGTTTATTCACTTGTGTGCATGTAGGTGTATTATGTGCATGCATGTATGCACCTGTGTGTATATGTACATCTGCATGTATGTGTATTGTGTGTGTATGCACACGTGCATGTATGTGTATTATATACGTGCATGTATGCATGTGTGTATGCATATATATGCATGTATATTATGTGTGTGCATGTATGCATGTTTGCATGTGTGTATGCCCGTGTATGTGTGTGCATACACATGTGACTCTTCCTGTTTTTTTCTGAAGCCTGTTGTCCCCTAGGGGCAGAGTTGGACTCTTAATGGGCTCAAACTTGCTGACCACTAAATTTCTGTTAGTTTTTATGAACAAGATACTGTCTTACATATTCTGGCCCTTTTAGCAGATTTTCCTTCCAGACAGTGTGGGTGGGAGGTGACCTCCTAGGACAGGACTCAACTACCTTTCTCATGTGTGAACTCTCACAGCGTTTCCTTTGTGTGGATTTGCACATGCAGACATTTATGTGTGCGTGTGCATGTCTTACTCAAGACTGGCTGCTGGAAATGTCCAGAGTTTTAAGTTCATTATGATGCATCTGACAAGTTTTCCTCCTTGCAGGGTGGAGGGGCATGTCATACAGCCCCAGGGCTTTTTACAAGCCACCCCAAGCCCCACCATTTTTCTTTCTTTCTGATGTTTATGGACAGATAAACTTCTCTTCTTGTTACCCTTCCTGAAAACATAACATCCATTCATTTCTATTGGAATTCTACAGGGAAGGTGGCACTTGAGGAATTTGTGAATACCTGTCTTGCTCCAACTCTCCATTGCTCTAAAAATGATGGCATTAAAGGGGATTTAGACAGAATGCTGGTTAAGAGCATAGGGTCTGGAGCTAGACAAGGGGGTTCAAGTCTCAGCTACGCTAGTCTGGCCGTGTTACCTGGGTGAGGTGTTAATGTCTCTGTGCCCCTGTGCCTGGGGCTCCTTCAGGAACTGGGACAACATACCTCCTTCATAGAGTTGCTATGTCGGGTAAATGAAGTAATCTACACAAAATGTTTCGCACAGTTCCTGGCTCAGGGTAGGGATGAAGTAAACGCACGCCTTGGTCTATGTCAGTTCTGAAGAACCGTTAAGTACATGGTTAAATTATGGATGAATATGGTTGTTTAACTTGAAAAAAATCAAAGACCAAATCCATTAGCATGTTTTGGCTGATGGTCGTGGCTAAGAAATCCATTTATTAGTAAAAAAGAATCCAGGGTTTTAGTGTTTCCATAGCAACAGAACAACAAACACTGACCCAGAAATAGGAGAAAAGTCTAAAATAAAATTGTCCTTTGAAGGCATCTTTGATTGCCTTCTCCAGGCGTGGACAGAGCCAACGCCTCCTCCCAGCGGCCTGCCCCGGCCACCTGGCCCCTCTTCCACCTGCCTGGTGCCTGCCCTCCATGGCACTGTTGCCTTCTGCATGCTGAAGACTCGCTTGCTGGTGGATTTTGGTTTGTTTATGGTTCACCTTCTGCTGCTCTTCCTGCCTAGAACAGGGTCTGGCCCATGGGGATGCTTGGTAAATAAACTAATGAACAGAGGTCAGTGGCCTGGCCATGGCCTTGACAGGCGCCAGCTGGTGTGCACAGACCTTGTGGACACAGCATCATCAGATGTCAGAACAAGGAGCTATTCGGGAAAAATCAGAAATGAAGGAAAGTTCTGTGTTTCCAGGGTGACCGTTTGTAATTAATCACCTCTTGACCTTGTGGAAACGTCTTAGTTATTTAGTGTAAGAATTAATAGTTTGTAAGGAATCCAGATGTTCTCCTAAATTAAAATAACATACCCTACTTTTGGGTTAAACAGTAGCTATTTTTCCTCAGAGGAAAGGTTGAGTTTTAGATAGTTTCTGTGTAGGATTTCTAAAGGAACTACTTTGTAAAAATTGGGATTTACCACTTACTTTTTGGTACATTTGTGTAGTCTCTGGAATGTAGTACAAGGGCTCAAGAGAAGCCTGTATCTCACACTGGTGGCTGTCAATACAACTAAAAACGACTTTGTGCTTGGCATGTACTTGGTGTATGCTTGATATGTACTTGGTGTGTGCCTGGCATGTACTTGGTGTGTACTCGGCATGCACCTGGCACGCGCTTGATGTATACTTGGCATGTGCTTGGTGTGTACTTGACATGTACTTGGCATGTGCTTGGTATGTACTCAGCATGTCCTTGGTGTGTGCTTGGCATGTACTCGGCATGTTGTTGCTGCTGTCCTAGGTGCCTCTGCATCTGGTGTCCTGGGGCTTAGAGCTGGTCCTCTCATAATCATCTTGTGTACAAGGACATTAAGGCTCAGGGAACGTGGGGGACCTGCCCAAGCTACATGGGCAGAGGAGCTGTGGCTGCTCCTCCAGCTCCTGGGTCACCCTGGGACACCTGAAGGGGGTCCTGCTGGGAGCTCCCAGGGAACCCATCTGAAACGCAGCCTGGTTCACTGAAGGGCCTGACTTTAACCAGGCTGATATGGTTTGGATTTTGTCCCTGCCTAAATCTCATGTCCAACTGTAATCCTCAGTGTTGGAAGTGAGGTCTGGTGGGTGGTGATTGGATCATGGGGTGGATTTCCCCTTTGCTGTTCTTGTGATAGTGAGTGTATTACTCCATCTCACACTGCTATAAGGAGCTTCCCTGAGACTGGGGAGTTTATAAAGGAAAGAGGTTTAATTGAATCATAGTTCCACATGGCTGGGGAGGCCTCAGGAAACTTACAATCATGGTAGAAGGGGAAGTAGGCACATCTTACATGGCAGCAGGCGAGAGACAGCGTGTGAAGGAGGAACTGTCAAACACTTATAAAACCATCAGCTCTCACGAGGACTCCCTCACTATCATGAAAACAGCATGGGGGAAACCGCCCCTATGATCCAGTCACCTCCCACCAGGTCCTTGACATGTGGGGATTACAATTCGGAATGAGAGCTGGGTGGGGACACAGAGCCAAACCATATCAGTGAGTGAGTTCTCAGGAGACCTGGTGTTTGAAAGTGTGTGGCACCTCCTTTTCTCTCTTCTTCTTCCTGCTCTGGCCATGGAAGACATGCCTCCTTCCTCTTTGCCCTCTGCCATGATCAAAAATTTCCTGAGGCCTCCCCAGCCATCCTTCCCATACAGCCTGAGGAAGTGTAAGCCAATTAAATCTCTTTTCTTTATACAATACCCAGTCTCAGGTATTTCTTTATAGCAATGTGAGAACAGACTAATATACAGGCTGATGGCTTCAGCTGAGGAAGTGAGTGAGGGTAACAGTGTGATATCAGTGCCTCCAATAGTGGCTCATCTTACTTGAGATTGGCAGCTGTGCCTGAGGGGATTGGTGTGGATAACTGGTCTTGGGGCTTGTGAACATATACAACTCCTAAGTTGTGAATAAAAATGGTCACAGCACCCGAGCTGTGGTGCTGTTCATTCCTCTGGGATTTTTCATACAGGACTCATAAGAGTGCTGTGTGAGAACAACCAGGAATGCTGCAAAAACACTCGTAGGTTTTCTTTCTCCCCGCCCCCCACCATCTTATTTTTTGCTTTTATTTCCTCAAAACACTTTGTGAGCATTTGTTATTGAAAATAGATTGTTCTCCAAGATGCAGATGGTCAGCTGGGGACACTGGTGGGGGTGACGCACCCCATGTATTTTCAATATAATGTAAGAGTCTGAGCTTTAGACTGTCTTGTAAGATCTCCTGTGGACTGATGATATTTTTTTCAAAACCGAAGTATCATTACATTTGTTTGCAGTTTTAAGATAAAAAGGTCATTGCCAAAAGATGTTTTTCACTAATATTATCTGGGATGAACATTGTGACCTGGCAGGGTAGGTAGGGCAGGCACGTTGCCTTGGGCTCACCTGTGCTATGGGGGTGTGAAGGAGTTGGAGGTCCCATGAGCACTGGGGCTCACCCCGCACCTTTCCTTCCTGTGGATGCCTTTCCCTTCTTCTGGGGATGTACTCTACTAGTTTGTATAATGGTTCGCATGTGTAAGTGACCTTACTATATTTAATATGGGGACAGGGTAGGGTGGAAACTAATATCTACAATTATCTTTATGTTGCCTTCATTTTTGGGAGATATTTCCTTTGGACGTTAAATTCTAGATTGGCGTTTTTCCTTTCAGCTCTGTAGAGGTGTCTTCTGTGGTCTTCAGTGTCCATTGTTTCTGGTAAGAAGTTTTGTAGAAAGTAAAAAGTTTCCTCTTCAAAGTTTCCCTTGTTAAATAATAAATCATAAGTGTTAGAAGTAATAGTTTCTTTTAAAGACTAACTTCCTTCAAGCCTCCTTGCTTTGTGCTAATTACTCTTTGTTGAGTCCTATCCTACGTAGCTGTTGGACATCCAGCTCACGGCCTATGCCTCTTCCTTATTTGGAAATGTTATTGCTTCTTTAAATCTTTCGCAAGCAACTTCCTCTTTTCCTTTGTTCTTCCTTGCATTTACCTATTTAAGAAAGTTTTAGGTTGTTAGCAAATCAGGTATCATTTTAGACTGTGAGGTCTGGCTCCAGGCAATGGATGCAGGACACAGTAGTAAGGATGACCCAAATGCGTAAGGGATACATATGTCTGCTTTTCCTTTGTTTGGTGTACTCTTGTGGCAAAACTGCTGGCGAGAGTACCCTTTCTGCAGAAAGTAAAAATTGCCTTGCTCAGAGAATTTATGTTCAAGTGCTATTTCTTTGTGGCACTGGGGAACAGGCATTGCTAACAGGTTTCCTGTTTGTCATTATTATTGTTTCCCTCCACGAAATACATCTTTTTTTCTGGTTAATTGTAAGCTTTTGCTTTTTTTTTTTTTTTTTAATTTTCAGTGGTTTGACCATGATGTAATTAGATGTTTTATTTTTTGTTGATTTGTCCTTGTTTGGGGTTTTCTGAGCTTCTTAAATCTGTTGTAAACCAAAGAGCATCTGAGACAGGTCTCAATCCAATTAGAAGCTTATTTTGCCAAGGTTATAGGTCATGACTGATGACAAAGCCTCAGGAGGTCCTGAGAACATGTGCCCAAGGTGTTCAGGGTACAGCTCGGTTTTATACATTTTAGGGAGACATGAGACATCAATCAATACATGTGAGGCATATGTTGGTTTGGACTGCAAAGGCAGGACAACTCCAAGGGAAGGGACTTCCATGTCATAGATGGATTCAAAGGTTTTCTGATTGACCGTTGGTCAAAAGAGTTATCTAAGGACCTGGATTCAATAGAAAGGAGTGTCTGGGTCAAGATAAGGGGTTGTGAGGACTCAGGTTCTTATTATGTAGATGTCTCGTAGGTGGCCACCCAGGAGGCAACAGATGGCAAATGGCTCCTATTCAGACCTTAAAAGGTGCTAGACTCTCAGTCAATCATTTCAGGTTTGGAAAAAGATCTTGAAAGGGAAAGGGATTCTGTACAGAATGTAAAATTTCCCCACCAGAGACAGCTTTGCAGGGCCATTTCAAAATATGTCAAAGGGGCTAGGCATGGTGGCTCATGCCTGTAATCCCAGCACTTTAGGAGGCCAAGGTGGGTGGATCACCTCAGGTCAGGAGTTGGAGACCAGCCTGGTCAACATGGTGAAACCCCATCTCTCCAAAAATACAAAAATTAGTTGGATATGGTGACATGCACCTGTAATCCCAGCTACTTGGGAAGCTGAGGCTTGAGAATCATTTGGACCCAGGAGGTAGAGGCTGCAGTGAGCTGAGATTGTACCAGTGCACTCCAGCCTGGGAGACAGAACAAGACTCTGTCTCAAAAACAAACAAACAAACAAACAAAAACAAAAACGACAACAACAAAAGCAAAATATGTAAAAGAAATATATTTTGGGGTAAAATACTTTGATTTCCTTCAGTACCTGCCCTCTGTCATGTGATGCTATACTTGAGTTGGTTGGGAATTTGGTATCTAATTGCTACAGAGCGTCTGTTCTGTCAGTCTTAGGATCTCTGTTTTAACGTGAATGCTGATCAGTTGTGCCTGAACTTCAAAGGTTCAGAAAGTGCGTAAGAGGAGAGGGGAGGGGCGCCAGCTGAGAACACTGTTCTGGCCGCAGTACCGTTACTGCTGAGGTTATACTTGGATGACTGAGGGATAAAGGCAGATGAAAATTAGCCACACCGACAGAGGAGAAACACACCCACTGGGGCCGGGCAAACTGTCCAAGGCATACTGTCCAGAAGTAACAGCTCCTCACTTGAGCCCAGGAGTTCAGGACCAGCCTGGGCAACACGGTGAGACCCCCCTCAACAAAAAAATCGAAAATGAGCCAGGTGTGGTGGTGCACGTCTGTGGTCCCAGCTACTCGGGGCTGGGGTGGGAGGACTGCCTGAGCCTGGGAGGTTGAGGCTGCAGTGAGCTGTAATTGCACCACTGCACTCCAGCCAGGGTGCAGTGCTCCAGACATAGCAAAACCCTGTCTCAAAAAAATAAATACATAAAAAAAGAAATAACAGAAGTAACAGTCCCCCCTGGACATTAAGGATGTGACTTCCTTCCCGTTCATCCCTTCTCACTGGCTTGGTAACTGGATCTAACAAGGAAGTGATATTGCTTTTCTTTTTTTAAACCCTCTTGCTCTATCGCCCAGACTGATGTGCAGTGGTGCGATCTCAGTTCACTGCTACCTTTGTCTCCCAGGTTCAAGCTATTCTTGTGCCTCAGCCTCCCAAATCGCTGGGACTACAGGTGTGCACCACCACTCCAGACTAATTTTTGTATTTTTAGTAGAGACGGAGTTTCACTAAGTTGGCCAGGCAGGTCTCGACCTCCTGGCTTCAAGTGATCTGCCTGCCTTGGCATCCCAAAGTGTTGGGATTACAGTGGTGAGCCACTGCGCCCAGCTGATATTGCTGTTTTCAAGGTTGGCAGGCCAGAAGCCTGGGCTAAGGCACTCAGACAAGCCCCTCCCCTGCCCACCTGGTCACCACCATTCATAGTGATCATTCATCTGTGGTGAGAGGTGGGCAGCAGATGAATCTGAAATGGAAATACTCAATGCATAACTTTTTGGAGGTTTTTACAAAAGCAGACACTGTGGCCAGTTCATTCAATAATTTTTTTTTATTTCAGATACTGTATTTTTCATTTCTAGAATATCCTTTTTAAAGAAAAGTTTCTAAATATCTTCTAAAATTTCTTAGCATTATAACTATCTTTTCCTGTAGAATCTTCAACATATTTATCATTGTTATTTCAAAGCTCTTTTCTACTAATTAGAACATCATGGTCATTGGTGGGTCTCCTTCTACTGACTGATTTTTCTCTTATGTATAAGTCACATTTTTCTGTTTGTTCAGGAATTTACAAATTATATACTGTATATAGGGCTTAGGATATCATAGAGACTAGACTTAACTTCTTTTAACTTCATGTCTTGTTTTTTTAGGTTTTAATATGTTTCTGGCATCAAAAATATTGTATCGGAATGTCAAGTTCCTACTAAAGACAGATTTTTCTTGATTTTAAGCATCATCAGCCTAACTCAAACAGAAATGAATTTATACTGAGGACCTGGGTAGCCTGCAACATCATGGGAGAGCTGTAGAGCAAGAGTGGTGCAAACAGGCGGGAGCCAAGGGGGCTGGGAGGCAGGAAAACTTGCTTAGTGCATTGCAACTCACTTCACGTTTACAGACGTCTCTTACTACCTCTGGACACTGACCACTGCCAGTGCCCCTGGATCCTGGACACCAGTGGTATAAGTGGAAACTTGCCACCTCTCCCCTACCTTTGAGCAATTTCCTAACTGTCCCCACAGAAGCATTCAATTGACAGCCCAAGTCACATGACAACGCCCTGGGCGCCAGAGGGCAGGGAGCTGGATGGCCTGGTTTCCACCTAACTAGCCTTGCAACATGGGGAGGGCTTTCACACACAATCCCCTTGCTCTGCCTTATCCTGAGTCTGCATGTTTTTGGTGGGTGTGTCAAGGAGTCAAGGCTCTGATAATCTTTACTTGGGCCATTTTTTGGGGGTAGCGTTTGCAGGGAACAACCCTGAGGATAGGGATAATATCTCTCTCTGGATAAAGAACAGGCCCACTTACTGCTCCCTGTAAGGGCAGTAGATTCCCCAAGCCCACTGCCCCTCAGCTGCAATGCTGACCTATGTGTGTACAGCATCCCTGTGGGCCCTTCATGCCATGCCTATGGACTAGGGGGCCTAGGAAACTGGTCAACACAGTGCTCATGCTGCTAGCTGTGCCGTGGGTCATAATGAAGTCCTTTGTCTCTGATCCAGGAGTCTTGTGTCTTCTGCCAGTCTCTGTGGAACAGTGACAAGTGGACTGTGAGCTTGTGAGCAGGCAAAATGGAAGGCCCTGACATCTCTTTGTCCAGTTGTCTCAGGTGTCAACAGCATCTCTAAATACATACCTGTCTCATCTGTTTCTCAGTACTGAAGATTCAATTGTTATCCAGGAGATTTTTCTAAACTATAATGTATGAAATGTTAAGAGATGTCTTAGGAAATTCTTTTTTAAAAGTTTGTGTGTGGAAAGATGACAGCAATAATCCTCTCCCATCTGTCAGCTTGCCCCTATGCAGTGCAACTCTGCCACTCTTCCCATCAAGTTTATTTCTTCACCTCTTGAATCTGATGTGTCCATGCAATTTGCCTTAGTTAATGTGATGTTAGCAAATTTAACCCAAGAAAAGCAGAGGCTGGAAAAAGGCCAGCACATTGAGGCTGTCTTCCTTTTGCTGTGTGTGGGGACCTGAGACCATGATGCAAGCAGATATGATCTCCTCTGCTGCAGAGGCCTGGAGAGCTGTGGTTCCCCTGCCAGCACCTGCAAGTCTCACTCACCAGACCATCCCTGACCAGCCATCCCCAGCTGGGTACATCTGAAGCTGTGAGAATGTCCCAGCTAGAAAGCATATGAACCACATGGCTGAGCCCAACCCAAACTGCCGACCCACAGCCTTGTGAGCAAATAAAGTGGCTGTTTTATGCCCCTTCCTTTTGGTATCATGTGTTTTGCAGTGATGGGTAACATACTTAAGATAAATTAACAAATTTCAATGGATTCTAAGATGCTCATTTGAACATCTTAATGCTTTTAAAGTTGTGATGTGTCTTATAATTCCATGGCATGCCATAGTTTTATTAGCAGTGATTATTGTTCTTTCAAAAGTACACGTCTTTCAATCAATAGCTTCTGAAACTCAATAAAATACAGTTTTGGAAATACTGTGCTAAAAATAGAGAATTTCATATATTGCAGAACTTTTCAGAGACTTTAGTAGGTTAACGTGGAGTGTGACTCTCCAAAAGAAAGTGGAGTAATACAGTAATAAATAATATATAACTTATATGAACATATGACATGTATACTGAAGTAAATAAAAATTCCCCAAACCACAGGACCACGCCCCATCAATTTTTTGCTTGTAGTTCCTACTGATATTTCAGAGGAGCCCAATTCAGGAATTTGGGATCAAACATCCCTTCTCTCCAGTCAAAGTAATTCATATACTGGTTTCTTGACTTAGATGGCCTAAAATGTCAGAGAACATATTCTGAAAACAGTGCAGGAAAAAAGAAAAGGAATAAAGGAAAAATTGAAACAGGAATGCCTTGCCTAGAACAAAGACAACAATGTGCAAATCTAAAAGAGAAAATCAAAGGTTAGTGATTTTGTTGTTAATGTTTCAAGATATGTTCCCTTTGACTAACAATAATTGAAGCCTCTACATTAAAAATGACACCAAAACTCTTACATTGGCTCTACTTTGTCAGAATTGTGAGAAGAAGCTTTTACTGTTAGTTGGTAATAAATAAAAACTCTCTCCATAAGACAAATACGCATTTTCACAGTGGGAGAAAATTAAAATTCACTCCTGGAAGAGCAATTTCAAATTGGAGGCATTTATATCCCATTAGCAAAAAGTTAACATATCCGGAATAATGATGTCTGAAATATTTTTTTATGACCCAGAAATGGTATTTCCTTTTTTTTTTTTTTTTTTTTTTGAGACAGAGTCTCGCTCTTTCGCCCAGGCCAGAGTGCAGTGGTGCAATCTCGGCTCACTGCAAGTGCCACCCCCCGGGGTTCACACCATTCTCCTGCCTCAGCCTCCGGAGTAGCTGGGACTACAGGCACCTGCCACCACGCCCAGCTAATTTTTTGTGGTTTTTTTAGTAGAGACGGGGTTTCACCTTGTTAACCAGGAAGGTCTCGATCTCCTGACCTCGTGATCCGGCCGCCTCGGCCTCCCAAAGTGCTGGGATTACAGGCGTGAGCCACCACGCCCGGCCCAGAAATGGTATTTCTACTTTACGCAGTAGGATTGAGTTTTGCTCTGTTGCCCAGGCTTGAGTGCAGTGGTGAGACCATGGTGCACTGCAGCCACAAACTCCTGGGCTCAAGTGATCCTCCCAGCTTAGCCTCCCAGACCACGAACACTGCCACCATGCCCCGCTAATGTTTTAATGAAATGGTGGGTTTCTGTAGAGATGGGATGTTATGTTGTCCAGGCTGGTCTCAACCTCCTGGCCTCGGGCCTCCCACCTCGGCCTCCCAAAGCCGTGGGATTACAGGGGTGAGCCACTGTGCTCAGCTACCTAGTATTATTTCTAAAGCACTCAAGATCTTTATGGTAATATAAAATATATTAAAATCTCAGAATATTAGTATTGGAAGGCGCCTGGTAGTCAGCAGGTTAATCTCTTCTGCTAAAGCCCTAGCGGACCTTCCCTGACCCCCGCCGTGATGAGAGCCCCCCATTTCATGACATAACACGTCCTCTTTAGCAGATGCTTTCTTTATAAGTGTGACTTATGTTAGAAAAGGTTTACCGTTTTTCCATTTCAAAAGTAATCCATGGTCATTAGGGGTAGGAGGAGGAGGAAGAGAGAGGCCTCCGGAGCCGGCTCCCCGAGGGCGCGGCGCGTCCGTGGCCCAGGTGTCCTCGCGAGGCTGCACGCCGGGTAACCGCGCACCCATCGCCTTGCCATGGTAACCGGGGCTTCCCGGTGACCGCCAGCTCGCGCCACCCCCGCTCTTCAGCGGCCTCCGAAGGTGCCTAGAAGCCTGTGAGCTCAGCGCCCAGGCAGGTCTCCCTTCCTCAGGCCGCGGAGCCTCGCTCTGCACAGTAGGGGGCGGGCTGTTCCTTTCCGGCCTGAGGAGGCCCGTGGCTTCCCGCGCCGACGTTTGACGTGTGGCAGGGACCCGGTTAGCGTTTCTGCATCTCAGATGGAGATGTGTGCTGTGCAGAGGCCGTGGCTGGGGCGCCACGAGGCTGCCCGACTGCAGGCGCCCGGCGGAACCCTCGCTCAGGCCCGGCTCAGTCTCAGGGCAGGCGCGGTCCCTCGCCCAGGCCCCCCACCGGCCTATCCGTGCCCCCCACCCTCGCCCAGGCCCCCCCCCCGCCTCTCCGCGCCCCCCACCCTCGCCCAGGCCCCCACCCGCCTCTCCGCGCCCCCCACCCTCGCCCAGGCCCCCCACCGGCCTCTCCGCGCCCCCCACCCTCGCCCAGGCCCCCCACCCGCCTCTCTGTGCCCCCCATCCTTGCACCCCGCGCTGTCCCCGGCGGTCTGGCCTGGCGTCTGGAGCTCCGGGAGCGCCTGTCCTCCCAGGGCCGATGCCAGCGCCCGCCCTCCGCGTTCCCGGCATTGACAGAATGTCCAGGCGCGCAGGGCCCGTGGGTGGGGCCTGGGCACCCGGCCCTGCCCTCGCGCACCCTCCAGACCCGCCACTTCTTAGATAGAGAGCGGCCGCCTCCCCGCCCTCCTTTCAGCCACTCGCTCCGCGCAGTCAGCTCTGCTGACTCTTCCGGAGGATTCTGGAAGGTTCCAGAGGGTGTGCCGCCGAGGCCCTGCGAGAGGGCGTTCCCTGGGGAGAACATTCCAGAGCAAGGTAACATCCATAAACGGAGGCTGAAACGGCCTGAGACGTCCCGGGAGTAACGAAGACCCCAAGGCGGCCCCAACTTGAGGGGGGCGAGGTAGCCAGGAATGGGGGGGTGGTGGGAGGGACGGGAAGGCAAACGCGCTGCCTGCTGGGGACGGACGCGCCTTGGGGCAGCCGGGGAGGCCCCGAACGCAGAGATGGGGGAGGCCAGGCGGGTGGGGAGGAGCCCGCGGGGCCGCCAAGGGGGTTCCAGGCAGGCAAGGCCGCCCGGCCTCGGGGCTCTGCGGCACCCAGGTTTCTCTTTCTTTAATTTTTTTGATGGAATCTTGCTCTGTCGCCCAGGCTGGAGTGCAGTGGTGCGATCTTGGCTCACTGCAACCTCCACCTCCCGGGTTCAAGCGATTCTCCTGCCTCAGCCTCCCGTGAATTTATTTTTAAGTTTCCTGGGGGGTGGGATGAGGACCTCTTTGGCCTTTTGTTTGGAATCATGTTAACTTAGTAGACTTCTTAGCTCTGTTGGACATTTTTAAAACAGAAGAGGCTGCCCAGCTGTGAATATCTCATTTCTTATGATACTCATCCATAGTCAGAAGAACCAAGGCAGAAACTGAGGATGCTTGTTGTAAAGTTGGGCTAAGAATACACCCCAGAGCCATGATAGACATAGACTCTGAAAGAAAGGCAGATCTGGAACTAATAAGCAATTATAGCAAGGTCGCAGGAAACAAGGCTAATATGTAAAAGTCAGTCGCTTTCCTATGTACTACAAATGAGCGAGTGGAATTTGAAAATAAAAACATAATACCATTTACTGAAAATGAAATACTGAGGTATAAATCTAACAAAGTATGTACAAGAGCTATATGAGGAAAACTACAAAACTCTGATGAAATAAGTCAAAGAAGGACTAAATGAAAGGAGAGATATTCCATATTCATGGTCAGGAAGACTCACTATCATCAGAGGTCAATTTCTCACAAATTCATCCATAGATTTAATGCAATACCAACAACAATTCCAACAAGTTGTTCCCGAACACCAGGGGTTCTGTCCAGGTCATGCTGCCCACTGCACAAAAAGCCCCCAGTCTCTGAGACAAAGAGAGTTGCCGGGGAAGAAGGCTTTATTCTATTACAGGCGGTGTCAGCTGGAGAGACAGGAGTCAAAACTCAAATCCGTCCCGCCTTCCCGGCTAAAGTCAGGGGTTTACATAGCTGGGAAGGAAGACAGGAGGGGCAAAGAGGGGAGGTGCGTGGGTGGAGCACGGAGGGGAGGTGCGTGGGTGGAGCACGGAGGGGAGGTGCGTGGGTGGAGCACGGAGGGGAGGTGCGTGGGTGGAGCACGGAGGGGAGGTGCGTGGGTGGAGCACGGAGGGGAGGTGCATGGGTGGAGCACAGGATATTTTTGGGACGGTGGAACAACTCTATGATACTATAATGGAGGATGTGTGTCATTACACATGTAGCCAAACCTACATTGACAGCAGTGGCTGCTGCCATCATCCGCCTGCAGCAGGGAAGCGTGGCTGGGGCCTCACACTCCATGGAGCCAGTGGGTGCCCCGCCCCTTCTGAGTTCGGAAGGGAGCTGTCCGTGCTCCCCGTGCTGCTGCACCTGCCCAAACCACAGCTGCAGACCCAGGCCTCCTGCTCTACGAAGCTGCCCAAACTGCAGCTGTGGATATGAGCCTCCCTGTGCACTTGAGGGAGCTGGGAACAGGCAAGATCTGCCTTCCCGGGTACAGCTGCAGCTGCGGCACCCACGGCTGCAAACCTGGGCCTCCTATTCCAAAAAGCGGGCAGGAGCTAGGGACAAGTAGGAGCCCTGCCCCTTCCGAGTTGGTGGGAGCTCCCAGGTGCAGCTGTGGCCGCCCTCCCGGGTACAGGACCTGGGTGTTTCTGCAGCCTACACCCTCAGGGGCCCCAGGAAGGACCCCCCCTACCACATCCCTGCAGGCTCGGGGGTGTCTTCTGCTGCCTGGCCTCTCTCCACTCCTAGCGCCTGCTCCGATCTCAGAGCTGGGGCTGGGGCCAAGCCCAGGGGCCATGAAGGGCCGTGGGAGGCAGATTGATTTCTGGGTAGAAGGGGCAGGTCCCCAGGAAGGCCCTACCTTCAGGCCAGCGAGGGCCTGAAGGCTGGGGGCTGGGCTGCCAGTGCTGCAGACAGGAGTGGGGACTCTTGATGCCTCTTCTGGGCCCACCCATGACCACTTATGGACCAATCGGCATGCACTTCCTCCCCTCAGAGGTCCATACAAGCTCTGGGCTCAGCCAGAGCAGGGCAGAGAAGGGTCACAGGATGAAGAGGACAGAGGGCAGAGAGACGACCGGATGGGATGACCAGCTGCAGAGAGGAGTACCCTCTCCACTGAGAACAGCAGAAGGCAAGACAACCTGTCCACAGAGAGGAGCTACCCTCTCTGCTGAGAGCTTCAGAGACCTGCAGAGACATCTGAATGACCTGCCTGCAGAGAGCAGCTTCCCTCTCTGGGGCCTCCTCTCTGCTGAAAGCTGAACACTCGAGAGACGACCTGCCTACGAGAGGAGCCACCCACTCCTCTGAGCTGTTCTGACACTAAATACAACTTTTCTTCTTCACGCTTCACTTGTCTGCGTACCTCATTCTTCCTAGACGCAGGACAAGAGCTCTGGCAAAGGCGCTGCAGCCACAGAGGTTTCCGGCCGGAAAAATCGGCACCCCAGAGATCCCATGAGAACGTCACGTACAGCACTGAGACGGAGCCCTAATGAAAACTGTGGCTCTGGGTGATAATGACGTTACTGTGGGTTCATCAACTGTAGCAAATTCGCCCTCTGCTGGGCGTTGTTGGAAATGCAGAGGCTCTGGGGGGTCAGGTATGTGGGAGCTCTCTGTACCTTTCTTGTAATTTGATGTGAACTTAAAGCTGCTCCAAAAAGATAAAATCTTGAAGAAAAGCGAAAAAAAAAAAAAGGAAGAGAGGAAAAAATGACAGGCAGAAGGTCACGCCTGGCCCCTCAGTGCGCGTCCTCAGGCCTCTGCTCCCAGCTGGGGCTGGCAGGTGGTCGGGGGGGCACCCAGCTCCTCCACTCCCCACGCCCACCACAGCTTTCAAAGTTAGGAACACAGGCAGGGTGGAGGTGAAGTCCGAACAGAAAGAGGAGACTTAAGGGAGGGCGAGCCCTGACTTTGTTTCGTTTTTCCGAGGCGACATTCGGTGCAGCTTTCTGGGTCCCCAAGGCTGACCCTGCTGCACCATGAACCACACGTCCACACCCTCACTGTCTCCCGCTCATGACATCAGCTCACCTGAGACTGTCACCGAAGGCTCTTTAACGTGAAATGAGTGGTTTTAACTATTTTTAAGTACACAGTTGTGTGGCATTAAGTGCATTCACTATGATGTGTGGCCATCACCATCGTCCACCCTAGAACCCCTTCATTTTCCCCAACAAATTCTGTCCCTTTAAGCAAGTGCTCCCCATCCCCCACCCCCTTCTACCTTCTGTCTCTGTGAATCTGATGACCGTCAGTCTCTGAGCACAGCCATACCATCGTGGGCCTTTTGTGTCTGGCTTACTTCACCGAGCATAATGTCCTCAGGGTTTATCCGCATTGTGGCAGGTGCCAGAATCCCCTTCCTTTTTTAAAGGCTGAATAATGCTTTACCGTATGGATAGACCACATTTTGTTTATGCGTTCATCCGTTATCGGACGCTTGGGTTGGACCATGTTTAGTGGGTGTGAATAAGGCTGCCCTAAACACGGGTGCACAGGCATCTGCCCAAGTCCCTGCTCTCAGTTCTTTTTGAGAAATACCCAAAAGTGAAATTGCTGGGTCATATGGCAGTTCTATTTTTAAGGTTTTGAGGAGCCGCCACACTGTCTTCCCCAGCGGCTGCCCTGTTTTACATCCCCTCAAGCAATGTAAAGGGTCCCGGTGTCCCCACATCCTCCAGTTTCTCCACATCCCGAGCACTTGCTGTCTTCTATTTTTGATACTTGTTACCCTAATGGCTGTGAGGTGGCACCTCATTGTGGTTTTGATTTGAATTTCCCTAATGACCTGTGATAGTGAGCATCTTTTCATGGGTTTATTGGCCATTTGTATGTCTTCTCTGAAGAAATTGTCTATTCAAGTCCTTTGACCATTTTTGAATCGAGCTGTTTGTTTTTTTGTTGTTGAGTTGTGGGGGTTCTTTATACATTACTGAAGGCTTATTTTTATGGTCCAATAATTCTTTATAGCACTGGGTGCTCGCTAGCCAGATGCCGTGATTATTTATGGCCTGGGACTGCGGGTACACATGTCTCCATTTGGAGGCTCAGCCAACGTTTCTAGGTCTGTTAACTTGAATTCATCTTTTAAATTGAAAAAAAGATTTATTTTCCTCCTTATAACAGTCAAATCTCCGCCTTTCGTGTTTCCAGGGCCAAGTACTATCTGGGGGTAAAATGTTAAAGCTCAGTGAGAAATCCCTGGATACACGGAGGTTACATTTCAAAGGCCAGACCCCTGGTGAGAGCAGAATAATAGTGTCATAAATGGCGATGTTGTATTGTGCAGTTGATAAATTGAGTAAATATTTGCTAAAAGCCAGGAAACCCCCACAGCAATAAGGACAAATGATGTTCATCAAAATGGCAGCCGTTTACTCAAGAATTAGGCAGAACCCACGGCGGGATGGACACTTGGACGTGCTCTCGGGACGGGCTGGCTAGGAAAGCTACAGCTGCAGATGGAGCTGGGAACCTCGCCCTGCCCTGAAACCCAAGGGAAAATCAGACTCCGAGGCACCGGTCGCCCTAAACCACCACAGATGGGGTTTCCACCTTCCTAGGAATAAGAGTGGAATATGCACCTGGGGGTGCAGCTTCGCCTTCCGCACAACAAGGGTCAGCGCCAATGTTTCCCTGAGATTCTCAGAGACCCAGAGCGCTGCCACCAGCGGCCTCCTGCCTCCCTGGAGCTCTTACCTCCCGCTCCCTCTCTCCGTCCAGGTGCTTACTTCTGGGAACTAATCACTCAGTTTGTCTGATTTTTTACTTTTAAATCTCTTTCAAACCATTGGTGCCTTTGCAGCTTCTTGTAGCCACCGTCAGAGCCAGGCAGCAGGGGAGGAGGAGGCTTGGACTGTGGTGCAGAAAACCCCGTCCAGCCTCACTTGCCTTGGGAAGGCTTTGAAAGGATCATTTATACACTGGAGGATTCCATGAAGACTTTTTTTGGCCACCCTGAGTGGTTCAAGGTTCACCCTGTCTCTGTGAGGCTCGGCCTTGCCTTCTTTCATCAAAAGAAAAACAGAAGCCAAGGCTGAGGCCTTGCTGACCGGTCCCTCCCGAGTCCCTTCCTAACTGGAAACGATGATTCAGTCCAGAACTCCGCCTGCTCAGTCCCTGCTGTAAACTTCGTGGCTCTCTTTAAGTGCTGCTAGATGCCAAGCCAGGGAGACAGCCTGTATCATCAGTGCAGTCGCCCTGGGGGTGACACCAGGGATGATTATGTAAATTCTCATAAAACCCACAGGCAAGTTTTGCTGCGGCCCGGCCTCCGGAGTCCTCCTGGTTGTAAGGGAAAGCACGAACTTGAGCGTGAAGACTCCAAAGCAGAAAAAAAGCAGAGCTCAGGAGGAAGCCTGCAGGGAAGGCCAAACCCTCCTGTGTGTGGAGCGGAGGTCAGGCTGGGGCGGGCGGCCACAGCTCCCCACCCTGGCCGCACCCCAGCCTGCAGATCTGACAGATGCAGGCCCCACTGCACCTGACAGTGCCGTGCTCAAATTGCTCACTCAGCAATGACATATTGGTGACCTGCCGGCAGCAGGCACTGTGGACAACACGTGGGGAGCACTGAGCAGGGCTACCTGCAGACGGCCTGGAAGCTCACCTTGGGCCGACTGGCAGCAGGTCACATGGCCTCTCTTAATTAATCTAATTTCCCACAAGGCAGCCGGGGGTTATTCCAGGCAAACCTGAATTCCTGCGTGGAACCTCAGGTGCCAACACCTGCACATGTAAGCGGTGTCCAGGCTGCACCCTGGAGCCCAACCCTGGACCCCTTTGGGATGGTGAGACCCTGGGCCTCACCCTTCTCACCTCTGAGTGAGGCTTCTCCCCTGACCCTGTTCCTTGTACCCCACCCAGATGTTTTGGTATTTTTCTGTACCCACATCTCCACACACACAGTGGCACTTCTCACCAAGGACTTGTAATCACAGAAAGCGATGGACAGAGGCAGACGCAGCAAGGGTGATGGGAGCTGGCGGAGAAGATGGTCCAGGGTGCAGGGGCACCACAGAGGTTGTGACATCACCTCAGGGTCCAAGACGTGCTTCCTAGGGGCCCCCTGGCGGTCTCCAGGATGAGGGGTGGGCAGTGTGGGAGACCCCCAGGCAAAGGAGTGGCAGACATTGACAGAAAGGAGTGGCAGACATTGACAGTGGAAGGTCTGCGGGGATGTGGGGGAGGTGCGCCGGGTGGGGAGGGGCCGCAGGCAAGGCCACAGTGTCCGGATGGTCCTGTGAAGGAAGGGAGCCCCCAAACACATTCACGTAGGGCAGTGCTGTGGGCAGATGCAAATTTTCAGAGTGTTCGCTGGAGATGGAGGGGGCCGGACCACCCCCAAGTCTCAGGAGAAGTCACAGGGGAGGAGACTCTGGGACTCTGGGTTCAGGTAAATACTTCGGGTTTGGCGTTGATGCTCCTTTTGGGCAATCTGTAGACTGAGTGACACCTGTCTCCCTGTCCACTCCCCTCCTACCCTTGTGATTATCCATCAGTATTTATGGGCCTGGCTGGTCAGACCAAGCAGGCCACAGCACAGCATGGAGCTCTAGGCCTCTGTGCGTCTCTGGTGTTTGGATCCTAGGACCTGAAGGTCCAGGGGAGAAGTCGTCTGGGGGGTTGGGAGGCTCAGGGAAGAGGCTGCTTCCTGCTGTGGACTTGATTAGCAGCCCCATGGACAGTCACTGGACTGTTAGCGAGGCAGGAGTCCAGAGGAGCCAGGGTGACACCATTTTAAAATCAGCACCGTCTTAAACTAGCAAGGCACACTCCTTGCCACACACAAGCCATGGTCCTAAGATGTTTACAGCTAAGGAAGCAGCTTGGTGATGCCTGCAAAGCAAACTCCAAGAACAGAAAGTCCAGACGTCCAATACCCATAATTAGGTCTATGCTTTCAAGATAGTAAGAGTCATGCTATGATGACTGACACACTAAAATGTCAAGGATGGTTTTCTTTAAACCAATAGAATGATAAACCTTGTCATGCTCTCTGCTCAGCTGCACATATGCACAGCTTCACTTCGCTTTGCAGACAAGACTTCTGTGTAAGAAAAATGGAAAAAGAAGTTGGTGTGTCCTCTGCTTGCTTTCTGCTCTGTAACAGAGTCATTTCTAATAAACGTGCCTCTTTCACTGTGCTCTGTGACTGGCCTTGAATTCCCTCTTGTGTGAGATCTGAGAAGCCTCTCTTGGGGTAGAGACCCCCTCTTCCAGGAACAGGACCACCTCTCACTTCCCCTAGACCCAAAGGGTGACCAAGAGACTGGCTCCAGGGCTTGTGTGGGAAAGTCTTCTGTTCGAGTGAGCCTGGGAGTAAACACTCCTGCTCGAGTGGGAAAGTCTTCTGTTCGAGTGAGCCTGGGAGTAAACACTCCTGCTCGAGTGGGAAAGTCTTCTGTTCGAGTGAGCCTGGGAGTAAACACTCCTGCTCGAGTGGGAAAGTCTTCTGTTCGAGTGAGCCTGGGAGTAAACACTCCTGCTCGAGTGGGAAAGTCTTCTGTTCGAGTGAGCCTGGGAGTAAACACTCCTGCTCGAGTGGGAAAGTCTTCTGTTCGAGTGAGCCTGGGAGTAAACACTCCTGCTCGAGTGGGAAAGTCTTCTGTTCGAGTGAGCCTGGGAGTGAACACTCCTGCTCGAGTGGGAAAGTCTTCTGTTCGAGTGAGCCTGGGAGTAAACACTCCTGCTCGAGTGGGAAGGTCTTCTGTTCGAGTGATCCTGGGAGTAAACACTCCTGCTCGAGTGGGAAGGTCTTCTGTTTGAGTGAGCCTGGGAGTAAACACTCCTGCTCGAGTGGCTAGCTCATGGGTTTCTGCAAGGAACGTCTTTGAAATATTTGGTAGATCTAAGGCTGAATACAGACCATTCACCAAAACGCTTTCCAAAACCATCTACTCCAGATTTTGTGAATAAATTTAAAATGCTGTTGCGGAGTCCTGACCACAGAATATTGTTTTAGAAGCGAGTTTTGAGCTTTGGTCTGATGTGCTGATTTTTCCAGCAAGGACACGGAAGCCACATTTGTGATGAACTCTGAGCCATGCCCACCCCTCTGGGGCCAGGCCAGCCTGAAGCCATCTCACTGGCTCTCCAGCTGCCAGAAATGGAGGCTAGCTTCTGATACCAAAGTTCCACACCAGGATATCAACAGCAGCCCTGCTTACACTAGTGAAAAATTAGACAGGATCTAAGTGTCCCACACTGAGGAAAGAGATGAACTCCAGCACGAGTGTATTATTCTGTTTTCATGCTGCCAATAAAGACATACCTGAGACTGGGTATTTTGATATTTTTTCTTGTTATAAAGAAAAAGAGGTTTAATGGACTCACAGTTCCATGTGGCTGGGGAGGCCTCACAATCATGGTGGAAGATGAAAGGCACATCTTACATGGCAGCAGACGAGAAAAAATGAGGGAACCAAGTGAAAGGGGTTTCCCTTTATAAAACTATCAGATCTTGTGAGACTTATTCACTACCACGAGAACAATATGGGGGAAACCACCCCTGTGATTCTGTTATCTCCCACTGGGTCCCTCCCACAACACATGGGAATAATTATGGGAGCTACAATTCAAGCTGAGATTTTGGTGGAGACACAGCTGAACCATATAATTCCACCCCTGGCTCCTCCCAAGTCTCATGTCTTCACATTTTAAAACCACTCGTACCTTCCCAACAGTCCCCAAAGTCTTAATTCAGCATTAACTCAAAAGTCCACAGTCCAAAGTCTCATTTGAGACAAGCAAGTCCCTTCTGCCTATGAGCCTATAAAATCAAAGGCAAGTTAGCTGCTTTCTAGATACAATGGGGGTACAGGCATTGGGTAAATATATCCATTCCAAATGGGAGAAATTGGCCAAAACAAAGGAGTTACAGGCCCCACGTAAGTCCAAAATCCAGCGGGGCAGTCAAATCTTAAAGCTTCAAAGTGATCTTTGACTCCGTGTCTCACATCCAGCTCACACTGATGCAAGAGGTGGGTTCCCATGGTCTTGGGCAGCTCTGCCTCTGTGGCTTAGCAAGGTACAGTCTCCCTCCTGAGCTTTCACAGGCTGGTGTTGAGTGTCTGCAGCTTTACCAGGTGCACAGAGCAAGTTGTTGGTGGATCTACCATCCTGGGGTCTGGAGGATGGTGACTTTCTCACAGCTCCACTAGGTAGCACCTCAGTGGTGACTCTGTGTGTGTGGGGGTGCCCACCCCACAATTCCCTTCTGCACTGCCCTAGCAGGGGTTCCCCATGAGGGCCCTGACCCTGCAGCAAACTTCTGCCTGAACATCCAGGCATTTCCATACATCCTCTAACATCTAGGTGGAGGTTCCCAAACCTCAATTATTGACTTCTCTGCACCTGCAGGCTCAACACCACATGGAAGCTGCTAGGGCTTGGGGTTTGCATCCTCTGAAGCCATGACCTGAGCTGTACCTTGGCCCCTTTTAGTCATGGCTGGAGTGGCTGGGACACAGGGCACCAAGTCCCTAGACTGCACACAGCACAGGGATCCTGGGCCTCGCCCATGAAACCATTTTTTCCTCCCAGGCCTCTGGGCCTGTGATGGGAGGGGATGCCATGAAGGCCTCTGACATGTCCCGGAGACATTTTCCCCATTGTCTTGGCAATTAACATTCAGCTCCTTGTTACTTATGCAAATTTCTGCAGCTGGCTTGAATTTCTCCTCAGAAAATGGGACTTTCCTTTCTATTGCATTGTCAGGCTGCACATTTTCTGAACTCTTCTGCTCTGCTTCCCTTATAAAACTGAATGCCTTTAACAGCGCCTAAGTTACCTCTTGAATGCTTTGCCACTTAGAAATTTCTTCCACCAGATATCCTAAATAATCTCTCTCAAATTCAAAGTTCCACAAATTTCTAGGGCAGGGGCAAAATGCTGGCAGTCTCTTTGCTGAAACATTACAAGAGTGGCCTTCGCTCCAGTTGCCAACAAATTCCTCATTTCCGTCTGAGACTACCTCAGTCTGGATTTTATTGTCCATATCATTATCAGCATGTTGGTCAAAGCCATTCAACAAGTCTCTAGGAAGTTCCAAACTGTCTCACATTTTCCTGTCTTCTTCTGAGCTCTCCAAACTGTTCCAACCTCTGCCTGTTACCCAGTTCCAAAGTCGCTTCCACATTTTTGGGTATCTTTACAGCAGCACCCCACTGTACTGGTACCAATTTATTGTATGAGTCTGTTTTCATGCTGCTGATAAAGCCATACCCGAGACTGGGTAACTTATAAAGAAAAAAAGGTTTAATGGACTCACAATTCCACGTGTCTGAGGAGGCCTCACAATCACGGTGGAAGGTGAAAGGCAGGTCTTACATGGCAGCAGACAAGAGAGAAAATGAGGGAACCAAGTGAAAGGGGTTTCCCCTTATAAACCCATCAGATCTCATGAGACTTATTCACTACCACAAGAACAGTATGGGGGGAACTGCCCCCATGATTCTGTTATCTCCCACTGGGTCCCTCCCACAACACATGGGAATTATGGGAGCTACAATTCAAGATGAGGTTGGGGTGGGGATACAGCCAAATCATATCGATGAGTCTGTGGGGTGGGCATGCTTGGAGGTCAACGTGGGCCCTTCAGGATGAAGGTCCTTTTTGTGTTTTGCTTGTTCACAGATATACCCTAAGTGCCTGATGCAGAGCCTGGCACATAAGAGCTGCTCAGTAAATTTTTACTTCGGATAACATGGGGAGAAAGACTCTGGGTGGTGAATCTTTCCAGAACCCAAAGTGTGAAGCGGCAAAAAACAAAGGAGTGGACATGGTGTGGGTCCAAGCACCTTTTGTCTCCCTCTTTTCCTCTGTCTCGTCCACCTTGGCTGCATGGCCTCATTCCTGAACCTTGTCTGCAGCTCTCCCAGAATAGGTCGAGAGAGGACGGATGAGGCACAGGGAGTGAGCTCGTAGCTGACACTTGGGAATGGGTTTTAGTCTCCAGGGAAAGCTGGGCTCCTCACTCAGTGCTTGTGCTGCTCCCAGGCCATATGAATGGTCCATGCCCTCTTCAGAGCAGATTGTGATTCCAGCCCTTAGCTTGGGGGCCAGCCAGCTGCAGGGTCAGATCTTCCCAGGAAGAAGGTGCTAACTCCACTGGGTGGCACTGAAACGCACATGACACCTTTGGCAACGGTGGACATCTTTGTTCCTCCCACTGGGATAGCCCGGGGCTCATTCATCAAGGGTGGCCAACAGCAGTTCCCTGTCCACATCAGCTTCAGACTGCAACTGGTGATCTTTGCTGACATTTTCCTCTGCAAGTTAGCTCTTGAGGGCAATTTTAACTTGATGTAATAGAAAGGATGATATTGGCAAAAAAAAAGGTGTGATTTGCCTTGGGCCTCAAAAACTACTGTGGTCAGTACCAAGTAGAGGATGAGTTTGTTCAGGAGTCTGTGAGGGGTGGCGACCCCACTGGGAGCTGCTCCCAAGGTCTACAAGCCAGAACACATCTCTTGCAGACACAAAAATGTGTTGGTTCTCCTGTAAGCCAGTGTCACTCTCAGGACTTTCCTTTCCCATTTTTTTCATCAAGGCAGGTCACAGATTGCACTGTGTCCTCTGAAAGGAAGGCTGTGTTTTAATTACTCAGGGATTATGTCCACATGAATGCCCAAACACCAAAACTTTAATGTGCTCCTCTAATTGAAAATTAATGTTACCAGTTTAATTATGTGTTCATAATGAACATGCAATTAGAAAAGCTCTGCAGGCTTTGGGGAGCCTCTGCTAGAATTGCATGCTGTGTGCACTCACATTTTCTCCAAGAGATACAAAACAGGTAGTTCAGAGTTCAGGGTCATACTCAACATCTTATCTTCCTGTATGCTGGTCAACTGCTCCAGTGTTTTCAGAAATGACATATTGCTATTTATTTAACAAATATTTATTGAATTTAGTGGCATCATTTCAGAAGAAGAAATGTAATTATACTTGAGTAATGGTCTTTCTAAGTGGATTAACTAGGCTTAAACTAAGTTGGCAACAGTTCAAAATTATTTGACTGCTAGTGATATTCTAATAGATTATGTGAATTGTAGTTGGGGAAAGAGATTGCCTTTAGTACACAAGGCAGATTAGAAGTGAACACCATCAATTTCCATAGAGGAGAGGAAAAGAGAAGTATTCTGTCCTTCCATGCATCCATGCATCTATCCATCCATCCATCCATCCATCTATCCATCAATTTATGCATGCATCCATCTATGCATCCTTCCATCCATCCATCCATCCATGTACCTATGCATCATCCATCTATCCATGCATGCATGCATGCATCCATCCATCCACATGTTCATCCATCCATCATTCCATTCATTCATCCATTATCCATGCATCTGTCCATCCATGCATTCATTAATCCATGCATGCATCAATCCATACATGCATCTATGAATCCACTCATGCATCCACTCATGAGTCCATTCATTATCCATGCATCTGTCCATCTATTCATCCATAAATTCATGTATTCATCCATCCATCTATCCATGCATGCATGCATGCATCCATCCATCCACATGTTCATCCATCCATCATTCCATTCATTCATCCATTATCCATGCATCTGTCCATCCATGCTTTCATTAATCCATGCATGCATCAATCCATACATGCATCTATGAATCCACTCATGCATCCACTCATGAGTCCATTCATTATCCATGCATCTGTCCATCTATTCATCCATAAATTCATGTATTCATCCATCCATCCATGCATCCATCCATTATCCAGGCATTCATCCATGCACCCATCCATCCATCCATCCATGCACCCATCTATCCATCCATTCATCCATTCATCCATTATCCATGCATCCATCCATTATCAATGCATCCATTCATTCATGCACCTATCCATCTATGCATCCATCCATCCATCAATACATTCATCCATCCATGCATCTATGCATCCATACACTATCCATGCATCCATCCACGTATCCATCCATCTATTCATCCATGCACCCATTCATCAATCCAACCATCCATAAATTCTTGCATCCATGCATGATTTCATCCATCCATGTATGCATCATCCATCTATCTATGCATCCATTCATCCATCCATTCATGCCTTCATCCATCTATGCATCATCCATCCATCTGTGCATCCATTCATCCATCCATTCATGCATTCATCCATTTATGCATCCACCCATCTGTGCATCCATCCGTGCATCCATCCATCTATGCATCATCCATCAATTCATGCATCCATCCATCTATGCATCATCCATCTATTCATGCATCCATCCATCCATCTGTGCATCCATCCAGCTATCCATCCATCCATCTGTCCATCCATCCATGCATCATCCATCAATTCATGCATCCATCCATCCATCCATCCATCCATCCATCCATGCATCCATCCATCCATCCATCTATGCATCCATTCACCTATTCATGCATCCATCCATCCGTCCATGCATCCATCCGTCCATGCATCCATCCATCCATCCATCTGTCCATCCAAGTATCCATCATCTATCCATCCATCCATCCATGCATTCATCCACTCATCCATGTATCCATCCATGCATCCATCCATGCCTCCATCCATGCATGCATCCATCCATCCATGCATCCATTCATCCATCCATCTATGCATCCATTCATCTATTCATGCATCCATCCATCTATCCATGCATCCATCCATCCGTCCATCCATCCACCCATCCATCCATCCATCCATCCAAGTATCCATCCATCCATCCATCCATCCATCCATCCATGCACTCATCCACTCATCCATGGATTCATGTATCCATCCATGCATCCATGCATCCATCCATGCATCCATCCATCCATCCATGCATCCATTCATCCATCCATCTATGCATCTGTTCATCTACTCATGTGCCCATCTATCTATCCATGCATCCATCCATCCGTGCATCCATCCATCCATCCAAGTATCCATCCAGGTATCCATCCATCCATCCATGCAGTCATCCAGTCATCCATGCATTCATGTATCCATCCATGCATCCATCCATCCATTCATTCATGCATGCATGCATCCATCCATCCAACTATCCATTCATCATGCATTCATTCATTCATCCATCCATGGAGCCACCCATCCATTCATCCATTCATGAATCCTTCCATTCATGTATCCCTCCATCCATTCATCATCCATGCATTTACCCATCTGTCATCCATGCATCCTTTCATCTATCAATCCTTTCATGCATCCATTCATTCATCTGTGCATCATTCATGCGTGCATGCATCCATCCATCCCACATTTACTGAGGCAGCAGTAACCCAAGAGGATGGAATCCTGCTGTTATGGACCTTGCCTCTAGTGGTTAGAGTTATGTAAGAGTCAAGATAAATAAGTGAAATATAGAAAATGCCAGCTGGTGAAGGTAATGGATAATTTAATAGGGTGGCTGTGGTCAGAGAAGACCACCCAGGAAGACACCTGAGCCATGAACCTCAGGCAGTGGGGATCTTCTTACAGGAATGACTCTCTCTGGAGAAACGGATTAGAATCAACAAAGGGAAAGCAGGCGCTGGGCACTCAGGAAAACTTCCTCACATCAGAATTTGGTATCAGGTTACACTGAGCAGGGAACAGTCACACTGTCTCCAAATCCAAGACACTGTCAGGTGGGCTCTGCCACTTCCCACCACCTCCTATCCATGACTCTGAGCAGCCACTCACTCTCCCTGCATCTCCAAGTATGATGCAGGGATTAGGCCGATGGACTCTGTGGAGCACAGAGTGTCCCCAGCACAGGTCAGGACTTGGTGGTGATGATGAGACTTTGGGTCTGAAGGATCATGGAACTCATGAAATGGGGAGTGGGGTCAGGACATTCCCACCGAGCAGTGTGAGCACAGAAACATTAATATGTAGAAATTGATTGAGGAACAGAGTTGGCAGGTGGCTGGAACAGGGTTCACAAAGAACAGTGGGAAATAGGCTGGGCGCGGCGGCTCACGCCTGTAATCCCAGCACCTTGGAGGCGGGGTGCGGCGGCTCACGCCTGTAATCCCAGTACTTTGGAAGGCTGAGGCGGGCGGATCACCAGAGGTGAGGTGGGCGCAGTGGCTCACGCCTGTAATCCCAGCACTTTGGGAGGCTGACGTGGACGGATCACCAGAGGTCAGGAGTTTGAGACCAGCCTGGCCTACATGATGAAACCCCATCTCTACTAAAAATACAAAAATTAGCCAGGCATGGTTGTGCATGCCTGTAGTTCCAGCTACTTGGGAGGCCGAGGCAGGAGAATCGCTTGAATGCTGGAGGCGGAGGTTGCAGTGAGCTGAGATAGCACCATTTCACTCCAGCATGGGCCACAGAGCAAGACTTCATAAAAAAAAAAAAAAAAGGAAAATAGAGTGGGAGGTAAGAGAGAGGTAAAGGTAGATGTCAAATCAATTATAGGGCCTTGGAGGGCTTCATAAAGGGTTTAGAGTTCTTTTTATCAGCAAAGAGGCAGGGTGGCTAGAAAGAGCTGTTGGTCTCGGCAAGTAGGGAGAACCATGTGGTAAGATACACTGTTAGACTCTCTTTTGAAGTGATATGGCAACACCTACCAAGATAAAGAATACACCCATTATCAACATATCAGCTGCACTCCTGGGAATATGTGCCGTGGACACAGGAGGGCGAGTGTGCAAGCACAGTTGTCCGAGGTGTTTGTTTCAGCAGCATTTGTAGCAAATGTCCAGAAACAAAGCCAGTGCCTCACGATCTAGAAGTGATTCAGTGAATGATGGTGCATTCACACTGGAGTTTCAAGCCACCGTTAGGAAAATGAAGTAGGTCTATACCAGTTAATTTGCAGGGATTTCCATGAGGCGTTATTGAAGAAGAAAGATAAGATGCAAGGATGCATTTAAGTGCGATTCTATTTTTATAAAGCAAATGACAAAATATCTCCACATACATATATTTAATTTTATATATGTCTGTGTATATGACATAGATACACGTTTGTATATAATTCTGTGAAGGTGGATACAATGTGGAAAGATACACGTGGTTGTGAACAGGCTGCCGGGAGGCAGTGGTAGAAAAGAGTGAAGCAGAGTTGAGTAAAAAAGAAGAAAATGAGGAACAAAGTTTTCATTGTAAAAACCCAGAATGCATCAAGAGAATGAGATGACAGGGAGAAGGTATTTGCAGAACACACATCTGATACAGGACTGGTATCCAAAATACATAAAGAACTCTTAAAACCTAAGTATAAGAAAACAAACAACCCTATTAAAAATGATGTAAAGACCCTAACAGACACTTGCCGAGGATCTACAGATGGCAAACAAGCACATGAAAAGATGCGCCAAATTGCATGTTCAAGGAAGCACAAATTAAAACAACAACGAGATGCCCCTGTACACCTATTAGAATGGCCAAAGTCGGCCAGGCGCGGTGGCTCACACCTGCAATCCCAGCACTTTGAGAGGCTGAGGAGGATGGATCACCTGAAGTCAGGAGTTTGAGACCAGCCTGGCCAACATGGTGAAACTCCGTCTCTACTAAAAATACAAAATTGGCTGGGCATGGTCGCACGCACCTGTAGTCCCAACTACTTGGGAGGCTGAGGCAGGAGAATTGCTTGAACCAGGGAGGTGCAGGTTGCAGTGAGCCGAGATCATGCTACTGCACTCCAGCCTCGGCAACAGAATGAGACTTTGTCTCAAAAAATAAAAAATAAAAAAATAAAAAGAATGGCCAAAGTCTGGAACACTGACAACACCAAATCATTCATTGCTTGTGGGAATGCAAAATGCTACAGCCACTGTGGAGGACAGCTTGGTGGCTTTTCATGAAATTTAACCTACTATTACCGTATCATCCAGCAGTCATGCTCCTTCGTATTTACCTAAAGAGTTGAAACCTTACGTCCCACAAGCCTGCACATGCATGTTTATAGCAGCTCCATTCACAACTGCCCGAACTTGGAAGCAGCCGAGATGTCCCTCAGTGGGTGAATGGAGAAGTGAACTGGGGTGCCTCCAGACCAGGGCATATTATTTGTTGCTAAAGAAGAACTGAGCTATCAAGCCATGAAAAGACCTGGAGGAACCTTAAATGTATATTACTAGGTGAAGGGGCCAATCTGAAAAGGCCACACGTTGTATGATTCCAATTCTATGACATTCTGAAAACGGCAAAACTGTGGAGACAGTAACAAATGCAGCAGCTGCCGGGGCTGAGGGAGGGGAGGGAGGGAGGGGCGGCTGGAGCACAGGGGATTTCCAGGGCAGGGACCTGCTCTGCACAAGGCTGTCATGCTGGATCCGTGTCGTTAGCCACAGAATGTACAACACCAGGCGTGGGTCCCCGTGTCGACCGTGGACTCTGGGTGACAATGATGTGTCATTGTGCGTTCACTGATTGTAGCAAAGGCACCACTCTGGTGAGGGGTGTTGGGAGTGAGTGGGGCTGTGTGCGCAGACAGTGGGTACACAGGAAGTCTCTGTAGCTTCCTCACCTAAAACTGCTCCAAAAATAAAGTTTATTTTTAAAGCCCAGCCTCATAACATGATATGATTTATATAAAGTTGTATGTGTGTGTATGTGTACTGGGGATGTCTCTGGCTCTAGAAATTACGTAACTATTTAAATTCTCAGGAGAAATAGTTGCTTGCACAAGGTAAACATCTCAAGCATCACACCCACATCACCTGTGCAGATTCCAGTCCCTGCGGGGCCCCCAGCTGAGCCTGTCTTGCAGGCCCCACCCTGGCCCTTTGAGTCTCACATCCTGGAACAGAGTGGCCTGGAAAGAGGTGGATTGGGCTGCATTCTGCGGAGAAGCTGTTCTCTTAGCAGCAGCTGTGTTTCCCCTGCTGGGTCCAGGTAACTCCTGTGTCCGGAGCCTCCCAGGATGGTGCCCCTGCCATGTCGCTGGATGTGCTGGGGCGGCTCCTCCGTCGTCGGGGACAGCGCTGAGAGCTGAGACTGGGGCGGCTCCTCCGTCGTGGGGGACAGTGCTGAGAGTGAGACTGGGGTGGCTCCTCCGTCGTGGGGGACAGCGCTGAGAGTGAGACTGGGGTGGCTCCTCCGTCGTGGGGGACAGCGCTGAGAGCTGAGAGTGGGGCGGCTCCTCCGTCGTGGGGGACAGCGCTGAGAGCTGAGACTGGGACGGCTCCTCCGTTGTCGGGGACAGCGCTGAGAGCTGAGACTGGGGTAGCTCCTCTGTCGGGGGGACAGCGCTGAGAGTGAGACTGGGGCAGCTCCTCCGTCGTCGGGGACAGCGCTGAGAGCTGAGACTGGGACGGCTCCTCCGTTGTCGGGGACAGCGCTGAGAGTGAGACTGGGGCAGCTCCTCTGTCGGGGGGACAGCGCTTAGAGCTGTGCTGGGGCGGCTCCTCCGTCGCGGGGACAGTGCTGAGAGCTGAGAAGTGTGGCCGCGGTGCCATGGAGACAGACCGTCCCCTTCCTGCCTTCCTTTCCTGATGGTGAGTGCACTGGGTGGTCGTAAGGAAGTTGATGTATCTCAATTTCAAGGATATTCATGTTCCATTTTCTGGCCAATTTGGTGTATTAAGAATGTTTTTTTAAAAAAAGTCAAAGGAAGCCTTGGTTTACTGCTGTCCTCTTGCCAGAGATGCCACCCTCTCCTCCACAATCCTCACTGCTCACCAAGGGGGAAGACCTCTTGTTTTCAGTAGGAGAAATGTCTTTATACTTTCACAAACAGGAAACATCCGCACGAAATCACGTTGACCTTCTTGGATCTGTTTCAGCTGTACATGCAGCTCAACTGAACACCTTCCTTAAGGCTTTGCTTTTTTTTTTTTTACACAAATGATGTGTCTTCATCATTTATTTGCTGTAAGAAGACTATGAACTAGAAGAATCAACTGATTTTCAAAGCTGTGCATTCATTTTATTTAGTGGCTATTTTATCGAGCACTTTCTTTCTATCTGCCAGCTTTGTGCTCAGTGACGAAGGTGGCTCTGTTGACACTTTATGGGGGGAGGACAAAGGGGGCTCTCGGGTTCCTCTTGCCCTCTCCCTGGGACTCCTGCCACATTTCCCTGAGTCCTGGCTGCTCCCAACCCTTCCACCTACCCAGACGTTCATCCCGTCTGCTTTGCGCACCTGCTGGGTGCACATCAGGAGGTGAGTGGCGCGTGAGCGAGCATTACCACCTGAGCTCCGCCTCCTGTCAGATTAGCGGCGGCGGTGGCCTTAGGTTCTCATAGGAGCTCAAGCCCTATTGTGAACATATGAGGGACCTAGGTTGTGCCCTCCTTATGAGAATCTAATGCCTGATGATCTGAGGTGGAACAGTTTCATCTCAAACCACCCTGCTCCTGCCTGCAGTCTGTGGAAAAATTTTCTTCCACAAAACTGGTCCCTGATGTCAAAAAGTTTGGGGACCGCTGCTACATATAGTAAAAGACTGGCTAGCCATATGCAGAAGATTGAAACTGGACCCCTTCCTTACACCATATACAAAATGTGGATTAAAGACTTAAATGTAAAACCTAAAACAATAAAAACCCTAGAAAAAACCTGGGAAATGCCATTGTGAACATAGGCCCTGGCAAAGATTTCATGACAAAGATGCCAAAAGCAGGTGCAGCTATCCATGGAGTAATAGGCAACCTACAGAATGGGAGAAATATTTGCAAGCTGTGCATCCAACAAAGGTCTAATATTCAGCATCTGTAGGAAACTTAAACAAATTAACATCAAAAAACCCAAACGACTCCATTAAAAAGAGGGCAAAGGACATGAACAGACACTTCTCAAAAAGAGACATACATGCAGCCAACAAGCACATGAAAAAATGCTCAACCTCAATAATCATTAGAGAAATGCAAATCAAAACCACAGTGAAATACCATCTCATGCCAGTCGAAATGGCTATTATTAAAAAGTCAAAAAATAACAGATGCTGGAGAGGTTGTAGAGAAGAGTGAATGCTTATACACTGCTGGTGTGAGTGTAAATTAGTTCAGCCGTTGTGAAATGCAGTTTGGTGGTTTCTCAAAGAACTCAAAACAGAACTACCATTCCACCCTGCAATCCCTGGGTATATTATACTCAAAGGAATATAAATCATTCTACCATAAAGATACATGCATGTGTATGTTCACTGCAGCTCTATTCACAATACCAAAGACATGGAATCAACCCAAACGCCTATCAGTGGCAGACCAGATAAATAAAACGTAGTTCATATACACCATGGAATACTATGCAGCCATAAAAAAGAACAAGATCACGTCCTTTGCAGCAACATGGATGGAGCTAGAGCCCATTATCCTCAGCAAACTAATTCAGGAACAGAAAACCAAATACCGCGTGTTCTCACTTACAGTGGGAGCTAAACATTGAGAACACATGGACACAAAGAAGGACTAACAGACACAGGCATGACTTCAGGTGGAGGCGGGAGGAGAGCAAGGACCGAGAAACCACTTACCTGGTGCTATGCCTATCACCTGGGTGACAAAACAGTCTGTACAGCAAACCCTGTGACACGCAATTTACGTAACAAACCTGCACATGCACCACTGAACCTAAAAGTTAAAAATAAACATGCAAAATACGGAAAGTCAAAAAGCATGTTAGGATTAAAAGAAATCATTTTATTTATTATTGATGGGGGCATTACTTGTTATGCCAATTACAGTTTGTTATGATGTCACATTTCCCTGGAGGTTTTTGGGAGATGGAAAAACACGAACAACAGCAGGGCTGGAGCTGGAGCTGCAACGTGATGGTTCCTTCCTCCTGCCCTCGGGGGCCAGTGCCAACACCGCAGCAGGTGCGGGAAGAGGCCTTGGCGGGACACGTGCTCTGGAGTAAGGCTTGGTTAAAGCTCTGGCATCGGTTTTCCACACCACGCCAAAGTAGACAAAGGTAAGCTGCCGGTGGCGCCACATTTCAGGGCTTGCTGGGGAGAGTGAACAGAAAGGACCAGGTGGCCCAGGGTCACTTACTACAAAGCGAGGTGTTGAGGCATTTCTTCCTGCAAGAAGTCATAGCGGGAGGCCGTGGCGGACCCCACCACGCAGAAGGCTTCCCTGGTCCACGTTCTGATCCCACGTCCTCCTCGGCTATTCCCCTGCTGCTGACCACCTGTCCCAGCCTCACCTGAAAGCACATCCCGTCCTCCCATCCTCAGTCCCAGGAGCATCACTTGCTGAGGGATTGTCACGGCCGCGAGGCTTCAGCCCGAGTGCTGGAGTTGAGAACCTGGCCTTGGGCTGACTCTTGGCAAAAATGTGATTTCCTCTGTGTCAGACAGACCCTGGTGTGTCTCGTAGGGCCCTCGCTTCCCCCTTTCCTGACGGGCCCCCCGCGACCCTCGCCTCCCCATATTTCCCGACGTGTCCCCCTAAAATGTTTTTAGGTGAAGATACTGAAATGTAATAAAACTTATTTTGCTGCAGATGCCGAGGGTGTCTGCACTTTAAAGGATATTCCATTTGAAAAACACATTTCTAGTGGTGAAGTTTCATCCCAATGACGAGACTCATCCTGGTCAGTCTTTTTTCTGGGGCTTGGATAAGGTGAGGCAGCCCGGAGCCATCGCGGGCCTGGCCTGGCTTCCTTGGGGCACCTTCTGTCCTCCAGCCCGGTGGGGTCCAGCAGGCCACTCACACCTGGCTTTGCTTCATGGGGACTTTGCTGCCTCTGGCATTGTCCACTTGAGCCCTGTGGGCGGCTGAGACAGCCAGGGCTGCGGGGGTGGCTCTGGGGGACTCCTGGCCGGTCGCGTCCATTAGGATTTGACCCCAGAGGGACTGGGTGTGAGAAATATGGGGCCAGGCGGCTCCCCTGCTTCTCCGCTTCCAGGGCGGGTTCCATGATGGCCTGTGTCCCCAGCGGATAAGAAGTGCAGCCCCGTTTTCAGAGCAGGGTCGGGGGAGGACAGGGCCTCACATTGCTTGTCAGAGGGGTTGCACCGGTGGTCGTAGCTTGCACAGGCCCCTGGGGTCTCCCTCCTTTGTTGGATGCAGGCTGCTCCCACCGCCTTGGCTCTCCCAAGTTCCAGGTCTAGAGTCTCCATCACCTGCTGGAGAATTTCACTGAGGGCCGCCCAGGCTGCCCAAGCTCAGCGGGTCCAGGAAGAGCCTGGGTCCTCCCCGGTGTTGGGCTCTTGCTCCGAGGATGGTGGATGACGCTCCCAGCACCACCGTCCGAATCCAAGCGAAGGACCCATCCTCGGCCGCTTCCCGTCCCCCTCACCCGCCAGGACCTGCCGGCCCAGCCTCTTCACACCCCGCGGCCTCTCACCGCGTGGCTGAGCCTGGGCCGCCGTTCGGACCGCGCGGCAGCCTTCGATTCTGTGACTCTCCTCGCCTCGAACCCCCCACGGTTCTCAGCATAAAGCCCAGACTCCGTGGCTGGTGGAAGCAGCAGCTCCCTGGATCGGTCCTGGGCATATTTACAGCTTCGCTTTTTACCCTGGGATCCACTGTTCGACTCGCAACACCTTTCCGGAGCCCGGCGCTTCACTCGCAGCCTCGCAGCCTCGCAAACGCCCGTCCCTGCCCCCGGGCGCGTCCCAGCCTCCTCGGGTTCCCACGCGCTCCGGGGAGCCCCTGCCGCAGGCGCCTTCTGGAGCGGGTCCTGGGACCCGTTTCCTTCTTCCCCTGGGCAGCCCCCGCGGGTCTTTCACAGTCGCTTCCGTCCGCGATTCCTGGGGCTCCTGCCGCTTTGTGCCCCTTTGTCTCCCACAGCACACGCCTCCCAAGTGTTGACTTTTGGGTCACTGGGACAAAGCGTCCCCGCGAGGGGATTTGCTGGCCCTCTGAGATTTAACTGGAAACCCGTCTCAGTGGGAATCAGGGCAGAAATAGGCAAGGGACCTTACAGACAAAACGCCCCTCGGCACGAATGTAACTGCACCGTGATGAAGGGTGAATATGCCACCATCTGCCAGGAAGGCTCATCGGGCAGAGGGCTAAGGGGCAGGCTTTGCAGCAGTTAAGCTTAGAGAAAGGAGGGACACGCGGCGCCTTACACAGTCCACAGAAGAGAGGCCGTCCCTCGGCGGTCCCCTCCGCTGGGGGTCCCACGCACATGTCCTCGGCCCATGCCCCTCGGCCTTCCTGGGGTTAGCTCTGACCAGAAGACAGGGCTCTGCTCACCCTCGCCGCCAGCTGCGCACCCACGGTCTAGCTTCTGCGTATCAGCCTCTGGTGACTTGGATTTGGGGACCTCCGGAGGAGTGCGAAGGCTGGTGGATGAAGCTTGGAATGTGGATTTCGGATGGAAATCCCAGTGTGGGGGGCCCCCTCCACACCCCCGACCTGCGTCCACGCTCCCCTCTCCTCAGAGGGACCCCCCCTCCACACTCCCCACCTTCATCCACGCTCCCCTCTCCTCAGTGGGGACCCCCCTCCACACCCCCACGTGGTCCACGCTCCCCTCTCCTCAGTGGGACCCCCCTCCACACCCCCATCTTCATCCACGCTCCCCTCTCCTCAGTGTGGACCCCCCTCCACACCCCCCACGTGCGTCCACGCTCCCCTCTCCTCAGTGGGACCCCCCTCCACACCCCCATCTTCATCCACGCTCCCCTCTCCTCAGTGGGACCCCCCTCCACACTCCCCACCTTCATCCACGCTCCCCTCTCCTCAGTGGGACCCCCCTCCACACTCCCCACCTTCATCCACGCTCCCCTCTCCTCAGTGGGACCCCCCTCCACACCCCCCACGTGGTCCACGCTCCCCTCTCCTCAGTGGGGACCCCCCTCCACACTCCCCACCTTCATCCACGCTCCCCTCTCCTCAGTGGGGACCCCCCTCCACACCCCCCACGTGCGTCCACGCTCCCCTCTCCTCAGTGGGGACCCCCCTCCACACTCCCCACCTTCATCCACGCTCCCCTCTCCTCAGTGGGACCCCCCTCCACACTCCCCACCTTCATCCATGCTCCCCTCTCCTCAGTGTGGACCCCCCTCCACACTCCCCACCTTCATCCACGCTCCCCTCTCCTCAGTGGGACCCCCCTCCACACCCCCACGTGTGCCACGCTCCCCTCTCCTAAGTGTGGACCCCCCCCCACACTCCCCATCTTCATCCACGCTCCCCTCTCCTCAGTGGGGACCCCCCTCCACACTCCCCACCTTCATCCACGCTCCCCTCTCCTCAGTGGGGACCCCCCTCCACACTCCCCACCTTCATCCACGCTCCCCTCTCCTCAGTGTGGACCCCCCTCCACACTCCCCACCTTCATCCACGCTCCCCTCTCCTCAGTGGGGACCCCCCTCCACACTCCCCACGTGCGTCCACGCTCCCCCCTCCTCAGGGGCTTGTTTTCTGCCCAGGGCCATTTCCTATGGCGAGGGAACGAGTCAGGAAGCAGTGATTCCACTCACGCTCCAGGTTTTCCTGACTCACGCAGACGCTTAACATCTTTTCCTTGGCTCTTATTTGTAGCATCTAACAACGTCCAGATCACCTGTAAAATGTGCAGCCTCCCCTCTGCCTTCAAGAGGCAGCTGAGGTCCTGTCTTGGGTCATTGTGTGGTTCTCAGGAGGTCTTCAGGAGCCCCTCACGTTGAAGGTACCCAGTGTTTCCCTGACCAACAGAAGGTGTTTGTTTCACCACATTTTCCTTACGTTCTTATGGAAAAAATTTAATCCTTAAAACGTGGCTTTCTGCTAATAAAGAAAGAACAAACTCCCTACGTATCTTAAGAAACAGTCAAAACGGCTTGCTTGCTAGTCTGAAATTCTTTCAACACATATACATGAAAAGAGAATTATTCTTTGACCCAGGATCTTCTGAGGCCAGGCGGGTGTGGATAGGTGTCCTCTGTCCTGACAGCGGCTCCTGCCCAGTCTGGAGTGCTGGTGGTTTATCTGCGTGGCCTCTGCAGCTCTGTGTGCTATGCGCGTCTCGAGGTGGAGAGACTTGGTGTCTGCATTCCTGGGTTCGTGCTCTATTTCCACGCACAGGTGGAAGAAAAAGAAGGGCGAGGCCGCACAGTGCTAAGACGCAGGCTCTGGGATCACACTACCCGGACCCAATGCGCGAGGCTGCCCCTGGGGCTCCGCCCCATCTTCCCTCCTCAAACCGCCCCGTGCTCGTTCCTCCCCCTGGGCCTGTGAGGAGAACCCCTGGCTTAGCGTTTCTGTCCAATGCCAGAAACCAGCGGGTGGCTAGCTCCATTCTACCCAGCGCTCCTGACTGACCCTCATCAGCCACCAAAACTTTTTGTTGTCCTGGCTCAGTCTTGAGCGGATCGTTGCTAATGTTACTGATCATTTCACATTCCCAGATGATATTTCGGAGCCCCTCCGCTCCCCACCCGGCAGCCTTGTGAGTCACATTTTCACAGAGAACACACTGCTGGGAAACCTCCTGCTGAGCTCAATGTCTCACCTGGATTCTTGTTAGTTCTGATTTCCAATCTTCAGAGGTGGCATTTTCCGATTTTTCCTTCGTACAATGTATTCCTTCATTTGACAAATACGTGTTGAGTACTTGCCCTGTGACTGGCCCCGTGGACAGACACAATAGGGAAGCAAGATGGAATTCCAGGTCCCGAGAGGGTGAAAGAACGGGGGACGGCCTGGCGATCATGACGCCATCCACGGTTAGGTCTTCTTAGCAGGGGTCCAGGAACAGCTGGCTCCCTGAGCAGGGAAGAGTGCCAGCATAGCCAAGATGCTGAGAGTCCAAACCCCTCCGCAGACAGCGGGTGGAGGTGGGACCAACTGCTTTCTCTGAGAAGAGGATGAAATGCCAACATCCATGTGGATGCGCCAGAGGCAGCCAGAATCTGTGCCTGCCCCCTGTGGGTTTTCTTTTCTCTCTTTAAAAATGTTTTATTTTTAAATTTTGTGGGTACATAGTAGGCATATATATTTATGGGGTACATGAGATGCTTTGATACAGGCATGCAATGCGTGCTGATCACATCATGGACAATGGGGCATCCGTCCCCTCAAGCATTTATCCTTTGTGTTACAAGCAATATAATTACACTCTTTTAGTTATTTTAAAAGAGCTAGGGTCTTGTTCTGTTGCTCAGGCTGGTCTCAAACCTCTAGGCTCAAGCAATCCTCCCACCTCGGCCTCCCAAAGTGCTGGGATTACAGGTGTGAGCCACCATGTCCAGCCTCTTTATTTTATCTTTTTCCCGTTATCACGGGTTGAGGCTGCAAAGTGTTGTCAGTATCATCTGCTGGTCAGTGTGCAGGAAGTAACATCCCCAGGGAAACATGGAGCCCTGCGATGGCCCTGATGGCTTTTTAGATTACGATGGGCTGTGTTTGGAATGAATATAGTGGGAATTGCTAACCTGTGGTTTTCTCTCCTTTGACAGTGTCACCAGGTGAATTAGTACAAAAGGTAGGAGACAACTGCCCGCCCAGACCTCGTCAGGAGGAAAACGCAGGCCTCGCTTCTCAGCAACCCCCTCTAGAGCTCATCAGAGTAAAATCGTCCATTACAGTTTCTCAAATTCGCCACCTATGTGAAGACACAAAATGAAAACCCTAGAGACCCCGCCAGGCCCTCATTTCCTTCTCATCCCCAAATTTGTCCCTCCAGGAAGTGCAGCCAGGAAAGCCGGTGCTTGGAGCCTGGCTCACCCGCCGCGGAGCTGGGGACCTCGTGCACGTCACCGAGGCTCTCCGGGGCTGTTTCCTAATCTATGAAATGTGGTTCTTTACTCACAGGTCTGTTCTGAGAAGTGAATAACAGGACGTCTTCTGCATGCCCCGACCCCTGACAGCTTTCGGCCACTCAGCAAATGCAACGTCCTTCCTGGCTCAGGTTCTCTAGTTTGCTTCTGAAAGGGGCCGCACTTCTTGTCATATCCAATAAGGCCTGTTTTTGTTCTTTCCTAACGCACCTGCCTCACCTCTGAACAATATCATTTTTCTATTTTGGAAATGATGTATTTTTGGCATGAGGAAAATGAGAAAGTTTACCACCCGTGCTGAGAGCCGGCCTGCCTGGCAGTGGCTGAAGATGCTGGAGAGAGCTGCTCTGAACTTTGCTGACTGGAGCGAGACTTTGCATTTGGGAGACTTTATGCAGCTTGGAGCTCCACAAAGGCCGGTTCCTCCTCACTTCCACTCGATGCCTCCCTGCTGCTGTCCTGAACAACTGTCCTAACTTTGTTTGTGGAGTATTGTCAGAATTCACTTCTCCAAATGAAGTCTCTTCTTAGCACGAGACTTTGGGGTTTGCTCACTGCGGTGGCTGTCCAATGGTCGATGGCTGATGCCCTTGCAGCGTCTCAGTCCCTGGTGCCTGTGAGCTCCCCAGGGTTCCTGGATTCCTCAGTCCTGAATCAGGAGGAGAAGGTGGTAGGAGAGCCCATGTGTGTGGGTGGCCTCAGCCCCAACCCCCGACCTCCAGGGCTGCCCGTCTCCCCGTGTGAGGAGGGGCTGCACAAAGGGGTCCCTAGGTCTCTCCTGCTCAAGGTGCCTGTGCTCCCGTGACTGCAGCCGCTCATCGCCAAGTTCTGAGCTTCCACAGGCTCAGTCTCAACCACGGACCCGAGGGTCCCTTCTCTGTGGCACCACAATTCCAAACTTTCATTTCAGAAGGATGAGAGGCTATCTGGCCTAGCACTGGGCATCTGACCTAGCACTGGGCATCCGGATACTTCAGGTTTATGAGCTGAGTGCACAAATTGTAAGTGACACTTCAGAGGCTGCCAGATTGAGACAGATAATTAGCTACACCAGTTACTTTTGAAAATTTAATGGTATGTGATGAGCACGTGTTGGATCATCACTGGATGGATACCTTCTTCACACATATAAATGGTAATTTATCTACATGCAGATGGTTAAGTCAAACCACAGCCCACCCAACAGTTCTAGACAGATTCTCACCGGAAGCTTCTAGGGGGGCTCATTTGACAGAATTCCACGTCTCTAAGCAGACATGCCCGAAGGTTCAGACCCTGTGGCCGGAGAAGCGCGTGGAGCAGGGCTCCTCCCTCGCCCCGTCTGGTAAGTGCTGTGGAGTATTTCAGCTTTTCTTTATCCTCCAGAGGGGGCTTGCTTTTGCCACCTTGTTGTAGTTGTTTAAAATTCATACATACATGCAGACACACTGTTGCTGAGGTAACTTGATTCCCTCATGGAACCAGGAACCTGGAGACAGGGTTCCCATTGCTTTGGTTTGGCCTAGTGATGTGTCTCTGCCAGATGCACTCTAGGAGGTGCCTGCAGGGCCACGGGATGCTGGTCACTGCTATAGGAAAGAGGTGAGGCAGTGTCTGTGTGCAAGTTATGCTCAGGCCTTCAGACAGCGCAGCCACGAGGCACAAACTTCTAGGGATAGGCCACATCCAGACACAGCTCGGGGATGTCACAGGCTCACTTCCAGACCCCCGCAACAAAGCCAGACACACGCATTTTTGGGTTTCCCGTTGCATATGGAGGTTACATTTACACTGTACTGTCGTCTGTCTATTAAGTGTGCAACAGCATTATGTCTAAAAGACAATGTGCCTGTCTTCATTGCTAAAAATGCTGATGATCATCTGAGCCCTCAGTGAGTCCTAATTTTCTTGCTGGTGGAGGGTCTTGCCTCAGTGTTGGTGGCTGCTGACTGATCAGGGTGGTGCTGCTGAAGGTTGGGGTGCTTGTGGCAATTTTAAAAAACAAGACAACAATGAAGTTTGCCACATTGATGGACTCCTTTCATAAAAGATTTCTCTGTAGCATGCCATGCTGTTTGACAGCATTTTACCACATTAGGCTGTCTTTCAAAGTCAGAGTCATCCTCTCAAACCCTGCTACTGCTTTATCAACTAAATTTATGTGATATTCTAAATCGCTTATTGTGATTTCAACAATGTTTGCAGCATCTTCACCAGGAGTAGATTCCATCTCAGGAAACCACTTTGTTAGTCATAAGAAGCAATTTCTCATCCTTAAACTTTGATCCTGAGACTGCAGCAATTCAGTCCCCTTTTCAGGCTCCACTTCTAACTACAGCTCTCTCACTATTTCCCTTCCACCTGCACTTCCTTTTCCCACTGAAGTCTTAAACCCCTCAAAGTCATCCATGAGAGTTGGAATCAACTTCTTCCAAACTCCTGTTAACGTTCATATTTTGTCTCTTCTCATGAATCACTGTTTTCAATGGCATCTAGGATGGTGAATCCTTTCCAGGAGGTTTTCGACTTACTTTGCCCAGATCCATCAGAGGAATCACTGTCTGTTGCAGCTATCGTCTTCCCACACCAAGCCCGTATTCCTCCGTCTGCCTGGGCCTCATGTGGGCAAGCACACAGCTCCTTTGCAGTTCAAACAAGGGGTCAGTGATGCATCCCATGCACGCGTATTTCTGTGTTCTTGGAGGTGTGTTTTCCAGAATATTCTGAGAAGTGGGGTTGCTGGGTCAAAAGCAAGTGTGTGTAGTTTTATCAGGTGTTGACAAAGCCCCGGCTGAAGGGTGGTCCCAGTTCCGATTCCCACCAGTGCTGCTCTCCTCAAATCACCAAGAGAAACTGTCATCATACTTAAAAAAAAATATGACTGAGGACCATTTTAATGTCTTCTTGGTGAATTGTTTGCCTTCTCCCATGGTTCTGTTGGGGTTTTTCTGGCCCTTTGAGCCTCCATTTTTAAGAATTTTTGCTATGTTGGGTTTATTAGCTCCATATCTGTGGGATGTGTTGTGCCTGTTTTCTTCTGATTTGTCAACTGCCTTTTAACTTTGTATATAGTGTTTTTTTAGTGGTGTTAAACATTTTTTTGTAGGCAAATTTGTAAATATTTTCTTTCATCGCCCTTGGATTTTGACGGTAGTTAGTCATCATTTCCCCATGGTTAAAGAGGAATTCACCCAGGTTTCTTCTGGGACTTGAACGATTTCTTTTTTTACATTTGGGTCTCTAATTCATTTGAAGTTTCTTCCCGCATAGGGTGTGAATCTAGGTTCATTTTCCACCCGACTGACGCATTGTTCCTGCACCAGTTACGAGAGTTGTGCTTAAGGGTGGAGGCACCACTGTGTCATTTCAGAAGTAGCACTTTCGCTTCGAATATGTTTGTTAGCATGCGCTGCTAAAACATATGGGGCTCTACACCAAAAAAGTCAATCTTACCATGTGTTTAAAAAGTATTAAAAATCCGTTTTCAGAACAATATGTTTTTAAAGGACATCAAAGCCTCCATAGGAATTTCCAGATGGTGCGTGTTGGGGAAAGAACCGAATTGTTGGTGTGTGTGGTTATCTCTGCAGCGTGGCACTGTGAGCACTTGTATGTCTTATTAAAATTTTTATGTTGTTTTAATTAAAAATGCATTGCAAGGCCAGGCGCCGTAACTCACACCTGTAATCCGAGCACTTTGGGAGGCCAAGGTGGGTGGATCACTTGAGGTCAGGAGTTCAAGACCAACCTGACCAACATGGTGAAACCCCCATCTCTAGTAAAAATACAAAAATTAGCCAGATGTCATGGTGGATGTCTGTAATCTCAGTTGCTTGGGAGGCTGAGGCATGAGAATCACTTGAACCCGGGAGGCGGGGGGTTGCCGTGAACCGAGATTGTGCCACTGCACTCCAGTCTGCACACAGAGTGAGACCCTGTCTCAAAAAAAAAAAAAAAAAAAAAAAAAAAGCACTGGGAGCAGACATGGATGAATAAGCTAAAACCTGACTAAGGGCAGGAACCGTGACATAACTGGATCCTCGGAGAGGACATCTGCCCCCAGCAGGGTTTGAGCTGAGCCATTTCATTCCCACTGTTCCTTGTGCGTTTGCATAAATCCCTCCAAGCTTCATCTCCACTACCCCATGGCACAGAAGAAAATCTGGCTGGAGTTAAGATTTGTAGCAAGATGTGGAATCGTTTTTCCGGTGTGTGGAGACCACAGGCCCTTGTGGCTGCAGGGTGGGAGTAGGTCTGGTCCTGGGACCTGCGTTTTTCTAGGTGTAGTTATCTGGGCTTTTAAACATGCAGGTTCACGTAGGTGATCGAAGTCTGTTTCTATCCACAAAGAGCCCACCTGTCCTTTGGAAATTGAAAAAGGACTTAAAAAACCTGAGTAACCAGTGAAGTGTCTGTTGATTTGGGGGCAGGATGAAGAACTGAAAGCTGCCCTGTGCTCCTTCCCGGGAGAGGCACATGTTCCTTCCCGGTGGAACCCAGTGTGGAGGACTGTTCTGTGTGTGTTCTCTTTCACAAATCAACCCGAGCAACTGTGGTCGTATTGTGACCCTTGAATGCCAATCAATGAACAAAAACAGTATTTGAAAATGTGCACTTTGACATCACCCACGAGGCAGCGGGGCTTTGAGATAAGAGGACGGCCTCCCGCGCTCCGGTGCCTGCGGCCGAGGAAGAGGACGGCCTCCCGCGCGCTGCCTGCTTTCTCAGGAAGAGGACGGCCTCCCGCGCGCTGCCGGCTTCCTCAGGAAGAGGACGGCCTCCCGCGCGCTGCCGGCTTCCTCAGGAAGAGGACGGCCTCCCGCGCGCTGCCGGCTTCCTCAGGAAGAGGACGGCCTCCCGCGCGCTGCCTGCTTCCTCAGGAAGAGGACGGCCTCCCGGGCGCTGCCGGCTTCCTCAGGAAGAGGACGGCCTCCCGCGCGCTGCCGGCTTCCTCAGGAAGAGGACGGCCTCCCGCGCGCTGCCGGTTTCCTCAGGAAGAGGACGGCCTCCCGCGCGCTGCCTGCTTTCTCAGGAAGAGGACGGCCTCCCGCGCGCTGCCGGCTTCCTCAGGAAGAGGACGGCCTCCCGCGCGCTGCCTGCTTCCTCAGGAAGAGGACGGCCTCCCGCCTGCTGCCGGTTTCCTCAGGAAGAGGACGGCCTCCCGCGCGCTGCCGGTTTCCTCAGGAAGAGGACGGCCTCCCGCGCGCTGCCTGCTTCCTCAGGAAGAGGACGGCCTCCCGCGCGCTGCCGGTTTCCTCAGGAAGAGGACGGCCTCCCGCGCGCTGCCGGCTTCCTCAGGAAGAGGACGGCCTCCCGCGCGCTGCCGGCTTCCACAGGAAGAGGACGGCCTCCCGCGCGCTGCCGGCTTCCTCAGGAAGAGGACGGCCTCCCGCGCGCTGCCGGCTTCCTCAGGAAGAGGACGGCCTCCCGCGCGCTGCCGGCTTCCTCAGGAAGAGGACGGCCTCCCGCGCGCTGCTGGCTTTATCTGGGCTCCTGAGGTTCTCCTTTGAGTGTCATCACACCCACACTTGCGACTCCTTCCCGCCACAGAGGGAGGTTGGTGGCGATTGGTTTTGTCTTCATTTTGCCCAGAAAGACATGGAAAAACCAAGTTAGATCAAACGGAGGAAAGGAGTCCTGCCACCTGTGTGGGCTATGTGGCCTGGGCCAGGTGCTCAGGGCAGGTAGGGCTCCTGGCATGTGTCTAGGGCTCCAGGCGTGTGTCTAGGGCTCCTGATGAGTCAGCCTCACACGTGGCCTGCTCAGGGGCCCGGGAAAGAGTCAGCGCTGCACAGTCAGGCACGGGGACCCTCGCGTGTGAGTCCACGGCCTTCAGAGGGGTCAGGTGGGAGGACAGAGTTTGCTTCTGAACGACCTTGACCATGGAGGTGGATAGATTGTGTTCACTTAAATGTAAAACAGTGAAATTTAAATGTTTTAAGGAAACAAAATGTTATTTGTATTTAAAATTGATTAACAGTGAAAGATAGATAAATGGTAAATGGAACAAACATACAACAGACGTGAGAAAGAGCAAAAGATGGGAATGACGAGATGAGACAAAGAGGAGCCTGAGAAGAGAAAGGGCCGGCGGGCGCAGAGACAGAGGACCCAGCCACGCTGGGGAGGGCGGGCGCAGAGACGGAGGACCCAGCTATACCATGGAGGGCGGGTGCAGAGGGGCCAGGCGAGAGGGCCAGGCAGGCACAGAGACAGAGGACGCAGCTTTGCCAGGGAGGGCAGGTGCAGAGACAGAGGACCCAGCTATGCCAGGGAGGGCGGGTGCAGAGACAGAGGACCCAGCTATGCCAGGGAGGGCAGGTGCAGAGACAGAGGACCCAGCTATGCCAGGGAGGGCGGGTGCAGAGGGGTCAAGCGCTGACAGTGAGGGGGTCTTTCCAGTGGCTTCCCCTCTGGAGCTCACACACACTTACTTTAATCCTTATAAGGCCCTGTGAGGCAGGCACCGTAATAATTGCTCCATAACCAGCTGGCGAGAAAATCCAAGCTCGTAATTAGTAATCATCACGAAACAGCTTTCTTGGCTGACAGCACATAAACCAAAACAGTAGATGTGCTGGTTCCGGCTGCTGAGGGCCAGGGTCTGCAGACCTGCCCTGTGAAGCTTACGTGGCCTGCCAGACTTCATGCTCGGCAGGTCCCGTGGCCTCCTGGGGCTGTTTCTTTGAGGTGAAAAGAGGGTGGACCAGATGCAGTTGTTTCAAATTGCTTTCTGAGGGTCTCCCTCCTGGGCTGGACTAAGTCAGGGGGCTTTCATCCTCCATCAATCAGGCCAACAAGTCTATTCTATAAACCGGGGTCCACATTCAATTTTATTTGAACAAAATGTTCTATCAGCCTGAAAACTGCTAGGAAGGTCTCTAAGGCCATCTGGCTCTGAGCCTGCGATTCCAATGCTTGTTAGCGGATTTGTTTGTCCAGCTGTTGGTGTCTCTTCTTCCTGGCTTTGCCGCTCAGCCCTGGGCTTTCCAGAGCTTTCTAGGGGTCTCCTAAGAGGGCAAGCGGGTGGTACTTTCTGTATTTTAATATTGTGTTAGAATCTGGGACATCTGATTGCTGAAATGAGATGTTAGTTGGTACAGGGAGGGGTTTCCAGGACCCGCACGCCCTTGCGGAGTGCCTGCTGGAGGGAGCCGGTGTGTCCAGGACACCCTTGCGGAGTGTCTGCTGGAGGGAGCCAGTGTGTCAGTGAGATGGCTATGCCCCTGGGCTGCTGTGTCCCAGGTTTCCTCAGTCTCTAACCCTTTGTTCTCACAGGGGATGGACTCTTGCTTCTTTTCCCAACTCCACCAAGAGGGACCGTCCCAGGACGTCCTTCCCCGGGCATCTGGCCCTACAGCTGCCTGAGGTCTCCATCACCGTTGGCGCCATCAGTCTGCTGTGCAGCCAGCTGTTGGTTTGGAGAGCCTGAAGAACTGCAGTTCACGTCTCATCTAAAGGAGCTGAAATGATATTGCAGCTTTTTCTTTTGGTTGCGTGCAGTGAGAATCTGGGAGCTGAACCTGTTATCTGCATGGTCTTCAGAAATCAGGCAAACTCGGAAAATGCCAACGCCAAAAATGCTGATGGGTGACAAAGTGTCACAGGTGTGATGCATTACAAATCTCAGGACTTTTGTTCACTGGATTTGAAAGGTCAAGCTTCACAGGAAAATGATGAAGTCCCAAAAGACCAGAAATATATTTCAGAAGATGCCAGTTACTACTTTAAATGTCAAACCAACATTTCAGAAATAACTTTCAATGATTATTTCCTGCCAAGAAGGTGAACGCTGGAGACCTTAATGGTGGAAGATGGAGGGCGTCTTTCCTTCTGTTAAGCTGACAACTTGGCTTCCATCTTGTGAGGACCTCACCCTACCTGGTGGCAGAGGACGTCTGACGCCCTCAATCATTGCCGTTACACTTCCCAGCCTGGTGGTCAGTCTCCTGGGGTCTGTGTGTTAACAAACCATCGACTGGACAATCGCAGTTTTCCTTATGAAGGCTTACTTTAAAAAGGCTCTGGATTTTCAGAAGCGAAGTCGCTTTCATCCCCGATTCAGACCCATCCTAGTGGAGGAAAAATCCTACCAGAAGAAGGGCTGACCATAGGAACTTGCCATTTCCTTGACCCCATCATATCTGAGGAAAAAACAACAGAAAAGGTAATTATATTATACCTGTATCCGTTTTCTTAAGCTGTAGGCTCACAATATCAAGGGCTCTGTGTGAAGACTTGGGTGGTTACAGAGGTGCCACCAAGTGGATGGGTCACATGAATTGGCAGTGGGGTTGAGATGACCCTGTTTTACGAAATCATGGACAGGATGAATTCTTGAGATGATCTGGGTCTTCCGTGTGATACGTGGATGCTTGGCCTTCTGGGCTAATGCAGCATTGCACCTGCCTCTGCCACCTAGTTTTGGCACCTCCAATGATGGAGAGCTCACTTCTTCTTGAGCAGCCCATTTATTTTTGTTCAGCTCTAATTGCAAGAAACAGCTTCTATTTTCCACACTGAAACCTCTCTCCCTGCGGTTTGTATCCACAGGTCCTAATTCTTCCTCTGGTTACAGGACAAGGACAATAATAATCTTTTCCTAGTAACAACTTTTCAACATACTTGAATAGTTAATATGGGCTGCTTCTCATTCTCTCTCCTGAAAACACAGGAAGATCTTTTCTTTCCTGTCGAAACTTCCCCAGTTCCGTGAATTATCCTTTGCGGGAGCGGGGTTCCTATCCCACACCATGGCGGATGCCCCCGCTTTGCGGGAGCGGGGTTCCTATCCCACACTGTTGCGGATGCCCCCCATTTGCGAGAGTGGGGTTCCTATCCCACACCATTGTGGATGCCCGCTGATGTGGTTGTTGCAAGCGTCCTCACAGCACGAAGCTAACATGTTTGGGACAGTGAGCCAGCCAGGTTCCCGGGAGGCCTCCTGCTTCCCTCGCCTGACTGCACTTACGCCTTCTCGGAGACTGACTTCTCCTTTGCTTCTTACCATGAGGCTGTCTTATCCACCAGCTCAGTGATTCCTGTCCTCCAAATTTACAACTGTGTTATCTGTACTCTACATGAAAACTTTAATTAACAAAGTCTTAGGTCACTTTTACATCCAAACTCTGATCAAATCTCGCTGCGCCCACTACCAATGCCACAGTTTCTCACTGGATTATTGGGGTTGCACCCGACTGCCTGCTTCAGCTCTTCCCCGTCCTCAGGACAGCACTGGGATGATGAGTGCCACGAGCCAGGTCACTTCACACCCCTGCCCTGCACCGCACAGTGGGGAGTGGAGGCTGTGGCCCTAGATGCCTGCACCCGCCTGCCACGCTTTTGGCCCCTTCCCCCTCCACTGGCCCCCAACCCCCAGCCCTGACGCCATGCCTGTAGTTGCGCCCCCAACACCCACGTCTCTTCCCTGGGTCCTCTTGTTTTCCTTGGCGCGTGACCGTGTCTCACACTCAATTATGTCTCTTACCACCCACTACAGAGAGTGGGACCGTTGTCTGGTTGGGTTCCTGTTGTTTCTCCCACACCCAGGACTGTGCCTAATGCACAGGAATAAAAAATATTAAATGAATAAGACAATCTGTGTGTCAGCAAAGATGACAAAAATACTGCTTATTTCTTGACTTGGTATTTAACTTTTCCCATATCTGCCCAACAAGACGGACTTCTGTGGCTGGAAAGCTTTCTCCCTGAACACTCAGCACTCCTGGCCCAGGTCCCACATGAAGGTCTAATAACCTAGTCCCACAAAAAGAGCAAAAGATGAGTGGAGGTTGTCAGTTTGACCGCAGCGAGAGGCAAATCAGGAAAGGGATGCATAAGCAGACCTCTGCCGAGCCCAGATGACTGGAATGTTCACAGTTGGTGGTTAGGAAAAGCTTCCTTGAGGAGAGGAGCGTTGGCTGAAATGCAGGGGAGGCGTAGGAGGGCATTCTGGGTGTGGAGGGCACTGTGTGGAAGAGGCAGAGAAGGGGTTACGTATTTAGGAGATAGAATTGCACACAGGCTGTGAAAGACGGGCATCAGCTCAGTCAAGACACAGGAGAAATCACAAGGTGGCCGCAGGGATGTAAAAGGTCACATCAAAGAGAGGTGGGACCCAAGAGTGTCTGTTGTTACAAATGCGTGTTTAGGAAGTGGACAGGGGTTTGCTGTGAGGCTTGCTTGGCAGCTCTGCAGGAGGAGGAGGAAGGAACGGCCTAGGCCTTTGGAATGTGCTTAGAGGCCCACAGCCAGGTCAGGGCGATCAATCCCAACAGGGCAGATGCAGAGGCTGCTGGTCAGTGCTGCTGGCTGGGCACAGAGGCGGGAAGAGCCAGGACCACAGAGCAGGGGAAGGAGATGAGGATTAACCCTGCATGGCCTGGGAGGAAAGTGGTCGACCACCCCCAGGGCAAGAACAATGCAGGAGAGGAGGCGCTCAGCACCCACAGTGCACCACCTTTGCCCACACAGCTCCTGAGCCAGGAGAAGACTCCTTAGTGGAGGAGAACACAATGTGAGTGACACAAAAGCTGTTAGAGACCGGGCAGATGCAGTGTCAGGAAGTCAAATGCAGAGTCTTCAAAGGAGGAAGCTGCCTGTGAAATGGTTTAGAACATGGCTCCTTTTTAAAATTGTCTTGTGTCCCCTATGAGATCTGGTATTCAGTCAAAGATAAGAGGCAGAGGATCTGTAATGCAGAAGGTTGTTCTTGAAGCTCTGTTTTGAAAGGATAGTGGCCAGAACGCGCTGCCTGTGTCCAGCGTCCCTGATTTGTCACAATGAGCAAGATCTCTGAGCATCGTCAATCTCTTTCTCTGCCCCAAGAAACTCAAGCTTGGTTAAAATAAGAAACATCTTCAAAAACATCTCTAGCTATCTCTTTTGTAATTCACTTTCTTTAGTATCATAATTAAGTTAAGATTTATATGTATGTGTTGGGAGCGCCTCTGGCTCTGGAAATTATGCCCATTGTTCATTACTATCAGCAAGCTGTGGTGTGTTTGCTTGCATGAAAAACATCACCATTGCTACTACTTAGAAAGGAGTCTAGTGCAAAATAAAGGGAAGTCTGCGTTTACAGTTTCTTAGGTAATGTGCTTCCATTACATTCGGTCTCATGTGGAAATTCAAATTGATCCATTAATGTGATTCTTGGGGCATATCCTCAATATGATATCGAAAAGATTTCTGATTAGCAGGTCACATAAGTTACATCTGACAAGTCTTGTCAGAACTCCGTCAGTACCAGTGACACACACTAGACCATACCACAGGCCACATTTTATCCCTGGAACACAGCTGTTACTCAGCAAAATGGTCAGATCTTAAAGTAAATATTAGCCTTATCCTCCACAAGTGATATTGTTAAGAGGTTTACTCTTGCAGTTTTATTGATGCTGCTTATTTTTTAAACAAACTTTTCTTTAACTCAAAGACAAACTTCAGCCAAGCCCGTCTATGTAGTACCCATTTCCAAATTAGTAGAGAATCAAAATTCACGAGGTTTATGTTCCACACAGTGAAGTTTAATGAGGAAGGGCCAAGTTCATCTGCAGCACGTCTGGATGAGCGCCCGGCCCCGCTGGGGCTCCAGGCACTGGCATTTCCTGTTGGCCCCAGCATCGGTCACAAGTGCAAGGTGGCAGCAGCCAGGGACTTCTTTAGAGAACATAGCCCCACGTAACTCCCTTTCACCATTGTTCTCCAAATTCTCCCATGCTTAAAACCACAGAGGGCTCATGGCAGAAGGCGAGGAATGGGCTCTTTCCTGCAGTTTCTGTGAGGCTGCTTCTGAAAGGCACTGGCTGGGTTTTAGCAAATCCTCATGATGGCAGGACCTGCCTAATCCCCAGGAGCATTTGGAGGATGCTGCCGTTGGGGGCCCCAGGCTCTGCTGGGAGGAGGGCAACGGCCTCACCCTTCCCCGGGTCAGGGACGAGGTCAGGGTCGGGGCTGGGGTCAGGGTCAGATTGGGATTGAGGTCGAGGTCGGGGTCGGGGTCAGGGTTGGGGTCACGGTTGAGGTCAGGTCGGGGTTGGGTCTGGGTCGGGTCGGGTTGGAGTCAGGGTTGAGGTTGAGGTTGGGTTGGGGTCAAGTTTGGGGTCAGGGTCAAGGTCAGGATTGGGTTGGGGTCAGGTTGGGGTCAGGGTTGAGGTTGAGGTCGGGTTGGGAGTCAAGGTTGGGGTCAGGGTCAAGGTTGGGATGGGGTCTGGGTTGGGTTGGGGTCAGGGTTGAGGTTGAGGTCGGGTTGGGGGTCAAGGTTGGGGTCAGGGTCAAGATGGGGATTGGGTCGGGTTGGGTCAGGGTCAGGGTTGAGGTTGGGTCGGGGGGTCAAGGTTGGGGTCAGGGTCAAGGTCGGGGTTGGGGTCGAGGTCGCATTGGGGTCAAAGGGGCTTGTGCACTTCTGTATCTTTGCATTTGCTTTTTATGTTCTGATTTGAAATGACTTAAAACGTATTATTTTGGCATTTTTCAAGCAACATTATGGTAAAATTTCTGGAGATGAGGTCTCCAGGCTCCCCTGGGCCATTAAATCATCTCGGCCTTGTCCCTCTTTTGGGTCTGCACAAGTCATGGGCATGGCAGGGCCCTTGGCTGGTGTCCAGGGCACTGGCCTCAGTGGGCAAACCTGGTGTGGGGGGAGGCGGACATGCAGTGGCCATAGGAGATGTTCTGTTCAGGCCCTGCCCAGGCACTGCAGACCTCGGACCTGTCCTGGGCCCTGGCACCACACACCCTCCTGCTCAGCACGGCCAGCTGCCTCCCCATGCCCTGCTCAGATGAATGCATGGGACTCCTTGGGAGACCGAGGTCAGAGTCACATCATATGTGGGAAGTATCTTGGGAAGGAGGAGCTGTGGAGGTGAGCAGCTGGGCCCTTCTGTGGCCCTGCAAGGCTGTAGAGGCCAGAGGGCATGGGCAGGTGCTGGCTTCGCCCGTGTGGGAGGCAGCCTTGGGGACGGGACTTCTCCCTGGCCTGTGTCCCCGGCGCCCCCTCCCATGCCAGCCATGACAGCCTCCATGCTTTCTCCCAGCCAAATCCTCCTAATGCTGGGCTCTGGAACGGCTGATCTGGTGGATTTTCAGGTGTTTATAATTTGTGAGTTATTGTGACCGTTTCTGGGGGTGAGGGCAGCTCCTTGCTAGTAAGCTGTCCTTTGTGGTCACGCCAACCTCAGGGAACCCTCCAAGGACGCTGTGTTCCTCAGGACACCCACAGTGAAGTGATGTCATGTGTGGACACAAAGGCGGCTGTGGGCCTGGAGAGCCCCTGTCGCACTTCTGCCGGGAGCTTTGCGCTTGGGGGTTTGTGTGAACGGAGGCTCGGGGTCAGAACTGATCATTTCTACACATCTATAAATCCATGAATGCCCCCACACTCTAGAACATAATTGACCGGGGCCAGGGTGGATCCAGAGATGAGACAGGTCTGGCCACCCAAACTGGGCCAGCTCCCTGTACGTGGGCTGTGGGAGGGTGAGCTGATTGAGTGTGGCCCAGAGTTGACAGCCTTGTCCCTCTCGTGTGCTCAGAGGGCTTCAGGCACCTGGAAAAAAGTGCACATGCCGTGCCATGCCTGCGGTGGGCCTGGCAGGCCCTTGGTGCACACGCTGTGCCACGACTGTGGTGGGCACGGCAGACTCTTGGCGGGGTCTGGGGTTTCCGCCAGATGCTGCTTCTTATTCTCAGGGGATGAGATAATTCTAGACAAGAGACTCTCCAGCTCTAAACAGAAATGTTTTCAACAGAGAGTCCTTTAAAAAAAAATCCTTTTGAAATATTGTTGATAAAAGCTGGCCATTCCTATTTTGAGACTTTACTGGCCAAAATGAAACAACAGGCAACCCTTTCAGACTTTTTATGTCTGTGAGACTCAGAAATCTGGCCACTAGTTGGCTGGCACTTCCTGGCAGGGGGCTGCTATGAAAGGGTCCCCAGCTCTGACCCAAGTATGAGCTGGGCCTGAGCAGGGCCTTCTTAAACGCTTTGTGCCTCGGTGACCAGCCATGCTCACGTGCGCATACACAGAATAGGTAGTATACACGGTCTGCAATGTCACTTTGCTTATTTTAGAGGAAGGAGATGACTGTTAGACCTTGTTTTCTATAGGAACAGGCAAAGGGGAGTTGACTGCGATGTTTAAATAGCACAGGTGGCCTGTGAGCCTCTGCACACCAGCCTTTCTGACTAGAAGCCCAGGGAGATGAGCTGACAGTGCTGTTCACAGGCGTTCCTGGGGAGAGTGCCAGGCCCAAGGGCAGTAGCTGGTGGGGGCAGAGCGGGGAACCTGGGCTCTGACGCAGGCACAGGCAGGGGTGTGGTCTTTAAAGAGCCCACAGGCTGCAGAAGGGGCCTCCTTGGTGATGAAACTTGACCTCCTGTGGAGGGAGGGCAGCCCTGGAATTTCTCTGACCTTTCTTTAGGCACCAAAGACTGTAAACAGTCTCTGCCCCGGGGCCTGACATGACCAGTCTCTGACCTCAGGGTTTATTTTATTAAAAATAATTCTTGAAAACTCTCCATTTCAACCGTTGCCCGAGCCACGTGTTGAGGATGACGGCATCGCGTTCTTTCTGCCCAGGGTGCGGAGGAGGGGCCGCCCCCGGGCGGTGGGAAGGGGGGCTGTCCCCAGACACCTCAAGGCCTGCGGAGTGTGGACGTTAAAGTTCACAGTCCCTCCAAGGATCAAGGGTTCATTTTGAGAGGGAGCAGGGACTCCCTTGTTAGAGGCCTGCAGTCCTCCAGCCCCCTGCAAAGAGTTCCTTCAAGGGGAAGCCAGCTCGCCTGTAAATGAACAACCTGATAAGCAAGAAGGTTACGGGCAGCCCAAGTCAGCAGCCAGGGGAGTGAGTCCAGAGATTTTTGTTTCTCTGTAGACTCTAAAGATCCCATCTTCACACATGTCCCCGAGCTGCCTTTCAGAAGCCCAGACCCCACTGCGGACCCCCACGAAGAGACCTTAGATGGGGGGAACGGGAGGCTGACCTCTGATCACTGTTCTTTGGGTCTAAATTTCTTCTTGAGGGGCTTGGAGGGAGCCACACCCCTGAGTCGGTTAACAATTTCTCTGCCGACCCCAATTTTTAAACAAAGCTGCTCTTCCTTAACCAACTACAAATCAGGAAATCCTTGAATCCTCTGATGACCCCTAAGTCCTCACTTCGAGATCTCCCACCCTTTTAGGTCAAAACCCACGTGTACGCCCAACGTCCTGATTGACGACTTTGCCTGCAGCTTCTGCTTTCCTGAAATTCGCTGCTGCCTTTAGAACCCTTGTCTGCAGCCAGTGGGGAGTTCAGGACTTAGGCGGAGCTGCCCCACCCTCCTGCTTGGCACCCTGCAAATACATGCCCTCCCTTCCATCGCTGCAGACCTCAGAGTGGGCGTCCGGTCTCCTGTGCGGGATGAGAATACACACCCTCCCTTCCATCGCTGCAGACCTTAGAGTGGATGTCCGGTCTCCTGTATGGGATGAGAATACACGCCTTCCCTTCCATCGCTGCAGAGTGGACGTCTGGTCTCCTGTGTGGGATAATACACGCCCTCCTTTCAATCGCTGCAGACCTCAGAGTGGACGTCCGGTCTCCTGTGTGGGATAATACACGCCCTCCTTTCAATCGCTGCGGACCTCAGAGTGGATGTCCGGTCTCCTGTATGGGATGAGATACACTCCTTCCCTTCCACTGCTGCAGACCTCAGAGTGGACGTCCGGTCTCCTGTGTGGGATGAGATACACTCCTTCCCTTCCACTGCTGCAGACCTCAGAGTGGACGTCCGGTCTCCTTTGTGGGATGAGAATACACTCCTTCCCTTCCATCACTGCAGACCTCAGAGTGGACGTCCGGTCTCCTGTGCGGGACAAGAATACACTCCTTCCCTTCCATCACTGCAGACCTCAGAGTGGACGTCCAGTCTCCTGTGCGGGATGAGATACACTCCTTCCCTTCCATCGCTGCAGACCTCAGAGTGGACGTCCAGTCTCTCTGTGCGGGCCAAGTGTACACAGTTTTGTTCCGTCACAACTTCCACGACAGGCCAGTGTGAGGTTTTTGAGCTGGTGCTGACTGAAAACTGTCAGCTGCCCAAGGACCTGGGAGCTCTGCTCCCCACTCCTGGTGTGCGGTCTTGCGCCTGGCCTCCCTGCCTAGGTTACATGCAGTGGTCATCCCGGTCGCTCCCACACCCGTGTGGGCTCTGGGATCCCCTCTTCCAGCCAGCCCAGGGGACATCTGGCTGTCTCAGGACCCAGCCATCTGTAAAAATTAGGCAGGTCCCTTCAGTATGCTCCTGGTCAACAAAGAAAAACTTCAATTTTGAGAATGGCATCTGTATTCCGAAGTGTTCTCTCAGATGTTTGAGTTCCACTAAGTAGGTAGGAAGTGGCAGTGTTGCTGTTTAATGGATTGGTAATTTTTGAATATTTCTTAAACATTTTTATTTGTGTTTTTTTGGATTGAAATTTATGTAATTTGTTACTATCTGTTAGACTCTTGGTGTTTCTCTTACTGACTCAACCATAAGAATACTAACTCCTTTTCGTATTTCTTGCATATATTTTTCCATATTACTGTTTCCCTTTTGATTTAGCTTGTGGTTTCTGACATGGTTTCTCAGTCTCACTCTCCTCCACATTCTGTCTACTCTCAACCCCTCACCCATCATGTCTCGGCTTCTGTCCCCTTTATGCTTCAATCTCATCCCCTCCACTGTGTCTGTGTCATCACTACAGTGTGTCTCAGCCTTAGCTCCCCCACTGTGTCTGTCCCAACTCCCCATTTTATCTCAGTCTCACCCCACATTGTGTCTCAGTCTCACCCCCCGTTGTGTCTCAGTCTCACCCCCCATTGTGTGTGAGTCTCATCCCCCATTGTGTCTCAGTCTCACCCCCCATTGTGTCTCAGTCTCACCCCCCATTGTGTCTCAGTCTCACCCCCCATTGTGTCTCAGTCTCACCCCCCCCATTGTGTCTCTGTCTTACCCCTCATTGTGTCTGTCTCATCCCCCCCCACTGTGTCTCAGTCTCACCCCCCACATTGTGTCTGTCTCATCCCCCACATTGTTTCTCAGTCTCACCTCCCCATTGTGTCTGTCTCACCCCCCACATTGTGTCTGTCTCATCCCCCCATTGTGTCTCAGTCTCACCCCCTCATTGTGTCTCTGTCTCACCCACCGCATTGTGTCTCAGTCTCACCCCCCATTATGTCTGTCTCAACTCCCCATTGTGTCTCAGTCTCACCCCCCATTGTGTCTGTCCCAACTCCCCATTGTGTCTCAGTCTCACCCCCCATTGTGTCTGTCCCAACTCCCCATTGTGTCTCAGTCTCACCCCCCATTGTGTCTGTCCCAACTCCCCATTGTGTCTCAGTCTCACCCCCCATTGTGTCTGTCCCAACTCCCCATTATGTCTCAGTCTCACCCCTCATTGTGTCTCTGTCTCACCTCCCCGCATTGTGTCTCTGTCTCACCCCCCATTGTGTCTGTCTCAACTCCCCATTGTGTCTCTGTCTCACCCCCCATTGTGTCTGTCTCAACTCCACTGTGTCTCAGTCTCACCCCCACATTGTGTCTGTCTCGTCCCCCCCATTGTGTCTCAGTCTCACCCCCCCATTGTGTCTCAGTCTCACCCCCCGCATTGTGTGTCTGTCTCATCTCCCCCACTGTGTCTCGGTCTCATTTCTCCGATTGTGTCTCTGTTTTGTCCCCCTTATTGTGGGGGTCTTGTCCCCCTTTTTATGTCTCTGTCATTCCTTTCCTAATATGTATTCAGGGGCCTGGGGTTGGTTTTTACTGACAAGAGCATCTGCAGAGCTGAGTAGCCCATGAAGAAAGCATGTTTCCCTGGGTCCCCGCAGAACTCCAATCACTGTGGCACCACTGTGAAGATCTTGGGGGTCTGGTGCTGTTCCTCACTCGGGGGAGCAGTGAGTCCATGTTCTCACCAACTGGGAGAGGAAGTGTGGGCAGATAGTGTGGGTGGAAAATGTTTGCTTCATTTGACATTGGCGTCAAGCCAGATCTGTGTGCCATTTGAGAACACAATGATCTGAATGAAAAGAGCTCCTAAAAACAAAACCTGAAAATTTTTCTCTGTGGAAGAGCCCTCAGTTATTATTTCACCTTCCCTAGTGGTTGCTACAGCAACAAGCATCTTGTGTGATGCCTGACAGGAAGAGCCCAGAGACCTGATTGACGAACAGATCATTGCTTCACTTTAAATAAGGTTTTGCAGCCAGGCGTGGTGGCTCATGCCTGTAATCCCAGCACTTTGGGAGAGTGAGGCGGGTGGATCACTTGAGGTCAGGCATTCATGACCAGCCTGGCCAACATCATGAAACCCTGTCTCTACAAAAAATACTAAAATTAGCCAGGTGTGGTGACACGCGCCTGTAATCCCAGTTACTTGGGAGGCTGAGAGGCACGAGAAATCTCTTGAACCCGGGATGGGGAGGCTGCAGTGAGCCAGGATTGTGCTACTGCACTCCAGCCTGGGCAACAGAGTGAGACTTCGTGTAAAAAAAAAAATTAGGCTTTGCTTTTTTCTCATGGAATTAAATATTTTCAAATGTATTTCCAACAAAATGAACTAATTTTTCTAATCTTTTTTCCCTTCTAATATCTATATTTTAAGCTACAAATTTTCTTGCAAGGATTCCTTTAGTTGCATCCTACAAATTTTGATGTGTTTTTCTTCGCATTCAGCTCAACATATTTTGAAATTTCTCTTGTGATTTCTTCTTTGATATATTTAGATATGCATTACTTAACTTCAAATATTTGGCATTTTTATGTTATTAATTTCTAGTGCAATTTAATTATGGTCAGAGCCTACTCTGTATCGTTTCATTCCTCTGGAATTTATCAGGACTTGATTTATGGTCTAGTATATGGTCCATTTTGGTGAATGTTCATGTGCACTTGAAAAAAATATGGATTCTGCAGTCGTTGGGTGAAATGTTCTCTGTGTGCTGATCAGGTCAAGTTGGTTAATATTGTTAGTTAATATTATTGTTTGAATGTTCTATATTCTTACAGATTTTCTTAGTCTGCTGTATCAATGACACAGAGAGACGTGCATTAAAACCTCAACCATGTGGATCTATTTCTTTTCAGTTAATTTTGCTTCATGTATCTTGAAGCTCTGTTATCAGGTGCATGCACATTTGGGATTGTTATGCTTTCCTGATGAACTGACCTTCTTTCATTATGCAAGGGGAAGAAGATGCTGCATACAGGATGGAATATCCAGGGGAAGACGTCTAAGGAGAGATGCCCAGCTGGGAGTCCTATGCAAGGGGAAGAAGATGCTGCATACAGGATGGGATATCCAGGGGAAGATTTCTAAGAAGAGATGCCCAGCTGGGAGTCCTATGCAAGGGGAAGAAGATGCTGCATACAGGATGGGATATCCAGGGGAAGATTTCTAAGGAGAGACACCCGGCTGGAAGTCAAGATATGTCAGTTGTTTCCATTATAATAAAACCACTCATGTTAGATGAGCTGAACTTTCCCTTTTCCCCAGTTCTTACGATCAAAAAGTGGCTGTCCTAAATTTCATCACTCAATATCCTTGCTAGGTGAGTAATTAGATAACATAATTTGTGCTGCATTATTAATGGTTTGCTTGGCAGAGTGAATTACTGCAAGCAATGCACAATGGATTCCAAGTTGCCTGCTCCAAGAGCACTATTCTGAGGCTGGTACATGCCTCTCAAATCACACCACATATTTCATGGTTTCTTCTGCTTGTGGTTCACTCTTCCCCATCATTCAGACTTCGTTCAGTAACTCCTCTCTGCAGGCCGGTCTTCTGGTCCTCTCCCTGAGTCTGGCTGAGTCCAGGGTGTTTATGGGCCTCAGAGGGGAGGAAGTGTGTGCTGATTGGTCCATGGGTGGCCATGGGCGGGCCCAGGAAAAAGAACAAGCGCCCCCTGTGGTCCATGGGGCTGTCGTCCCGGCCCCCAGGCTTCAGGCCTTCCCCAGCCTGAAGGTGGGGCTTCACTGGGGACCTGCCCTTTTCCACCCCAGCCTGTCTGCCTCCTGTCTGCACTTGCTGAGTGGGTGCACCTTGTACACAGTGACAGCCAGGACATATCCTCCTTTAAAGGGCCCCTCCAAGCCAGTCTGCCTCTGTATTCCCAACTACCATTTATTTAATCAGTTAATAATCAGATATTTTGCTTTTCAATTATTTGATATTACAAATAACACCATGATGACCATTCTCATACACAAATCACTGTGCATAATTCTGAATATTTAACTGGAAAAATTCCTAGCAATGAAATTACTGGGTTGAATGGAATGAACATTCTAAGTTTATAATATATTTAGCTTATAGAGTAAATAAATATGGCATAATAATAAGCTATATTAGTTTTTTTTTTTTTTTTTTTGACAGAGTCTTCCTTTGTCAGCCAGGCTGGAGTGCAATGTGCAATGGCACAATCTTGGCTCACTGCAACCTCTGTCTCCTGGGCTCAAGCAATTCTTCTGCCTCAGCCTCCTGAGTAGCTGGGATTACAGGTATGCACCACCATGCCCAACTAATTTTTGTATTTCAGTAGAGACGAGGTTTCACCATGTTGGCCAGGCTGGTCTCGATCTCCTGACCTCAGGTAATCTGCCCACCTTGGCCTCTCAAAGTGCTGGGATTACAGACATGAGCCATCATGCCTGGACATAAGTGAGTTTTATATTGTATTATAAGACTATGATACAGTAAAACCATGAAATCCAAATTTATAATATCACACTACATAATACAACTGTAACCTCACCGCCCTATCCTGGGATGTGTGTCATTTTTATAGCCAATTATGGCCCCCAGCTTTAGTTTTCTTTTGCTTATTGGAGAGTGTAATTCTCCCTTATTCTTTTTGCTTTCTACAGTCTTGTGTACATCAGTTATCTGTTTTTGTCCTTTTGCCAGTGTTCAAAGTGTTATTTTTCGTATTTACTTAAGCTCCTGCAGGGAGATTAGAATTTCTTCCCCTAAGAAGAAATAAGTAATAGCGGAGACCTGCTGGGCACTGGTGGCGCCAGGCTTGGCTCTGGGGCTGCCCATCCATCCTCACAGCATGGCGACTGGAGGGTCTTGCCCTGAGGTCCCGTGTGCGGAGCAGGGCTTGGCATTCACTCCTAGGCACTGCTGACTCAGTCTGTCCTGGTGGTGCTGGGAGGCCGAAACCCGTCATGCATGTAAACCGCGGGGCCCCGTCTGGCATGGTGCACCTGTGCTGGGAGTGCCTATAGAGTAGGAAAAGTATTCCTGGACCTTTAAAAAACTTAGGCCAAAAAAGTGTTTTGGTTGAATCTTTGGCCAAATTGGAACTGCAAACTCTGTATTATCTCCCCTTTTGTGAAATTCTATGGAAAATTCGAGCAAATAAATATGCATTTCCCAGTGCCCTAGAGTCAGGATGTGGCCACACTGCAGACTGCGTCATCAGGGAGGGTTCCCTGTGAAACAGACTTGGCCAACAGCCAAGGAGGCTTTGGGGAGGATCTAGGCAGCTGCAGGACCCGGCTCTTGATGACACCGGGTCTCACACTTTGGGTGGGAGCTCACAGTCTACTGTCCAGGGCCTGGCGTCCAGCCGGCTTAGCGGGGTCCACAGGCCTGTGTGAGAGCTGG